>NC_000024.10:15940958-16550505 GCF_000001405.40 Homo sapiens | reverse complement strand
GGCTGAGGCAGTAGAACCGCTTGAACCATGGAGGCAAAGGTTGCAGTGAGCTAAGATCACTGCACCACTGCACTCCAGCCTGGGCAACAGAGCAAAAAAGACTCTGTCTTAAAAGAAAAAAAAAATGTATAGTATATTATTTAGAATTTCGGTGATGTTTCTGGGAGCAGAGATACACCTTAGGAACTTAACTCTTGTCCCTAAGATAAAAATTGATTTCTGTTTTTTTTGGGTCAGGGGGAGAGGGTCTTGTTCTGTTGCCCAGACTGTGGTTCAATGGTATAATCACAGGTCACTGACTGCAGCCTCTACCTCCTGAGCTCAAGCTATCTTCCCACCTCAGCATTCCAATTGGCTGGGATTAGAGGCAAGCACCACCATACCATGTAGTTTTTAAATGTTTTTTGTAGAGATGAGGTCTCACTTTGTTGCTCAGGTTGGTCTCTCAAACTCCTGGGCTTGGTCTTCCAAAGTTCTGGGATTACAGCTTGAGCCACCATGGCCGGCCAGAATTGTTTTCTTTATACATCCTTTAGCTTAAAGTCTCAGTTTCCAGGAAACTGTTTAAAATTTTAAGTGAAGACTTCATTGTAATCCTGGAAATGGAAAAGTAGAAGAGAAGGCTGGGCGCGGTGGCTCACGCCTGTAATCCCAGCACTTTGGGAAGCAGAGGCAGGTGGATTATGAGGTCAGGAGATTGAAACCATCCTGGTTAACAAGGTGAAACCCCGTCTCTATTAAAAATACAAAAAAATTAGCCGAGCGTGGTGGAGGGCACCTGTAGTCCCAGCTACTCGGGAGGCTGAGGCAGGAGAATGGCGTGAACCCAGGAGGCACAGCTTGCAGTGAGCCGAGATGGCGCCACTGCACTCCAACCTGGGCAACAGAACGAGACTCTGTCTCAGAAAAAAAGAAGAAAAAGAAAAAAAGAAAAGTAGAAGAGGCAAGTGTATGCATTTTACAAATTTTCTTAGATCTGTAGAAATATCCAAATATATTGCAAGCTTAATAAAATACCAAAGGGATATTGAAGTTAACCTATTTCTTCCTACATTCACCAAAATTATGTGGACTTGTGTGTGTGTGTATGTTTCCACAGACTCCTCCTCATGCTTAGTTAAAACAAGGAGTCACTTTCAAATGTTTATTGACTGCCTGGGTTGATTTTATGATGAGTTAAACCGTTTCCTATCTACTTATCTGATGCCTCCAATATAAAAATAAAAATATCAGTTATAAAGCTATTACGTATCTGTTGAATTCTGATTAAAAGCTAGGTATAGTTAAAAGTGCCTCCTACTTTACAAAAATTGTCAGTCTCTGAAGTATGATGATTATTCACAAATTTGCACCAGGCTTTTAAGTTGTCCACTTTACTTAAGCAGTTGGACTTAAATCTTGAAGATAAATCCATGAATAAATGAAAAATTTGAAGAAAAAAGATAGCATGCAAACACAACTGTGGGAATGGAATGTACTCCCACATCATTCCCATTGGAAGTAGACACGTGAAATGTTCCCAGGGGTATAATCACCATACACATAAAATACAAAGAATGGAAATCATTCTCATGGGGACATTTTCCAGGACGTTCCTATGAAACATGATATCCAGGCAAAGTTAAGGCACTTACGTGGCTCTGTTGTTGTTTATTAAGATTATCAAAGCAATAGAAGATCAGAGAATAAACTGGTGCATCAGGTGCACCAGTTTTGATGACTATCAAAACCAACATGTCAGCCACGACATTTATATTAAATGCTATCCAACCAAGAGTCATGTCAGTTTTTTGTACATAACAGTCCTTATACCACTGAAGACAATCCCCCCACAATATCCTATAGCTGGAAAGAATGAAGTGACTTAATAATCACTGACATACTGAAAAGAAACATGATAGCACTTGAGCAATTCCCAAATAGTTTAGAAACTCCAAAAATGTTAGAATAGATTAATAATAAATTTTATGAACCAAATCCCTTTTTTTCCCTCCTTTTCACTGTTTACTATGAATGAAGTTCGTCTTAGTTAAAATGTCAATATAAAATTTTTAGGTGGAAAATATGAAGTTACAATTTTCCTTGGAACCATCAAATAAGTTTTAAGACTGAAAACATCATTTCTATGTATATATTATAGAGACTATGTATTTATGTATTGTATATACTGATATATGGTCTATACTGATATTTTATATATGAAGTTATATATGTTATATGTAATTTCAAATATATAAATAAAACATAAATATATAGATAGATGTTATATTTATGTTATATTTTATATATAACATAAAAATATATAGTTATTATATATTAAACATATAAATAATTTATAACATATAAACATATGTAACAATATAAATATACATAAAGTATATTTATATTTTTGTGTAAAAATATATTTACATATAACAGCTTTAAATATATATCTATATATTTTATCATATATTTTAAAATACATATATTTACTATATATGTCTTATATCACATAAACATATAAAAGATATATATTTTACTTTATATAGTACAATATAAATATATATTCTTACATATTTTACTATATATAAATATATGACATTTATATTTGTATATATTTTATGTGTAAATATTACATTTAATATATATTTATACATTGACTATAGATATGTTTTATATAAAATATAACTTCTATAAATATATAAATATTAAAATTATATGTGTATGTATATATACTAAAATATATAATCTATAAATGTATATTTTTATATGTATGTATATGTATATATATGATAGAGCAAAATTAAAATTTAAAGGCCTCTTCAACCATCTGAATGGATTCCTCCTCTTGGCTAAGGGCATTCCAGAGTTAACATGAAAAACTAGTTCAGGCCATGATGGAAGAGGGGATTGGACATGCCTCATGATACCCCTCCAGCATTATCATCCACACAGACTTAAGTATGATAAGAAACATTTATAATCTATTTTCTCTGAAGCTGGCCCCCTGGAGGCTTCATGAATGATAAAACTTCAATCTCCACAACCCCTTATCCTAACGCAGATACTCCTTTCTACTGATAATAGCTCTTTCAACCAATTGCCAATCAGAAAATTTCTAAATCTGTATATGACCTGGAGATTCTTGCTTCTAGTTATCCCACCTTCCAGATTAAACCAATGTATATATTGCATGTATTGATTGATGTCTTATGTCTTCCTAAAATGCACAAAGCCAAGCTGTGTCCTGACCATCTTGGGCTCATGTCATTGAGACCTCCTGAGACTGTGTCACAGACATATCCATAACCTTGGCAAAGTAAACTTTCTAAAATGACTGAAAACTGTTTCAGATATTTTGAGTTCAAAACACACACACACACACATATGCGACACGTATAATACCTATAAGAAATTCATCACTAAATAGGGTATCAGAACATGATTTCCAAGAAGTGTTCTCAGTTAATATTGGTGGTTCCCAAAAGAAAAATCATTCGGAAAAATGGCACCTTGCTCACTACTCTTCTAACAATGGTGAGAGTCAAAGTTCTGCTGGAGCATCTGCTGGGCATCTGCCCTTTTCAGCATAAATAATCTCATTGTTTTATGAATTTCTCAAGACACATACAGTAAAATCATAGTCATATTAAGAAATAAGGGACACATACTTTATTACTCAAATTCTCTTCCTCTTAGAATATGAGGCAATTCTGATATGTGGGTTAATTCAAACCATTGCTGAATAGGAATGAACTATGTACATTTCATTTGAAATCTCCATTTATTGAGTTCATATTTTATGCCCAGCTCTTTAACAAACATTTAGAAATCTAAGATGATTTCTACAATAATTTTTGGACTAAGTGCTATAATTTCTAATAAAGTACTGGAAACACTTAAGGTTAGAAAGATTCTAGCACCTATGTTATTCTTCATTTCTAGAAAGTTTTAAGGCTTCTTTTGGGTACATCTTTTACAATTTTATTCTGGGGTACTGTTCTGTGTTAATGATGATCCACCTCTACCAGTGTTTAGTCCTAAATTTTTGGACAGCATGAATTCTGTACTCATTTCCAAATTCCCACTCAGTCCTGTTTTGTTGATTTGTCATTGTTGTTTTATTCTGTTTGTATTACTCTCTTTGGATGTGAATTACAAATGAAAACATGGCATATTTACATTTCAGACTAGGGCAATATTAACTATAATTTTTACTTTCCCATTGAAGACTGAATTATAAGCTTACCAATAGTTATCAAATAATTTGCCTGGCCATATTTTGTAAACAATATCCACTGGTTATTGATCCAATACAAAAAGAGAAAGAGTAAATATCCTTCCATCAGAGATACTTAGTAGCTTATTACAAACACTGGTATATTCTGTTGAAACTCAGGGCAGAAGCTGTGACTGTTAGAGCATTCTTAGAAATGATCAAGTCATCAAACTTTTTGGAATGTTAAATATTGCAAGAGCATTTGGCCCTCTACAGTAAAACATTTTATCATTCAAGTCTCTCCAGTGGAGATTTCTCTGTTTAAGTAGTTTTATAATACTTATATGAAAAAGACAAAGTATTTATGTCAATGATCAGTTCTGATCCTTTACTCTGGAATCGTGCATTATTTCTTCCATCTATGTGTAAATATTTTCAACCTCTATGTTATTGAAAGTAGTTATTTTGGCATTTGTTCATTTAATCTCTCAAGTAGCAACTATGCAGAGTCTCTGGCCTATTCTTGGTAGTAATGCATTTGATTTTCTGAGCATAGAGGATTAAAGGCATTCATCTGTATTTCACATGCAAGGGAGCCCTTATCAGCTCCTCTTTGCAAACACCAAAAAGGACAATCTTATATTAAATGTGTGGGTCCTTCAGTTTAAATAGAAATCACAATAAAAGCTGTTGATTCCCTCTGCAAATAGTGAAATCTCAATGGGGATTAATATTTCTCGATGGAAATTGTGGCTTTTCTATTAGACTTACGAGTGATGACAATTTATTATAGTAGATATAAGTTTTTAAATATATTTTTAGAAAAAAGTTATTTGTATTTCAAAATCACATGTTTCAAGATTGATTTACAAAGTTCTGTGTATGGATTTAGGAAGCAAAGTTACAAACATTAGATACTTCAATAGATATGAAACCATTAAATGCATTATCCTGTTTAAGTATATATTCAACTGTATCCACAATACTAGAAAACTCACACTGAACTTGACAGTTCAATATGTTTCCTTCACCTTGTATTCATAGTTCAATCCATGATGAATTCATGTTAAATAGATTTTAAAAATAAAGTAGTCATTTTCAGGAAATAAAGATATAGCCAAGATCTCTGTCTTTTACCTAATTCATGACTGAGGTTGCTTATAGATTCTGGGGCAAAATGCGCAGATCCTAAAAAATAGCAAGAGTTTTAATAAAGAATGTAGTGAATAAGGTCTGCACCTACTGGCCATATGAAGTAAAGGGAAATAAAGTTATTTAATAGTGAGCTCTAGCTTAAAGAAGGAAATCAGCTTCAGAGTGTCAGCTTCCCACTGATTCAGAATTAATAAAATGTACACAAATCTTAAAGATATAATTAATATTTTTTCAAAGTTGTGTTTGGGGAATGCAATTTTTAAATACAATGTCCTAAATAAAAAAGTATCTACAGTGGTATGCAAATACAAGAAAATAGGCATCACAGTAAACTAAATTTTTCTAGAAGATTAAAAGCAGGGATTACCATAAGGAAAAAATATATATGCTATGAACAAGAAAACAAATTGAAAACAACAAAGGCAGGGAAAACCAAACTCGCAATGACTTATAAATTATAAATATTCCTGAAAAAGGAGAATAAACTGTTGGAAAGGAACATAGCCAAAGATGTATAAGAGGAAGAGATTCCTGACCCTAAAAAGTCATTGACTTTTCAAAAAAATAAAAAGAGATTGAGTGCAGACACCTGTCTCTCTCTCTCCCACCACCCCCACTTCCATACACTTACACTAACAAATTCTAACAGAGAAACCTTTAAAGAAGTTAATTACAGGATAGGTGTTACACACACACACACACACACATACACACACACACACAAAGACACCCACACAGAGAAATCAGTGTTAGGAAGGGCAATACTGGAAGCTAAGAATCTCTGGAATCATCTTTTAAATTAGTTGAGGAACAAAAATTAACAGCCAACACTATTAAAACCAATTAAGCAGAGAAAAATGAACACTTTTACACTGTTGGTAGTGGAGTAAATTAGTTCAAGACATCTCCACCACCAATGTAAAAGTGTTCATTTTTGGACACCCCATTACTGAGTACATATGAAAGGAATAGAAATCATCTTATTATAAAGATACATATACACATATGTTCACTGAAGCACTGTTTACAATAGCAAATACATGGAATCAATCCAAATGCTCATCAATGATAGCCTGGATAAAGAAAATGTGACATATATACACTGTGGAATACTAAGCAGCCATCAAAAGGAATTAGATTATGTCCTTTGCAGGGACATTGATGGAGCTGAAGTCCATTATCCTCAGCGAACTAATGCAGGCATTAAAAACCAGACACCACATATTCTCACTTATAAGTGGGAGCTAAATCATCAGAAAACATGGACACATGGGAGGGAGCAAAACACACTGGGGCCTATCCCAGAGTGAGGGGTAGGAGGAAGGTCAGCATCAGGAAGAAAAGCTAATTGATTCTGGGCTTAATACCTCGGTAAAGGGTTGTTCTGTGCAGCGAGTCACCATGGCACATGTTTACCTGTATAACAAACCTGCACATCTTGGACATGTGCCCCAGAACTTACAATAAAAGTTGAAAAAATACAATTAAGCTATTATTCATGGAAGCAGTTAAACATATCTTTACTTGTTAGATTCAAAATCATTGTGCAATTATACAAAAAGTGGAAGAAATTTTCTGTTGCACTCAAATATTTATTCTCTCACTCTCATAGAAGAAGATCCAAAATGTTGTCTTTTACTATGCTGGACAGAATGAGGTCTGCTTAGTTTTACCCAGTGGGAGGTGAACTCACTTTCTCCTCCTCCTTGGAATGAGAATGTGGTGTGGTGAATATTTAGAACCATATGGAAAGGAGAAATTCCCTAGATCAAACAAATAGATAATTTTATATTCAACTACATGAGTCCAACCCAGGGAACCCTTCTCTGTTGTCAACTGGCATCTCATACGGGGATAATAAGATTCTATTTTAAATATTTCTCCATTATTATTTTGTATGTCAGTCATAGCAGAAGAGCTTGGGACCTAAACAATACTAAATTTATACCTTACTAAGAAAATTACTCAAGTTTCTGAAAGAAAACAGAGATTTCCAGACGACGGAAGACCAAGAAGGGTTGAAACTGTGCTGAGATTGCCATAGCAAAATAAAATGATGCATTACGTGAGCCCCCAAAATCTGAGACAGTTCTCAGTTAATTTTGAAAATTTATTTTTCCAAGGTTGAAGACGTGTGCCAGTGACACAGCCTCAGGACGTCCTCATGACATGTGTCCAAGGTGGTCAGAGCAGTTTGGTTGTATACATTTTAGGTAGACATGAGACATTGATCAACATATGTAAGATGAACATTGGTTCCATCTGGAATGGTAGGACAACTTGAAGTGGGGAGGGGGCTTCCAGGTAATGGGTAGATAAGAGAAAAATATTTGCATTCTTTTAAGTTTGTGATTAGCCTCTCCAAAGGAGGCAATCAGATGTGCATTTATCTCAGTGAGTAGAGGGTTGACTTTTAATAGAATGGGAGGCAGCTTGGCCCTAAGCAGTTGCCAGCTTTACTTTTCCCTTTAGCTTAGTGATTTTGGGGAAAGAAAATATTTTCCTTTCACAATTATATAAAAGAAATTTAATTATTCACAGTTCTAGGGGCTGGGAAGTCCATGATGAAGGTCCAAGAAGGTTCCTTCCACAATTATGAACAATTTTTCCTCTCACAAGTTTCTGTTTCTGGGAGGGTTTCCTTCTTTGCGTATAGACATCCAGCTTCTCAAAGTGGCCTCACATGGTTGGAAAAAAACAAGGGATATCTCTCTCTTTCTCCTCTTATATGGTAAGTAGTACTATAGAATTGGGACCCCATGGATATCATCTTATTTAACCTGAATTTTCTCTGAAAATTCCTAAATCCAAATATAGTCACATAGGGAGTTGGGGCTTCAACATATGAAGTGTGTGTGTGTGTGTGTGTGTGTGTGTGTGTGTGTTTGTAAGGGTTATAATTCAGATCATAACTTTTCACTGCTGCCTATTCAAAATTGATGTCCATATACAACACAAAATACACTCATTCCAACTACTCAGCCATAAGATAGAATGAAATAATGTCTTTCTAAACAACTTTCATGTAACTGGAGGCCTCTATTCTAAGTGAAATAACTTAGGAGTTGAAAACCAGATACTGCACGTTCTCACTTGTGAATGGAAATTGAGGTATGAAGATGCAGAGGCAAACACAGTGGACACTGGACACTGGAGACTCAGAAAGGGGAGGCTAGGAGGAGGGTGAGGAATGAAACCTACCTACTGAGTACATTGTACACTATTCTGGTGACAGGTCAGCTAAAATCCCTGACTTCATCACTATATGATTCAGCCATGTAATCAAAAGCCACTTGCAGCTCTAAAGCTATTGAAATTAAAACACACCTTTTTTTTTTTTTTTTTTTTGCTTTCCATTTACTTGGTAAATATTCCTCCATCCCTTTATTTTGAGCCTATGTGTGTCTTTGCACGTGAGATGGGTCTCTTGAATACAGCACACTGATGGGTCATGACTCTTTATACAATTTGCCAGTCTGTGTCTTTTAACTGGGGCATTTAGCCCGTTTACATTTAAGGTTAATATTGTTATGTGTGAACTTGACCCTGTCACTATCATGCTAGTTGGTTATTTTGCCCATTAGTTGTTGCAGTTTCTTCATAGTGTTGATGGTCTTTACAATTTTGTATGTTTTTGCAGTGGCTGGTACCAGTTCTTCCATTCTATATTTAACACTTCCTTCATGAACTATTGTAAGTTAGGCCTGGTGGTGACAAAATCTCTCAGCATTTGCTTGTCTGTAAAGAATTTTATTTCTCCTTTGCTTAGCCTCTTGTTTTGTCTGGATATGAAATTCTGGATTGAAAATGCTTTTCTGTAAGAATGCTGAATATTGGCCCCCACTCTCTTCTGGCTTGTAGGATTTCTGCAGATAGATGTTCCATTAATCTGATGGGCTTCCCTTTGTGGGTAACCCAACCTTTCTCTCTGGCTGCCCTTAACATTATTTTCTTCATTTCAACCTTGGTGAATCTGATGATTATGTGTCTTGGGGTTGCTCTTCTCAAGGAATATCTTTGTGGTGTTCTCTGTATTTCCTGAATTTGAATATTGGCCTGTCTTGCTAGGCTGGGGAAATTCTTCTGGCTGATATACCAAAGAGTGTTTTCCAACTTGGTTCCATTGTCCCTGTCACATTCAGGTACATCAATCAAACATAGGTTTGGTCTTTTCACATAGTCCCATACTTCTTGGAGGCTTTGTTCATTCCTTTTTATTCTTTTTTCTCTAATATTGTCTTCATCCTTTATTTCATTAATTTGATCTTCAATCTCTTATATCTTTTCTTCCCCTTGATTGATTCCACTATTGATACTTGTGTATGCTTCATGAAGTTCTCCTGCTGTGTTTTCAGCTCCATCTGGTCACTCATGTTCTTCTCTAAACTGACTATTCTAGTTAAAAATTCATCTACTCTTTTTTCAAGATTCTTAGCTTCCTTGCATTGAGTTAGAACATGCTCCTTTAGGTCAGAAGAGTTTGCTATTCCCCACCTTATGAAGCCTACTTCTGTCAGTTTGTTAAACTCATTATCCATCCCGTTTTGTGACCTTGCTGGTGAGGAGTTATGATCCTTTGGAGGAGAAGCAGCATTCTGGTTTTTGGAATTTTCAGCCTTTATGTGCTGTTTATTCCTCATCTTTGTGGATTTATCTACCATTGGTCTTTGATGATGGTGAAATTCAGATGGGGTTTTGGGTGTACATCCTTTTTGTTGGTGTTGAACCTATTCATTTCTGTTAGTTTTCCTTCTAATAGGCCCCTGTGCTGCAGGTCTGCTGGAGTTTGCTGGAGGTCCACTCCAGACACTTTTTGCCTGGGTATCACCAGTGGAGGCTGCAGAACAGCAAAGTTTGCTGCCTGTTCTTTCCTCTGGAAGCTTCTTCCCAGATGAGCACTTGCCAGATGCCAGCCAGAGCTCTCTTGTATGAGATGTCTGTCAACCTGTGCTGGGAGGTGTCTCCCAGTCAGGAGACATGAGGGTCAGGAACCATATATAGCCAGAACAATCCTAAGCAAAAAGAAAAAAACTGGAGTGTTTACACTACCTGACTTCAAACTATAATACAAGGATACAGTAACCAAAATAGCATGATACTGGTACCAAAACAGATATATAGACCAATGGAACAGAACAGAGGCCTCAGAAGTAATGCCACATGTCTACAACCATCTGGTCTTTGACAAATCTGATAAAAACAAGCAATGGGGAAAAGATTCTCTACTTAATACATGGTGTTGGGAAAACTGGCTAGCCATATGAAGAAAACTAAAACTGGACCCCTTCTTTACACCTTATACAAAAATTAAATCAAAGTGGATTAATGACTTAAATATAAGACCTAAAACCATAAAAACTGTAGAAGAAAACCTAGGCAATACCATTCAGTATATAGACATGAGCAAATGACTAAAACACCAAAAGCAACGGCAACAAAAGCCAAAATTGAAAAATGAGATCTAATTAAACTAAAGAGCTTCTGCACAGCAAAAGAAGCAATCATCAGGATGAATGAGCCAACTATGGAATGAGAGAAAAATTTTGCAATCTGTCCATCTGACAAAAGGTTAATATCCTGAATCTAAAAGGAACTTAAACAAATTTACAAGAAAAAAACAAACAAATATATTAAAAAATGGATGAAGTATATGAACAGACACTTCTCAAAAGAGACATTTATGCGGCCAACAAACATATGAGAAAAAAATAAAGCTCATTGTCACTGGTCATTAGAGAAATGCAAGTCAAAACCACCATGAGATACCATCTCACTCAAGTTAGAATGGCATTCATTAAAATGTCAGGAAACAGCAGATGCTGGAGAGAATGTGGAGGAATAGGGAATACTTTTACACTGTTGGTGGCAGTGTAAATTAGTTTTACCAGTTTGGAAGAAAGTGTGGCGATTCTTCAAGAACCTAGAAAAAGAAATATCATTTGACCTAGCAATTCCATTACTGGGAATATACTCAAAGGATTATAAATCATTCTGCTATAAAGACACACGCACACATATGTTTATTGGAGCACTATTCACAATAGCAAAGACTTGGAATCAAACTAAATGCCCATCAATAATAGACTGGATAAAGAAAATGTAGCACATATACAACATAGAATGCTATGCAGCCATAAAAAGAATGAGTTAGTGTCCTTTGCAGGGACATAGATGAAGTTGGAAACCATCATCTTAACAAACTAACACAAGAACAGAAAACCAAATATTGCATGTTCTCACTCATAATTGGGAGTTGAACAATGAGAACACATGGACACAGGGCAGGGTTCATCAAACACAGGGGCCTGTCAGGGGATGGGGGGCCAAGGGAGGGACAGCTTTAGAGAAATAGCTAATGTCAATGTTCGGTTGATGGGTGCAGCAAACTACCATGGCATCTCTATACCTATGTAAAAAACCTGGATGTTTTCCTCATGTATCCTAGAACTTAAAGTATAATTTAAAAAAATTGAACAAAAGAAATTAAAACACACACACACATATGAAAACAAACACATATAGAAAGAGGGAGAAAGAGAGAGAAAAGGAGAGAGATAAAAGCAAAACAGGATGAAAGTGACATGCACACAAATGTCCCCCACTCTATGGTCTCATTCAAAGCTTGTCGCCTTCTTTACCAATTAATAAAAGGTGTCAGCTGTCTCATTCTCAGGACCTACATTCAGGGGATATTGCTTCTAGCCAGGTGTTCTTTATGTCAAAATATGTACGAAAAAATATTTTTTAGGACTCATGATACTGGGATTGAGTCCTTGGATGACAATCAGGGTAAGTAGGTATGAGACAAGAGGAACCAGAAAAGAAGATATTGAAAGAAGAGATGAGTAGAGGAGATTGGAACTTTCTTATTAAGAAATTTATGAAAATTGTATTTGTACATAATATTGGCAGAGCATAGGCATTACCATCTTGGACAAGCAGCGCTATTTTAAAGTTCCCCTTTATCAAAAACTGCCTAAGTCCAACCCAAAGGGCATCAGTCTAATGGCTAACATCAGCATGACCATAAACCACAAATGACATCTCTGATCAGAGACATTCCAAATCTGAGTTAAACCCCTCCTCGACTAGAGACGTGACAGACTCGCAATAATCTCCCCTCCAACCAGAGACATTCCAACCCCACAATAAATTTCTCCTCCACACAAAAACATTCCAAACCTGCGATAAGCTATCTTGCCATAAAACCTTAAATACTCTTAGTCTGTAAGAGAGAGTACTCCTGATCAAAATTGGCCAGAAGTTCCTCTTATTTTTATTCTCCAAAATAAACATACCTTTGACTGTTGAGCCACTTTTCATGTTTCCCTCTTCTTTCTTTAACTCTTAGAAATATATATATAATAAAAATCCAGGTTATTATTAATGATCTAAAACTGCATTCATTCCATCCCAATCATTGAAACAGTTGAGCCAAATATCTGATATATATTTAATACTAAAAGGATGAGAAACACATGTAATATATGAGTTCATAAATGACGATTTGTGGAAGGTGATTCTGGAAAGATATCTCTAATGCAATTCAATTCACCTGAACTCAAGGATCCAGCAACTGGACCCTCCTGGACTTGATGTCTGAGGCCGCCAGAAAGTTGTGTAAGAATGAAGTTTGGATGTAGTTGGAACGACAGCAAGGGAATTTACATGGAGCACTCTCCTTCATGGATGCAATAAGGATCAGAAATGCAGTTTCAGGAAATCTCAGGGTGGGGACCAGAAAGTGGCAGACAATGGTTTCATGGGGATTTCCTCAGATGCTGCAATGATGTAAAGTGAGTGAGCCTGATTTCTTTAATGCACAGACGTCCCCTGCTGATTTCCATAGGCTGCCCATGGTGACCTCTGCTGATTAATGGCCGATGGTGGTTGAGACCATTTTATCTGTACTTCCAAGGAGGCACAGCAATTTAAAATACTCTAATAACAGGGTTTAAGATCCAGTCAGTCCACAAATAAATGAGTCCTTCAAATTAGAAGACCTGGGAATCTGAACACATAAATGACATTCCCAGAAAACTGAGCTGCTGGAGGAAACAGACGGTAAGTTGTACAAACAACAATAAAATGATATTAGTAACAATAACATTCATATTAATAATAGCAATGACATATAATTGGCAACTATAGCATTTAAGGAAGTTCAGCTCAAAAGCTGTTTTCTGAGCTAAATAAGAATATTCAAAGTCAGGTGCAGTGACTTACTCCTGTAATCCTAGCAGTGTGAGAGGCTGAAGTGGGAGGATCATTTGAGCCCAGGAGTTTGAGACCAGCCTGGACAACATGGTGAAACCCTTACTCTACAAAATAAAAAATAAAAAAAATTGCCAGATGTGGTAGTAGATATCTGTGGTTCCAGATACTTAGGAGGCTGAGGTGGGATGATTGTTTGAGCCTGGGAGACTAAGGCTTCAATGAGCTGAGATGACACCACTGCACTACAGCCTGGGCAACAGAGGAAGACCCTGTGTCCAAAAAGAAATTCTAGTAAAAAAAAAGCACCCAACTAATTAAAAGGAATTTCATTGTCAATACCTAATTTAAAGGTCTGCAAAATCAACTGTGCACATATCTCAACAGAAAAAGTGTAAAACCATGGAGAACAATAAGGCAAAATGGAAAAGGTTATTAACTATGAATGTATTATGTCATTGCCAAAATAAAGTTATTAAAAGCAAGAAATATACCATAAGGAAAATTATAATACTAGTCGGGTTTTAATGTCCTAAAATGACTCAGTAGAAATTTAGGAGTTGGCAGAGAAATAGGTTAATAACTATATAAAACTGATTTTATGAGTAGAAAAGAGAGTAGGAACTAAATAATTTTAGACACATTCAAAATATAACTGACAAGCAGCCAAAATTGTATTTGAAACTACTATTAGGAAAAGTATGTACTTGCATAGGGAGGTAGTGCTATTGTTAAAAGACAGAAAAAATGAATGGAATAATTTCAAATCCTACCTAAGAAAAAATAAAAAATAAAAAAGGAAGCACTTATAAATTATCAAGAGAGATTGTAGAATGAAGTAATTGAGTCACACCTGAAAAAATAAGAAGAGAATTTTAGATTATACAATCGCCAAGACTTTGAAAATTTTAAAATTACAATTAAGGAATTAATAAAGGCAATTAACACATGGAGAAAGTATAACCTATAACATCTATAAACATTTGTCTGTTGCAGGGCACGGTGGGTCACGGCTGTAATCCCAGCACTTTGGGAGACCGAGACAGGTGGATCACGATGTCAAGAGATCGAGTCCATCCTGGCCAAAGTGGTGAAACCCAAGAGGCAGAGGTTGCAGTGGGCCGAGATCATAAGCCACTGCACTCCAGCCTGGCGACAGAGTGAGACTCCGTCTCCCCGACAAAAAAAAAAAAAAAAAAAAAAAAAAAAAAAAAAAAAAAAAAAAAAAAAAAAAAAAGGTCTGGCCAGGCTCAGTGGCTCACACCTGTAATTTCAGCACTTTGGGAGACCAAGGTGAGAAGGTAACTTCAGCCCAGGACTTTAAGATAATGCTGGGCAAGATGGAAAAACCCCATGTCTACAAAAGATATCAAAATTATCCAGGTGTGGTGGTGTGTACCTGTAGTCTCAGCTATTTGGGAAGCTGAGGTAAGAGGATCACTTAAGCCAGGGTAGATGAGGCTGCAATGGGCTTTGATGGTGCCACTGCACTCCAAGCTGCTTGACAGGCTGAGATCCTGTCTCAAAAGAAAAAAATGTGTCCAAAAGGTTGCCAGTAGGATTCACATTAAAAAATAATGCCTTTCCCAGAAATGAAAAACCAGGTCCCAGAAAAAAATTAATTACCCGCATATTAAATAAAATAGACTCACATTAATACAACATGATGAACGTTTGAGACAAAGATAAATTCATAAAATCTGTCAGAAAAAAAATGGCAATAAAGGATCATACAGCTAAATGACTTTACACTTCCGAAGAGCAACATAGAAATTCTTGAAGTCTTCCCATTTCTGATTGCAATAACTGCTAAGCTAGGAACACTTACCTATCTTAAACAATTTTAAATAAATAGGCTGATTAGAGCAATCTTTTCTCAAGAATCTGGTGAATATGCCATTATATTACAACAATAATTAAAATATTACAATGATTAAAATATTATAAATCTCATGTCAATAACTTTTATATCTTAAAATGAAGAATCTGTGCTCAAAGGTTTAATGCTGAATACAGTTCCTGTGTTAATGTTATTAGGAGAAAATAAAGCTAAATTTATAAACTTATGCAAATAATATATTTATATGCAAATAATATGCTTATATATTTGTTGAGAGATTAGTTCCTTTTTTGTGATCACGTCTTTCAAAAAGAATAGCTAAATTACTAGTTATTACATTTATGAAGAAATCAGATTAAAATATTTTTATTAATTTGATGTTATACATTACTACTTTATATTCTACAAAATATGATTAGAATTCATTTAATTGTGGAAGCTGTTGTAATAATGTATGATACAATCTCCAGTGTACTAAAATTTATAAGAAGATCTGAGAAATTAACGTTATAGTTCTCTCTTAAGAATAATCTTTTTTAACATTAAGTATATCTCCTAATATGTAACAAACCTGCACATTGTGCACATGTACCCTAAAACTTAAATTATAATTAAAAAATCTTTTTATGCATATGTACAAAATAATTGAAAGAATGTGTTTATTATCTAATCCATATTGCAGCTCCAGTTTATAAATTTATGTAATAACTTTGTATCTCTGTGGAAAAAATAAAAACCAACATTGTTTGCAAGTTAATCCTCAATTGAAATATAGATCCAGAATTAGTAGAAACTCAAAAACATCAACAAAAACAACTAAAACCATGGAACTCCATTAAGGAGTAGGCAAAAAACATAAATAGCTATTTTTCAAAGGAGATATACAAATACTTATACAAACATATGAAAAATTGCTGAAATAATTAGAGAAATGCAGGTTAAAATTACAATGAGATACCATCATACACCAGTTAAAATGACTATTATTAAAGACAAAAAGTAACAGATATTGGTGAGGTTAAAAAAAAAAGAATGCTTATACATAGTTGGTAGGAATATAAATTAGTACAATCTCTATGGAAAACACTGTAGAGATTCTTCAGAAAACTAAAAGTGTAACTACCATTTGATCTAGCCATCCTACTACTGGGTATCCACCCAGAAGAAAATAAATCATTATATCAAAAATATACCTGTACTCACATGTTTATTACAGTAATATTCACAATAGAGAAGATACGGAAGCAAATTAAGTGTCCATCAATAGATGATTTCATGAACAAAATGTGGTATATGTACACAATAGAATATTATTAAGCCATAAAAAAGAATGAAACCTTTTTTTTGTTTATTTGTTTGTTTTTTGCAGCAACATGCATGCAACTGGGGGCCATTATCTCAAGTAAAACAACTCAGAAACAGAAAGACAAAAACCATGTGTACTAACTTACAACTTGGAGATTAATAATGTCTACACATTGAAGCATAAGGCAGAACAGGAGTCCCTTACCCCAAGGCCATTGACTGGTACATGAGAGGGATCTGGTTTGTGCACTCTTTATGAGAATCTAACACCTGATGATCTTAGGTGGAGCAGTTTCAGCCTGAAACCATCTACACTCCACCCACAGATCCATGGAAAAATTGTCTTCCACAAAATCAGTACCTGCTGCCAAAAGTTTGGCGAATCACTGATTTAGAACAATGGACACTGGAGAGTTGAAAGGGTGGGAAGGTGGGAGGTTGTGATGAATGAGAATTTACTTCATGGGACAATTTGCCTTATTCAGGTGGTGGATACACTAAAAACTCAGACTTTACCACCACTCAAAACATCCATGTAACAAATTGCACTTGTACCCCTTAAATTTACACAAATTAGAAAAAAGTACATAAAAGAAGAAAAGCAAAAATAATCCCCAAAATACAGATGAAATATTTTTTTCTGCTTATGAGAAAGCCAGGAATAGTTTCTCCAATATCATAAAGGTAAAGTTTCTAAAGGCTATGTAAAGCCTACTTTTCAATCAGTATTATCTGGATACTCTTAAAAGCAGCAATTAACAATAAACAATTATCAAAGTTTATTTAGTATACCAGTTTCTGTATTTCTTCATAATTTTTGCAACTTGTTTTTTGTTTCTTTGCCTTCATTATAGATGTACGCTTTAGCATTTACTGAAATATACTAATGCTGTTCTTATTTTTCCAATATGTAATATTCAAATTCTGAAATATGCAGGTAAAGTGAAAGAACTGTAAACACCCTTATAACATCTGTACAGATGTATCATATTTTAATTGGTTTGCTATATAGCTAGCTATTGACTTATAGTTCTCTTTATTCAAGCTAGTTGTCTTTTTTAAAAAATATTTAAAAATAAGTGGCAAATAACATTACTTCCCATCACCCAATACTTTAGTATGCATACTATTAATACTTGTTTATGGTTCTTTTTGTTTTAGTTTAGGTAAAATTTGCAACCCAAAGTAAAATGCATAATCCTGAGTATACCTGCACAAAATCTTGACAAATGCGTATACCTGTATAACAAACTTCTATGAAGGTGAAGAACTCACTCAGCTCTCTCCTTTAGTCTCAGTCAATTCTCATTCCCACCCAGTTAGGGAACAACATTCTTTTTCACCATGGGTTTCTTTTTTTTTACTCTAATTTTATGTAAATAAAAATATACAGTTTGTATTATTGTGGGTTCTCTCTATCAACATCATTTTGTAAAGGTTCTTCAATGTTATTGTTTATATCAGTAGTCCTATTTTTTATTACGTAATTATTGGTAGTCCATATTAAGTATGCCACACTTTCTCTTTTCTTCTCTTACAATGTCTGGAGTATTTGTACTATTGGGGTTTTATGAATCAACCTGCTATGGAAGTTCTTATACAAATATGGATACATTTTAATTTTTCTTGGTTAAATATTTAGGAATTGATCTTCTAAGTCTTATTATGTGTGCATTTGTAGATTTATAAGAAATTGACAATTATTGTCATTAAAATATGAAGATTATGTTGTAACTTTATGTATTTATGTAACACTGTTATTCTATTATTATGCATACACTGTCCTTTCAAGTTAAATACTGTGTAATTTCTTATTAGATTTTTAATATTCATAATCCTCTCAGTTTTTTGCTAGGAAATTCATTGTGACAGGCTGCTGGTAGCTTCACACTTGGATATATTTTAATTAACTTTCTGTTGGTTTATCTCTTCCAGCCAGTTTTATTTCTTATGATATAATATTATATATAAGCCATTTAATGCTTTTTACGTCAGGAGACATATCAAGTTCATTTGTTATTGGGAAAAGGATATTAATTGTTCTAATTCAATACAGACTGCCTCACTTCAACCTTGTTCTGTTATGCCACTTATGAAGTTGTATAAGTTTTGACAAACTTACAACACCATTGTACTTGCAAGTATTCTTCCCAGAAAACTACTTAATTTATTAGCTAATGTTAGAGATGAAGCTTCTTTGAGGCATAAATTTAATATATTTTCAGCTAGATAATCAGAACTGTCATGAAGTGTGTGTGTGTGTGTGTGTGTGTGTGTGTGTCCAGGTTTGTGTGTGTAAGATCGAGAGAGGCTGAGAGAGGAAGGGAAGGATTAATTCTATGTAAGCAGGTGGTAACAGCTTTTGAATTTAGGAAATTCTCCTTTAAAAACTTCTGATTTTTAATTTATGTGGGTCCATAGTAGCTGTATGTATTTATGGGGCATATCAGATATTTTTATATAGACACACAATATGTAATACTCATATCAGTGTGAATGGGACATTCAATACTTTAAGCAATTACTTTTTTTTACAATGAAATTATACTTTTTTAGTTATTTTAAAGTGTATAACTAAATTATTTTTACTGTAGTCAGCCTGTTGTGCTATGATCTGATTCATGTAAGTATTTTATTTATTGATTAACCATCCCCAACTTCCCCTCCACCAACCACTATGCTTCCCAGCCTCTGGTAACCTTCCTTCCACTCTCTATTTCCGTGCGTTCAATTGTTTTAATCTTTAGCTTCCACAAATAAGTGAGAACATGTGATGTTTGTCTTTCTATATCTGGTTTATTTCACTGAACTTAATGATCTCCACTTCCATCCATGTTGTTGTAAATGACAGAGTCTCATTTAGGAAGTTTGTGTTACACGTCATATATTTCCAATGTTTGCACAGTGTCTGCTTTGATGAGTATTTCTGAAAATCATATGATAACATGGCATAATTACCCCTTCAATTCAATCATTTTGAAAGATCATATGTGCACAACGTCATCATCAGTCATCCTCACGTAAGAACTGAGAAACTGTGTGGTCCAAGCTTTGCTCACTCATTTCTCTCTCCGTCTCTTTCTATTCTTTTTATCTTCCTACTCATGTTCTCCCTTTCTTCTTCTTCTCCTCCTCCCCAGCCTACTGCTTCTTTTCTTTTTCCTCTTTGAATAAAATATTCAGCAGGTGGTCCTCAAACTTTTCCTGTAACGTCCAGTACACCTGAAGATTTGCCCCATCTCTATTTATTTTGCATGTTACTCAATTAATTGTTGGGTATTTAGGAATAATATATTCCAGACAAATGGGAGTCCAGTTGAGGGCAATGGGGTGGACAAACAACTGTATGTCCTTGATGAGATAAAATTATGAATAGTTGGCTTCAGTGGGCTGATCTTACCGTTGGGGCAATCACTCATACCATATGGACAAAAAAGATGAGGGTGCTCCACAGGTCCTCTAGCCTTTGTCCTCAGAATGAGAATTATACCATCAGCTTCCCTGGTTCCAAGATTTTCAAAATTGATCTGAGCCATGCTACTGGGTTCTGGAGTTCTCTAACTTGGACATCGTTTTTGGTGGGAGTTCTCATCCTCCATAATTGCATGAGCAAATCCCCTTATAAGTTGCCTCTCATACATCTATATCTATGCCTCTCAATAGCTATCTTTATCTATATCTGTAATCAATATATCTTTTTTTTTTTTTGGAGACAGGTTCTTGCTATGTCACAGAAACTGGAGTTCAGTGGTGTGATCTTGGCTCACTGCATCCTTGACATTCCAGGACCAAGCCATTCTTTCACTTCAGCCTCCCCAGTAGCTGGGACTCCAGCCAATTGGGTGATATTTCCACACACTGAGAGAGAGAGTAGACATAAAAGATGAGGTGCCTTACCCTCATCTTTTATTTACATATGGTATATGATTGGTAAATATTTGGCATTTACAGTTGATTTGGTAAATATTTCTGATTTCATTCACCTAAATTGAGGTGGTCTTTTCAGGTGGACTTTAGCTTAGTCCTTTGTGAATACACATGTGCCAGATGTGGAATGATGGGGATGTTAGAAACCTTCTATAAGCTGCCATTGCATTACCACCTAGATAAGCTGATGTGGTTCACAATTTTTTAGTACCTTTTATATTTCTTGACAAGCACTCGCTGAAGCTTATTTTATCTGTTGTGTTTCACCATGATGAAATAAAACAGATTACTGCTGTTCAAGCAGAATCGTCCCTACATAAGACCAACAGGCTGTGAAACAATTAAAAAATATTATGTAATTTAAATGTCAGGGGAGATAAATGCAGTAGAATAATATAGAGTAGATAAGGGACTTTCAGGTCTTATCCATGGGTCAAAGGTCATTAACAACCAGAAAATAAAAGATGTTCATTCTTTTAAATAAAAACTTAGAATGAGATATATTTTAACTAAAGATATAAACATTATAGAAATAACAAACTTGCTAAATTATGCTAAAAAGAATAACATGATAATATAAAAATCACAATAGAAAAACCATCTTATCATCACTATTTTACCAGTGCATGTCTGTTTGTTGGTATGTATCTAATGTAGTCATAGTTTAAATGTAGGTACACTTTTGATTTAGGCAGAGTTTCTATCAGCAGCATACATATTTAAATTACAGTCATGTACCACATAACAATATTTTGATAATAGAGCACATAAATGATGTGGGCCCAGGGGATTGTAACAAAGCTGAAAAATTCCTTTAGTCTAGTGACATGCAGTCATTGCAGCATCATAGAGCAACACATTACTTTTTCTGTGTTCATTTTTTTTTTAGGTATACAAATACTTATCACTGAGCTGCAATTGTCTACAGTATTCAGAGGAGTATCAGGCTGTACAAGTGAGTAACCAGGTAGAAAATACACCATAACATATAGCCTAAATATGTGATCAGCTATGCTATTCAGGTTTGTATAAGCATAGTCTATGATATTTGCACAGCAATCAAATTGTCTGAAGACACATTGTTAGGCAATTGTCAGAATGCCTATCTGCATTCTGTCCTTTAGTGATTGATTTCATTTTTAACCTCTATCTGGCTGTATTAATTAACACTGAATTTCTTTTGTGAATTCATTCAACAGATATTCTTCATCACTGTCAATTTCCCTTTACTATTCAAAACGCTAGTGAGAGAGTTATGAATTCCCAATCTTTTTGGCCAACAGCCTACTGGGAGGAGAGATACATTAAAGAAGCAAATAAATCCATAATCATGATGAGAAATTTGAGAGGAAAAATTACTCCTTATAGAGCCATTGGACTGGAGATGTTGACTCAGAATTGAAGAAAGAGAAGGAACCCGCTCTGGGAAAACCTGGAGGGAGAACATTGCAGGCAAATAACACATACTATTCCCTGATATATAGGGGAGACCAAAAGGATTTAGGCCTCCTCTGGTAACACACTATGGGCATGATGCCCAGAGAAGACACATGGGGCCACAGGGCAGCCACTTCCTATTGCAAAAGGTAGGTCAGTTGCAGCCTAGTGTTGAAGGACCATCTCTTCAAAGACAAACTTCCTTAAGCACATGTGCTGTTGCAAGGAGGTTGCAGGTGACACCTTCCCATCCATGAACTTGTCAATTCAAGTGAAGTAGAAAAAGAGCTCATTCTTCAATATCAAAACAAGACACTAGTTAATTGGGAAATGAAATATTCACCTCAAAACTTTACAGATATTCATATTTCTGTGGGTAGAAAGGAAAAAATGAAAGATGATTTGGAGTTTATCATGTTTGGTAGGTTATCTTTAGAAATATATTGCTGGTTTTTTAGTGATTATTTTACATTCATGAATGTTTATTCATGAAATATTTAGACATAAAGTAATAACCTACAAATAGTTTTCATTTTGTTACATTATCTTCTACTACTCACTAAGGGGTTTAGGGTTTTTATAAATTATTCTTCCCAATAAACTAAGGATTCAGTACAATGATAAGGGATGAAAATTAGGATATTTCCATTGATTTGTTTATTTTCATGTATATAAGAATATTTTTATTACCATAGTTTGAAAATAAGATATAAAATATTAAGTACTAAATCAGTCTAAAAGACAATTAAGGACTATCTTTCATCTTGGATAAAAGTAAGTACAACTGAACAGTGTTTCAGAAAACTTACAGCAAAACATTGTGCACTAATTACCACTATAAAAAATCACTTCATTAAATTTCTTCTAATCAAGAATCAATATTGATCTTTGGTAGCTTTAGGTTAGTAGTATGATCTATTATACCTGATAGTTTCAAACAACCTTCCTAGAAAAAAAAAAACATTGATTTTATTTGTTAATGCATCAGACTAAGTTTATGTACTGAATGGTGGTAGTTAATTAATTTTAAGTGTCAACTTGACTGGATTGAGGGTTACCCAGATACCTGGTCAAGCATTATTTCTGGGTGTACCTGTGAGAGAGTTTCCAGAAAAGACTGCCTTTTAAATCAGGAGATTGAGTAAAGAAGATCTACTTTCTGTGTGTGGAAATATCACTCAATTGGCTAAGGGCCCAGCTAGAAAAACAAAAAAGGCCGAAAAAAATACAGACAGACAGACACACACACACACACACACACACACACACACACACACACACACACACACACTGTCTTCCTCCTAAAGCTGGAGGTGGGATACACTTCTCCTTCCCTTAGACAACAGAATTCCAGGTTCTCTCGCTTTTGAACTCCAGGACTATACCAGTTACCTCACAGGTCCTCAGGCCTTTAGCCTCGGAATGAGAGTTACACCTTCAGCTTCCCTAGTTATGAGATATTCGGAAATGAATTGAGCCATGCTCCTGGGCTCCCTGGTTCTCTGACTTGACATAGCTTGTGGTGGGACTTCTCATCCTCCATAACTGCATGAGCCAATCCCCCTTTAAGTTTCCTCTTATACATCTATATCTATGCCTATAAATAGCTAACTTTATCTATATCTGTAATCAATATATCTTTTCTTTTTGGAGACAGGCTCTTGCTATATAGCCTAAACTGGAGTTCAGTGGTGTGATCTTGGCTCACTGCAGCCTCAACCTCCCAGTTTGAAGCCATCCCTTCACCTCAGCCTCACCTCAGACTACAACAAACCTGCAGTCCCAGGTATGTTGGTGCATACCTGGGTCTATAGGTATGCACCCAGACACCTGGCTAGTTTTTGCATTTTTTCTAGAGATGGGGCTTTGCCATATGGCCCAGGCTGTTTTTGAACTATGGGCTCGAGGGATCCTCCTGCTTTGGTCACCCAAAGTGCTAGGACTACAGGCATCAACCATCACACCCAACCTATATCTTTATCTCTATATCTCTAAATATATGTCTATCCTCTTATATCTATATCTGTATTATCTATCTCTATATCCTATTGATTCTATCTCTCTGAAGAATCTTCAATAATATACTAAAGTAACAGATTTAATAGTTTAGTTGTAAAATATTCCAAAGTTTTCATTATTTTAAAGCTGTCCCTCAACCCTGCTCCAATTTTTTTCACACTGTCAAACTCTAGAAACTCTTCCTTTTAAGTCTCCATGACACCTGAATTTACTTACCTTTTTCCTCTTTTTCTCCTCCCCAGTGCTGTGCAAACATCATCACTATTTTCAAATCCACTATGTTTTGAATATTTGTCTGCTCCAAAACTCATATTAAAGCATAATCCTCTATGTGACAAGGTTGATGGATATGGCCTTGGAGAGCTATTTGTGTGATGAGGGCTCCACATGAATGAAAGAATTTGCTAAGTCATGGACTCATAGGTTCATGAATTGTTGGTTTATCACAGGGGTACGACTCATGGCACAATAAGAGGGGAAGAGAGAGAACTGAGCCAGCGCACTCAGACCCCTCAACATAGGATGCCCTGTACTGCCTGGTGATTTTCAATGAGTCCCCAACAGCAAGAAAGTTCTTACAAGATACCACTCCTCAACTTGGGACATCTTCACTTCCATAACTGTGATAAATAAATTATTTTTTAAATATTAATTTCCCTATTCTGTTATAAGCAATAGAAAATGGACTAATTCACTTGCCAACCATTGTCTTTCAGGTTTAGAAAAATAAGGCACTGCTTTCTCTCCAACTCAGATATTACCTTTCACCTAGGAGGACCATCTTTAATAGGTCCTCATCCAGGGTTTAGTGAGTCATGTCTAATTTGGGAGTAATTCTTTAGTATATGTACACGGTTGAAAATAATGTTGGCTAGAAGTACTGGCTTATGTCTGTAATCCCTGCACTTTGGGAAGCAAAAGTGGGAGGATTGAGACCAAGAGTTTGAGACCAGCCCTGGCAACACAGTGATAGAGCATTTCTACCAAAAAAAAAATTAAAAAAATGTTAAAAAACAAAATAATTCTTAATCGTAAAGTCACAAGTGTTGGTGAGGATGTGGATATGTAGGAGTACTTATTCATCTTTGGTGAGAATGTAAAATGCTATAGTCATTACAGGTAAAAATATGATGCTTCCTTTCAAAATTAAAAGTAGAATTACTATATGACTCAGCAATTTCACTATTCAAATTCAGGTGCAGGTAATTAAAGACAGGACTCAAACAGAAAATTATACATGAGTGTTCATGGAAGCATTCTTTAAATAGCTACGAATTGGAAACAAATCATGTGTATATCAGTTGATCGGCGGCCAATCAAAATGTGGCCAATCCATACAGTGGAATATTATTTAGTCTTAAAAAGGAAGGAGACTCAGCCAGGAGCAGTGGCTCATGCCTGCAATTCCAGCACTTTGGGAGGACAAGGCAGGTGGATCACCTGAGGTCAGGAGTTTGAGACCAGCCTGACCAAAATGGTGAAACTCTGTCTCTACTAAAAAAAAATACAAAAATTTGCCAAGGGTTCTGGCACATGCCTGTAATCCCAGCTACTTGGGGTGCTCGGGCAGGAGAATCACTTGAACTCGGGTGGCAGAGGTTGCAGTGAGCCAAGGCTGTGCCATTGCACTCCAGCATGGGCAACAAGAGCAAATCTACATCAAAAAAAAAAAAAAAAAGAACGAACGAACGGAAGTAAGGAGGGAAGGAAGAAAAGGCAGGAAGGAAGGGAAAGAGACTCTGACACACACTGTGGATGAACAGTTTATTATGCTTAATGAAATAAAAGGAAAAATATTACATAATCCCACTTATATAAAATAACTGGAATAGCCGAATTCATAGAGAGAAAATATAGGATAACTGTTACCAGGAGCTCAGGGGAGGGAAAAGAAGGGAGTCAGAGCTACAGAGTTTCTCTTTGGAGTAATTAAAGTGGTTTGAAAATAGTGCTCATGGCTTGAGCAGCATTGTGATTTTAATTAATACCACTGAATTGTACATTTAATAATGATTAAAATAGCAAACTTTAGGGTATATGTATATTTAACACATAAAATGTGTAATTATCCTTAGCAATCAATGCTAAATCTTAGTGAGATCTATTTTCATCTAGGATTATTACATAGGTTCGACATTTACAAGTTTGGTTGCTTAAAACAAAGAAATATTTCTTTATAATTTTTCTAATATAAGTAACTCATGTTTTTATTTATTCCACTTATTTTTGTGACTGGTACATTTCACATCCACAAGGTATCTTAAAATATCATAGTTTCCTCTGACATGTGGGCTTTTTAAAAAATATTTTTAATATTTTATCTTTCCTCTTTTAAGTGATGTGTATTATTCTAGACATCATTACAAAAACTAATTACTACATATTTCTGACAGCAGGCCACTTAATATCACATTCTTCTTTTTGTCTGTCTCATCACTTCAGCAAAACAGATCAGGATTCTAGTCTGAATATTTCAAGATGATTAAAAAATATTATTTCTAAGGAAAGATAAAATTTTAGCACCATGAATATTTTCTTCAGAGTACCATCTTTTTATACTGACCTACATTGTGATTAATGTAGAACATACCTGATTATAAAAACACATTTATTAAATTCAAATAATAAGTACCTGTGGACTAAGTAAGGATTACACTTTAAATTTGTATAATCTTAACTATATTATGGATACATTCTAAATGAAAAAGATGCCTTCTAATACTAGCATAATAATCTTATATATTTTCTCTTATTGATTTCTTAATTAATGAAGAAACACTAGATTACTACAAAATTCCCTGCCCTGCCTAGGGATGTTTTAGTTAGTCCCCAACAGCAAGAAAGCTCTTACAAGATGTCACTCAATATCCAGGAATGACTGGATATTGAAAATTTTTAAAAGAATGTATTTATACATATATAGTATCTATACATATGTATATGTATAGTATCTATATATGTATATATATATGTATATATATAGTATATATATGTGTATATATATGTATCTATATATGTATATATATAGTATCTATATATGTGTATATATAGTATCTATACATATGTATATATGTATTTATACATATATAGTATCTCCTGTAAATAATACATTGGGATAATGTGGACCTTTTTTACTCTTGGGGCTACTGTAACAAAGGATGACAGACTAAGCAGCTTAAAGGACAGATATTTATTCTCCCAGAGTTGTGAGTCCTCTCTCTTTGTCTTATAGATGCTGTCTTCTCCCTGTTTCTTCACCTGGTTGTCACTCTGTGTGTGGGTGTGTCCTCATCTCCTCTTCTTATGCGATGTCTTAGTCTGTTTCGAGCTGCCATAACAGGATACCATAGACTGGGTGGCTTATAAACAACGGACATTGATTCTCTCACAGCCCTGGAGGCTGGAAATCTAAGATTAAGGCATGAGCAGGGCTGATTCCTCCTGAGGCCTGTCTCCTTGGCTTCAAGAGATCTTCTCTTGAAGAGTCCTCAAAGGATTGTCCTTCTGTGTGTGTCTGTATCCTCATGTCCTCTTCTTACAAGGACACCAGTCCTATTGCATGCATCAGGGCCCACCCTAGTGACCTCCTTGTACATTAATCACCTCTTTAAAGATTCTGTCTCCAAATATAATCACATTCTGAGGTTCTGGGGGTTAAGGCTCTGACATAGAAATTTTGGGTGTGTATGCACCCAAAATTTAGAATTCAGAACATAACAAATATAAATTCACACATTATAAATAATTTATAGAATAAGAATATAAATAAAATATTTTTGACTTGATTTGAAAGGCTATCACAGATGCATAAGCTTGTGTACGCATTCGTGCACACACGTACACACACACACGCACATCCATATAATCCATGTAGTGCTACAAAATTTTGCTTTTTTTCATTATCAGATATGGCAAACAAAGGATATTCATGTTCAGCAATTTTTGACAGGCTGTCTGTCCGATGCTGTTGTACACTTTAAAAGCACACACAGATAGTGCAGTTTGAGGTTCACAGATGCTTGACCCATTTCTACTCACTAGGATGGACTCATCTGTTCATGTTGCATAACTGTTGTGCATAGTAGTGCATGAGCACACCACTCAAGTCCCTTATCTCCACTCCCTCAGCCCATGTGCTCATTATATCATCTTTAATCCATTTTACAAACCACTTCCAAAATATTCCCCTAATCCAGGCATCCAAGAAATATGTACTAGGCCTTCCTGCAGCTTGGTGTCATACACTGTGTTGTAACTAGGTGATTCATTGACTTAAACCTTTAAATAAAACTATCATCTACATAGCTAAGCAATGATATTTATTATTATTTTCTAAGTAACAGTAATGTAGAACATGTTCCAGATTTTCCTCCATGTATCAACCATTGGTTGTTTTTATACAAATTCAAAAGTAGACAATAAATCAGTGAACAGTGGGAAAACAACTTTCTTTTGTAATATATTGATTTCTGACATCAAAAAAATAAATAAAAATAAACACAAACATCCACTAAGTCATATGGAATTGGATGCACGTTTTATCTTTGCCCACTTGTTCAACCACACAAGATGTCTATCAATCTATCATTTATCTGTCTATCTAAGATCTTTGTTTTGTTTTACACATGTAAGGAAAACAGAAGCACTTTTTATTTTATTTATTTATTTTTGTATTAACTTTTATTTTAGGTTCAGGGTACATGTGCAGGTTTGTTATATAGGGAAACTCTGGGGACTACTTGAGATTGGAAGGTAGGAGTTGGGAGAGAATCAGAAAAAAACATCTAGCATCTTTCTGTCTATTAGGTTTATTTACCAAGTTTCAACAATTGTCAAGATTTTGCCAGTTTTATTCAGTCTTTTTTTCCATATCTCCAAAATCCAATTCCCCAAGTATATAAAATAATATATGTATTTAATATTATGTCTGTGACACAATCTCACTTCACCTGTAATGCACAGCAAATCTCCTGAAGATAAAAGGTGATGTTGTGTTTTGAATAATATTGCCATCTACAGGGAGGGTCACTATGCACTGTTTAAAATTGAAAAATAATAACCCAAATCAGAAATTTAAGCATGATATTTAAACATTTAATAATCGCTATTACAGTATTCCATGCTGCTTACTCAAGCCTGTGAAGAAGCAAAATGGTCTTTTATTATCTTTAATTAAATGACCAAGTAGAGGACGTTTCTGCTCTTGGTGATTCTCTCCTTCCTAGATTGGCAGAGCCATTAAACACACTGGACATATTGAGGGTTCAAAAAAGCTATGGACTGCTCCTGAAAAAATGAAAAAATTGTAAGTTGCATAATAGGGGGATTGGAATCTGGTGTTTGTTTTTCTTTCTTCTCTTCTTTTTTTCTGAAGCATTTTTTTGCAACATCTTCTGTAAGTACATTATTAAAATGTTTTAAAATAAATACAGGTATCTTTTGTGATAAAGCTTGAGTAGTCAAACCATCACATACAAATACATTGCATTTACATTTGAGGTTTTACAAATCTTAAAGGAATTTGTGGACCAGCAATTTCGGATCATTTTGGAAAATTTATCATAACAACTCTGGATAAATGTGCTGAAACCTGTAGAGATGCAGTTTCTCTGCTTGAGACATGAAAAGAACACATATAAATAATTCCTACAGTTTTATTAGCAATTTGGTGATTTGTACGTTTTTTACTTCTATATCCTAGATGATGAGAGAATTCGAATAATCATGCCTAATGGTGAGGAGGAAAATTATCAACAGTGGTTACTTTTCATTTTCTCTGTAAAGTTTTGTTGTTGGTTTGTTGTTTTTATTTGTTTAGAGACTGTCTCGTTCTGTCACCCAGGGTGGAGTGCAGTGGCATGATCCCAGCTCCCTATAGCCTCCACTTCCCAGGTTCAAGTGGTTCTCCTGCCTCAGCCTCCTGAATAGCTGGGACTACAGGCACCCACCCCCATGCCCACCTAACTTTTTTATTTTCTTATTTTTTAGTAGAGACAAGGTTTCACAATGTTGGGCAGGCTGGTCTCAAGCTCTTGAACTCAAACGATCCACCCACCTCAGCCTCCCAAACTGCTGAGATTACAGGCGTGAGTCGCCATGCCTAGTCTTCTCTGTAAAGTTTTAAAGCAAAACATGAGAATGATGGAAAAATTTTTAAAAACACTGTAAGTTGCAGGATTCTACAATAGACATAATCAGAATCTATATCCTGAGTTTTATGTGGTAACTAAATATGCAAAATATATGTTCAGGGCATGTATTTCTTATATTAAAAGCAGCGTGAATACTATGCAGCCATAACAGAAGAACAAGATCATGTCTTTTGCAGGAACATGGATGAAGCCTGTGGGCCTTTATCCTTAGCAAATAATGCAGGAATAGATAACTGAATACCACATGTTCTCACTTACAAGTGGGAGCTAAATGATGAGAACACAGGGACATACAGAGGAGAACAACACACACACTGTGGCCTACTGGAAGGTGGGAGGAGGGGGAGGATCAGCAAAAATAACTAATGGGTGCTAGGCTTACTACCTGCATGATGAAAGATGTGCATTTACCCATGTAATAGTCCTGCACATGCACCCCTGAACTTAAAAGTTTAAAAAATCAGTATGATAAATATTGTAAATGGGAACATATGTATTTCCTATTTCCAAAATTCTGTTTCATGAAAAATAATGTTAAATATTGTATGATATTGAGATTAATTCACCAGTGGTGATAAAGCAATGTTTTAAAGTTTTTACTTAAAAGTCTCCATTTATAACCCATTCCTTGGAGTTTAGAAGGTCATTTACACCAAAAAACTCACCTCTTCACCTGTCTTAATCTTGCTGAGATAGAGCTAAACTTGAGAAATAGAAAGTGTCAAAATATGTCTTTATTGTGCAATTTGCAATAGGTTGGTTACAGAATTGAAAGTAAATTGGAAATTAGCACAAGGAAAGTTTATTAAAGCATTTGATGATCAATAATGGAAGTTTAAAACTGGCAGTCTGGGAGCAGATAGTGAATGATTGGAAGGCAGGAGGATGGACCTTTTATACTTGTTAGAAGAGGTACAGAGACCAGCTCAGTTGGGGAGACCCTAACCCAGCAGCACTAGAAGAATTAAAGAGACACACACGGAAATATTGTGTGTGGAGTGGGAAATCAGGGGTCTCACAGCCTTCAGAGCTGAGTGCCTCAAACAGAGATTTATCCACCTATTTATTGACAGCAAGCCATTGATAAGCATTTTTTTCTATAGATTATAGATTTAACGAAGAGTATTCCTTAAGGGAAATAAAGGATGGGCCAAAATAAAGCGATGGATTTGGGCCAGTTGCAGTGGCTCACGCCTGTAATCCCAGCACTTTGGGAGGCAGAGGCGGGTGGATCATGTGGTCAGGAGTTTGAGACCAGCCTGACCAACGTGGTGAAACCCCGTCTCTACTAAAAATAAAAAAATTAGTCAGGTATGGTGGCACGCACCTGTAATCCCAGCTACTTGGGAAGCTGAGATGGGAGAATTGCTTGAATCCAGGAGGTGGAGGTTGCAATGGGCAGAGATTGTGCCACGGCACTCCAGCCTGGGCCACAGAGTGAAATTCTGTCTCAAAAAAAAAAAAAAAAAAAAGTGATGGGTTTGGCTAGTTATCTGCAGCAGGAGCATGTCTTTAAGGCACAGATCGCTCATGCTATTGTTTGTGGTTTAAGAGTGCCTTTAAGCAGTTTTCCAACCTGGGTGGCCAGGTATTCCTTGCCCTCATTCCAGTAAACACACAACCTTCCCGTGTGGACATTGAGGCCATCATGAACATGTCACAGTGCTGCAGAGATTTTGTTTATGGCCAGTTTTGGGGCCAGTTTGTGGCCAGATTTTGGGGGCCTATTCCCAACAATAGGTTTGTGTTCAATTCTGTTATTTCAGTAGTAAATACTGAAAGCAGGTATGATCTGGGAAAAGACATGGGAATGGGAAACAAAATGAAGGAGAAAATATTACTAACAACAGTATAAAAATATGTGAAGTCTGCTGTTGAGGTTTATTTACTATAAGTTATTTAAAAAGAAAAGAATAAAATTTATATTCTACATGTTCCTTCTTTTTTTAACTTTTAAGTTCATAGGTGTATGTGCAAGTTTGTTACATAGGTAAAAGTGTGTAATGAGGGTGTATTGTACAGGTTGTTTCATCACCTAGGTATTAAGGCTAGTATTAAGTTATTTTTCCTGATTATTTCCATCCTACCATTCTCCACCCTCCAATAGACCCCAGTGTGTGTCGTTCCTCCCCAAGTGTCCATGTGTTCTCATTATTTAGCTCTTGCTTATAAGTGAGAATGTGCAGTATTTGGTTTTCTGTTCCTATGATAGTTTGCTAAGGACTCCATCCATGTTTCTGCAAAGAATGTGATCTCATTCTTTTTTATAGCTGCGTAGTATTCCATTGTGTATATATATGGTACATTTTCACCAGTGGTATGTCTGACACAAGCTGTTTGATAAAAATTTCACCAATTGTTTGGCATTACTTTGCCTCCATTTTCATGGAAGCAGCATTTACCTAAAATACACATATTAAAGTCCTAATGCCCAGTACCTCAGAAAGTGACTGTATTTGGATTGTTTGTTTGACATTACTTTGCCTCCATTTTCATGTAAGCAGCATTTACCCCAAACACACATATTAAAGTCTTAAAGCCCAGTACCTCAGACAGTGACTGTATTTGGAGATAGGTCCTTTAAAGTGCCAATTAAAACAAAACGAGGTCATTAGGGTAGGCCCTGATCCAACAGGACTGGCATCATTATAAGAAGAGATTGGGACACAGACACAGAGAGAGACAACCACATGAGGACACAGGGAGAAGATGGCATCTACAAGCCAAGGGGAGAGGGCTTAGGAGGAAGTAGCCCTGTGACACCTTGATCTCAGACTTTTAGTCTCCAGGACTGTAGGAGAATAAATGTTGTTTAGGTCGCACATTCTGTGGGACTTTGTTATGGCAGCACTAGCAAATACATATAGCTAGATTCTAAGTTCCATTACTATTTTATTTCCAAAATTTAGCAAGTATTGATCTCCATTGGTCACCATTGATGGTGGTCTGTGAAATCAGTTGGTTTGAAAGATCTGCATGAAGGTGCATATTGAAAAAGGAGCACTAGGATGTACTCCAACTACATCCACCAGGTCTCTGGTAAAATTATATTCTGTAATGACCCCCTAGTGGTTTCAACTGAAGCATTCAGTTTACCAAAACTTTATTTACTTCAACTTAATAAGTTATGTTAGCAATTATCACTAAAGTAGACAGATGATCTGTGTGATTGTTGTGTGTGTGTGTGTGTGTGTGTGTATAATCAGCTGCCATTTTTTTACTTTTTTGAGCAGATCTGTGGTATTTCAATGACCTAGAGTTTACCTTTGTCTACATCCAAACCATGAAGAAGGTGTGATTGAAAAACTGTCAAGTCAGAGACATTAGGTCATTGTTGTTTCTATCATTACTTTATTTCATACACACAACTAAGAATGTAAAATGTTAAATGATTTTTCAATGTTCAAATTACTTGAAGACCAGATTTCAGCAATCATTTCTACAAAGGATTTCTAATAAGAGCAAAGAGTTACAATGAATGGAAAAATAACAGAGGTTCTAAATAATACAATAAAAAGTAAATAAGTTCTTATTTGGGTATCTATATTTTTATGCACATTGAAACCTTCCAAATCAGGGAATAATATGACTTGAAAAAAAGTCATGTCTCAAGTCAATATACACATCATGTCAAAATACTTAGCTTCATAAAAAGGTTAAGTAAACAATCTCTCGGAGTCACGTCCAAGATGGCCGAATAGGAACAGCTCTGTTCTGCACGCAAGATTGACGCAGAAGATGGGTGATTTCTGCATTTCCAACTGAGGTACCTGGTTCATCTCACTGGGACTGGTTGGACAATGGGTGCAGCCCACAGAGGGTGAGCCAAAGCTGGGCGGGTGTTGCCTCACCCGGGAGGTGCAAAGCGTTGGGGGATTTCCCCTTTCCTAGCCAAAGGAAGCCGTGACAGACTGTACCTGGAGGAACGGTACACTCCCTGTCCAAATATTGCACTTTTCCCATGGTCTTAGCAACCGAAAGACCAGGAGATTCCCTCCCATGCCTGGCTTGGTGGGTCCCACGCCCATGGATCCTTGCTCACTGATACCACAGCAGTCTGAGATTGACCTGTGACACTGTAGCCTGGCGGGGGAAGGGGAATCCACAATTGCTGAGGCTTGAGTAGGTAAACAAAGTGGCCAAGAAGCTTGAACTGGGCAGAGCCCACTGCAGCTCAGCAAAGTCTACTGCCTCTCCAGACTCCACCTCTGTGGGAAGGGAGTAGCTGAACAAAAGGCAGCACACAACTTCCGCAGACTGAAACGTCCCTGTCTGACAACTCTGAAGAGAGCAGTAGTTCTCCCAGCACAGTGTTCAAGCTCTGAGAAAGGACAAACCGCCTCCTCAAGTGAGTCCCTGACCCCCATGTAGCCTGACTGAGAGACAATCCCAGTAGGGCTGACAGACACCTCATACATATGGGTGCCCCTTTGGGACAAAACTTCCAGAGGAATGATCAGGCAGAAATATTTGCTGTTCTGCAATATTTGCTGTTCTTTGGCCTCTGCTGGTGATACCTAGGCAAACAGGGTCTGGAGTGGACCTCCAGCAAACACCAACAGACCTGCAGCTGAGGCCCCTGACTGTTAGAAGGAAAACTAACAAATGGAAAGAAATAGCATCAACATCAACAAAAAGGACATCCACACCAAAATCCCATGTGTAGGTCACCAATATCACAGACCAAATGTAGACAAAACCACAAAGAAGGGGAGAAAACAGAGCAGAAGAGCTGAAAATTCCAAAAACCAGAGCACCTCTTCTCCTTCAAAGGATCACAGCTCCTCGCCAGCAATGAAACAAAACTGGGTAGAGAATGAATTTGACGAGTTGACAGAAGTAGGCTGCAGAAGGTCAGTAGTAATAACGAACTTCTCCAAGCTAAAGGAGCATGTTCTAACCTATTGCAAGGAAGGTAAAAACCTAGAAAACAGGTTAGATGAGTGGCTAACTAGAATAAACAGTGTAGAGAAGACTTTAAGTGACCTGATAGAGCTGAAAACCATGACACAAGAACTTTGTGATGCATGCACAAGCTTCAATAGCTGATTCAATTAAGTGGGAGAAAAGATGTCAGTGATTGAAGAACAAATTCCGTGACTGAAGAACAAATTAATTAAACAAAGTGAGAAGACAAGATTAAGAAAAAAGAGTGAAAAGAAATGAACAAAACCTCCAAGAGATATGAGACTATGTGGAGAGACAAAATCTATGTTTGATTGGTGTACTTGAAAGTGACAGGAAGAGGCCAAGTGCAGTGTCTCACACTTGTAATCCCAGCACTTTGGGAGGCCAAGGCGGGCGGATCATGAGGTCAGGAGATCGAGACCATCTTGGCTAGCATGGTGAAACACCATCTCTACTAAAAAAAGAAAAACAAAATTAGCCAGGCGTGCTGATGGGCACCTGTAGCCCCAGCTACTTGGGATGTGGAGGTGGAAGAATGGTGTGATTCCAGTAGGTGGAGCTTGCAGTGAGCCGAGATCACACCACTGCACTCCAGCCTGGGAGATGGAGTGAGACTCCGTATTAAAAAAAAAAAAAAAAAAAAAAAAAGGAAGGAACAGGAACAATGGAAGCAAGTTAGAAAACACTCTTCGGGATATTATCCAGGAGAAATTCACAAACCTAGCAACGCAGACCAACATTAAAATTCAAGAAATACAAAGACCACCACAAAGACACTCTTCAAGAAGAGCAAGCCCAAGACACATAATTGTCAGTTTCACCAAGGTTGAAATGAAGAAAAAATATGTTAAGGGCAGCCAGAGAGAAAGGTCATGTTACCCACAAAGGAAAGCTCATCAGACTAACAGCAGATCTTTCCAGAAACCCTACAAGCCAGAAGAAATTGGGTGCCAATATTTAACATTCTTAAAGAAAAGAATTTTTCAACCCAGAATTTCATATCCAGCCAAACTAACCTTCATAAAGTGAAGGAGAAATAAAATCCTTTACAGAGAAGTGAATACTGAGAGACTTTTGTCACCACCAGACCTTCCTTACAAGAGCTCCTGAAGGAAGCACTAAACATGGAAAGGAACAACCAGTACCAGCCACTGCAAAAACATGCCAAATTGTAAAGACCATTGATGCTATGAAGAAACTGCATCAATTAACAGGAAAAATAACCAGCTAACATCATAATGACAGGATCAAATTCATGCATAACAATATTAACCTTAAATGTAAATGGGCTAAATTTCCCAATTAAAAGACACAGACTGGCAAATTGGATAGTCAAGACCCATCAGTGTGCTGTATTCAGGAGCCCCATCTCACATAAAAAGACACACATAGGCTCCAAATAAAGGGATGGAAGAATATTTACTAAGCAAATGGAGAGCCAAACTTTGAAATCTCCAAGAAGAAAGAAGTTGAAGAAAGGAGGACTATTTGAAGTTGAGAAGAACCTTAGAATTGGTTTAAAGGGTATGGAGCCCCATCTCATGTCCAGAGACACGCATAGGCTCAAAATAAAGGGTTGGAAGAAGATCTACCAAGCAAATGGAAAACAAAACAAAACAAAAAGCAGGGATTGCAATTCTAGTCTCTGATGAATCAGACTTTAAACCAACAAAGATCAAAAGAGACAAAGAAGGCCATTACACAATGGTAAAAGGGATCAATTCAACAAGAAGAGGTAATTATCCTAAATACATATGCTGCCAATACAGGAGCACCCAGAATCATAAAGCAAGTTCTGAGAGACCTATAAAGAGACATAGACTCTCATACAATAATAATGGAAGACTTTAACACCCCACTGACAATATTAGAGAGATCAGTGATACAGAGGGTTAACAAGGATATTCAGGACTTGAATTCAGCACTGCACCAAGCAGACCTAATAGACATCTACAAAACTCTTCACCCCAAATAAACAGAATATACATTCTTCTCAGCACCACATCACACTTTTTCTAAAGTTGACCACAAAATTGGATGTAAAACACTCCTCAGCAAATATAATAGAACAGAGATCACAACAAACAGTCTCTCAGACCACAGTGCAATCAAATTAGAATTCAGGATTAACAAATTCACTCAAAACTCACAACTACATGGAAACTGAGCAACCTGCTCCTGAATGACTACTGGGTAAATAACAAAATAAAAGCCCAAATAAATATATTCTTCGAAACCAATGAGAACAAAGACACAATGTATCAGAATCTCTGTGATACATTTAAGTCAGTGTGTAGAGGGAAATTTATAGCGCTAAATGCCCACCAGAGAAAGCAGGAAAGATCTACATTTGACACCCTAATATCACAATTAAAAGAATTAGAGAAGCAAGATAAACAAATTCAAAAGCTAACAGAAGGGAAGAAATAACTAAGATCGGAGCAGAACTGAAGGAGAAAGAGACACAAAAAACCTTCAAAAAATCAATGAATCCAAGAGCTGGTTTTTTGAAAAGATCAACAAAATATATAGACTATTAGCAAGACTAATAAAGAAGAAAAGGGAGAAAAATCATGTAGATGGTATTAAAACTGATAAAGGGGATATCAACTCCAATCCCACAGAAATACAAATTACTATCAAAGAATACTGTAAACACCTCTACACAAATTAACTAGAAAATCTAGAAGAAATGGAAAAATCCCTGGACACATATACCCTCCCATGTCTAAACCAGGAAGAAGTTGAGTCTCTGAATAGAGGAATAACAGGCTCTGAAATTGAGTCAATAATTAATAGCCTACCAACCAAAAAAGTTCAGGACCAGATGGATTCACAGCCAAATTCTACTAGAGGTACAAAAAGAAGCTGGTACCATTCCTTTTGATACTATTACAATCAGCGGAGAAAGAGGTAAGCCTCCTTAACTCATTTTATGAGGCCAGCGTCATCCTGATACCACAGCCTGGCAGAGACATAACAAAAAAAAGAATTTTAGACCAATATCCCTGATGAACATCAACGTGAAAATCCTCAATAAAATATTGACAAACTGAATCCAGCAGCACATCAAAAAGCTTATCTGTCACAATCAAGTTGGCCTCATCCCTGGGATGCAAGGCTGGTTCAACATATGTAAATCAATAAATGTAATTCATCACATAAGCAGAACCAACAGCAAAAACCACATGATTATCTCAATAGATGTAGAAAAGACCTTTGACAAAATTCAACAGCCTTCATGCTACAAACACAATAAACAAGGTATTGATGGAATGCATCTCAAAATAATAAGAGCTATCTATGACAAACCCATGGCCAATATCATACTGAATGGGCAAAAACTGGAAGCATTCCCTTTGAAAACTGGCAGATGAGAAGGATGCCCTCTCTCACTACCCCTATTCAACATAGTGTTGGAAGTTCTGGCCAGGGCAATCAGGCAAGAGAAACAAATAAAGGGTATTCAGTTTGGAAAAGAGAAAGTCAAATTTTTCCTGTTTGCAGATGACAAGATTGTATATTTAGAAAACCCAGTCATCTCAGCCTCAAATATCCTTAAGCTGATAAGCAACTTCAGCAAAGTTTCAGGATACAATATCAATGTGCAAAAATCAGAAGCATCACTATACACCAATAACAGACAAAGAGAGAGCCAAATCATGAGTGAACTCCCATTCATAATTGCTCCAAAGAGAATAAAATACCTAGGAATCCAACTTACAAGGGATGTGAAGGATCTCTTCAAGGAGAGCTACAAACCACTGCTCAACGAAATAAAAGAAGACACAAACAAATGGAAGAACATTCCATGCTCATGAATGGGAAGAATCAATATCATGGAAATGGCCATACTACCCAAGGTAATTTATAGATTCAATGCCATCCCCATCAAGCTACCAATGATTTTCTTTACAGAATCAGGAAAAACTACTTTAAAGTTCATATGGAACCAAAAAAGAGACTGCATAGCCTAGACAATCCTAAGCAAAAAGAACAAAGCTAGAGGCATCAATACATGACTTCAAACTATACTACAAGGCTACAGTAACCAAAACAGCATGGTACTGGTATCAAAACAGATATATAGACCAATGGAACAGAACAGAGGCCTCAGAAATAACACTACACATCTACAACCATCTGATCTTTGACAAATCTGACAAAAAAAGAGAAGTGGGGAAAGGATTCCCTATTTAATAAATTGTGCTGGTAAAACTGGCTAGCCACATGTAGAAAGCTGAAAGTGGATCCCTTCCTTACACATTATACAAAAATTAATTCAAGATGTATTAAAGACTTAAATGTTAAACCTAAAACCATAAAAACCCTAAAGGAAAACCAAGGCAATACCATTCAGCACACAGGTATAGGCAAAGACTTCATGACTAAAACACCAAAGGCAATGGCAACAAAAGCCAAAATAGACAAATGGGATCTAATTGAACTAAAGAGCTTCTGCACAGCAAAAGAAACTATCATCAGAGTAAACAGGCAACCTACAGAATGGAAGAAAATTTTTGCAATCTACCCATCTGACAAAGGGCTAAAATCCAGAATCTACAAAGAACTTAAACAAATTTACCAGAAAAATACAAACAATCCCCTCAAAAAGTGGGCAAAGCATATGAACAGACACTTCTCAAAAGAAGACATTTATGCAGCCAACAGACATATGAAAAAATGCTCATCTTCCCTGGTCATCAGAGAAATGCAAATCAAAACCACAATGAGATAAAATCTCACACCAGTTAGAATGGCGATCATTAAAATGTCAGGAAACAACAAATGCTGGAGAGGATGTGGAGAAATAGGAACACTTTTACACCATTGGTGGGAGTGTAAATTAGTTCAAATATTGTGGATGACTGTGGCAATTCCTCAAGGATCTAGATTTGATCCAGCGATCCCATTACTGGGTACGTACCCAAAGGATTATAAATCATTCTATTATAAAGATACATGAACACATGTTTACTGTGCCACAAGTCACAGTAGCAAAGACTTGGAACCAACCCAAGTGGGATTGGATTAAGAAACTATGACACATATACACCATGGAATACTATGTAGCCATGTCCTTCATGCATGAAGCTGGAAACAATCATTCTCAGCAAACTATCACAAGGACAGAAAACCAAACATCACATGTTCTCACTCATAGATGGGAGTTGAACAATGAGAACACATGGACACAGGGTGGGGAACATAGCACACTGGGACCCGTTAGAAGGTAGGGGGCTGAGGGTAGGAGAGCATTTGGAGAAATACCTTATGTAAATGTTGACTTGATGCATGCAGCAAACCAACATGTCACATGTATACCTATGTAACAAACCTGCACATTGTGCACATGTACCCTAGAATTTAAAGTATAATAAATTAAAAAATAAATTGTTTTTGTATATATATATTATATTGTATATTAAATTATAATATATAATATATAATTATATAAAATATAAAATATGAAATATTTTATATATATATAATGGAATGCTACTCAGTCATAAAAAGGAATGAAATAAGGCATTTGCAGCGACCTTGATGGAATTGGATCCAATTATTCTAAGTGAAGTAACTCAGGAATGGCAAACCAAACATTGTATGTTCTCACTCATAGGTGGGAGCTAAGCTGTGAGGACACAAAGGCATAAGAATGATACAATGGACTTTGGGGACTAGAGGGGAAATGGTGGGAAAGTGGTGCCAGATAAGAGACTACACATTGCTTACCATGTATACTGCTCAGGTGATGGTTGCACCAAGATTTCAGAAATCACCACTAAAGAACTTCTTCATGTAACCAAACACCACCTGTTCCCCCAAACCTATGGAAATAAAAAAATAAAAAAACAATGATTTCTCAGGGAGAATGACTAAGGATGTTCAAAAATGACTTCCTTTGCCCTGTAGAATCACAATTGCAATATCAAAAAGTCATACACCTTCCACTTTGTCCCTTTTAAATAATAACTTGAAAATCTTATTTAGAAAGGATGTGATGAACAGACAGGTTGTATTTTAGCATGTTTACTCTTTTTTTTTTCTACTTGTCTCTCTTCATCTTATGGCAAAATTGCATCCCCCCAAGTTGACTGTAAAAGCTTCCATTCTATTGTAAGCCAAAAATGTGGAAAAAACAATGTGAGTGTAAATAGAGAAATGCCAAGGAAAGTAAGCATTAGTCTGTGTCTATACACTTAACAACCTGGTCTAGTCATGTTGTGGCATAAGCTAACAGTTAGTGCATTACCATGTTTATTAATCTCTAGAGATTAACTTTTTAACAAGAAATATGACCCAGCCCTCATTTTTGTAATTCAAGTGTGGTTTGTAGCTCAGCAGAGGAATAAAACCAGGGATGTGTTAGAAATTAAATGTACGTGAAATATAAAACCACCACACTCTTAGAAGCAGAGAAGACAACAGCAATTTCAGAGTCTGGGATAAGGGAAATGAAAGCTTTGGTCAAAGGATACAAAATCTCAATTAGACAGAAGTAATTTATTCCCTTTTTTTGAGTTCCGATAATATTACAAAGTGTGGTGAATATAGGTAATGTGGAGTATTTTACACTTCAAAATTGACAAAAAAGTAAACTATAAATGTTCTAACCACAAAAATGTTAGGATATACTAACTAGTTTAATTTAATTATTCTGCATTGAACAACACTTTGTATCTCATTTATTTATGTAATTATAAATTATCAATTTATCAATTTACAGTAAAATAAAATAAAAATGAAGCAAAATGCATGAAACCAAACTGTACCTTCTGCATCAGAAGGTTTTGCAGAAATCCATGTTTTAAAAAGCTTTCCATAATGTTCTTACCTACACTAACATTTGAGAATCACTGTTCTAGTGAGTTACTCTAAAATGTAAACAGTATATAATGAGTGTTAAATGAAATATACCATAGATAATGGAGAAAAAAAGCTACCAACTTAGCAAGATTCTTCTCAGAAAGGTCCATAAAAATTGAGATCAAAAGCCGCAATTTGGGGATTGTAGTTTGCTTGTTTAACCACACAATCCTGTAAAAGACTACGTGTTTGATTTACAGTGTGTTATTTGTAAAATATGAAAAGCATGAACTCAAATTGGTCAGTGTCCACTTCAATAAAATAGAGGCAGAGCCTATCACACAGGATACAACTATGGAGACAGTTTGGTAAATATCATTCTTTGAATACGTATGGGCACATACTTCACACGAAAATTAGTAAAAATTGATAGAAAAGAAATTGGGTTAGGCAATTTTGCTTGCCCACTTTGCCTTATTCTAGAAATAAATGTAAATAACAGCATTTCAACTTTTTGAGAAAAAATTATCCAGTCAAGACAATGGGAAAATTGAACAGAGTCGTTAACAAACTCAGAAAGTACAGACAAGTTAAAATACATGGGGACACAGGCATACTCGCCAATCCCCATGTGGTCACTAAGGTGAATTAATTTTTACAGGAAAATAGTAGTACATGTTTGAATTTAGTAACCAGTATTTATGGATGGTGAGGAAGTTTGGGATATAAAAAGCTAAACACTGCTTGTAAAAACTGAAATAGGAAACGAATGGCCCTATTGAATAGTTGTAATGTGCAGAGGTAGAAATAATATTTGAATTCAAATATAAAAACAGCTAGAACTAGAAGAACAATGTTTAAAATTTGACATGTAGTAACTATGACTATAAAGTTATTTTAAATATTAGGAACAGTAATCTACTTGATATGTTTATTATTTGACATATTTAATTGTTTGTCAACATATCTTAATACATTTTTAGAGACTGAGCTATGCATTTAGAGTGATGTCATGTACAATCATTCTATCTTCTTTAATAGGTAAATCTTTGGGTGTGTGGATGCCTTATTAAAAGCCATGAGGCTTATCTTCCAGAATGAATTATTTAATCATTGGTAACTGTATATTAGGCAACCAACTAATCAGTTATAGACAACACATTACAGTCTGACACATTGATATATTTAAGTCTTATAAGAAACTTATATGTACTTTTTAGATAGATATTTTCATATTTAAAATTATAATTTAAGGTTAATTATTTTATTTTATTATTATTATACTTTAAGTTTTAGAGTACATGTGCACAATGTGTAGGTTAGTTATATATGTATACATGTGTCATGCTGATGCGCTGTGCCCATTAGCACCTCATTTAGCATTAGTTATACCTCCTAAAGCTATCCCTCCCCCCTCCCCCCACCCCACAACAGTCCCCAGAGTGTGATGTTCCCCTTCCTGTGTCCATGTGTTCTCATTGTTCAATTCCCATCTATGAGTGAGAATATGCGGTGTTTGGTTTTCTGTTCTTGCCATAGTTTACTGAGAATGATGATTTCCAATTTCATCCATGTCCCTACAAAGGACATGAACTCATCATTTTTTATGGCTGCATAGTATTCCATGGTGAATATGTGCCACATTTTCTTAATCCAGTCTATCATTGTTGGACATTTGGGTTGGTTCCAAGTCTTTGCTATTGTGAAGAGTGCCACAATAGACATACGTGTGCATGTGTCTTTATAGCAGCATGATTTATAGTCCTTAGGGTATATACTCAGTAATGGGATGGCTGGGTCAAATGGTATTTATAGTTCTACATCTCTGAGGAATGACCACACTGACTTCCACAATGGTTGAACTAGTTTACAGTCCCACCAACAGTGTAAAAGTGTTCCTATTTCTCCACATCCTCTCCAGCACCTGTTGTTTCCTGACTTTTTAATGACTGCCATTCTAACTGGTGTGAGATGGTATCTCAGTGTGGTTTTGATTTGCATTTATCTGATGGCCAGGGGATACCACCACCGATCCCGCAAAAATACAAACTACCATCAGAGAATACTACAAACAACTCTTCACAAATAAACTAAAAAATCTAGAGGAAATGGATAAATTCCTCAACACATACACTCTCCCAAGACTAAACCAGGAAGAAGTTGACTGTCTGAATAGACCAATAACAGGCTCTGAAATTGTGGTAGTAATCAATAGCTTACCAACCAAAAAGAGTCCAGGACCAGATAGATTCACAGCCGAATTCTACCAGAGGTACAAGGAGGAACTGCTACCATTGCTTCTGAAACTATTCCAATCAATAGAAAAAGAGGGAATCCTCCCTAACTCATTTTATGAGGTCAGCATCATCCTGATACCAAAGCCAGGCAGAGACACAACCAAAAAAGAAAATTTTAGACCAATATCCTTGATGAACATTGATGCAAAAATCCTCAATAAAATACTGGCAAACTGAATCCAGCAGCATATCAAAAAGCTTATCCACCATGATCAAGTGGGCTTCATCCCTGGGATGCAAGGCTGGTTCCATATACACAAATCAATAAATGTAATCCAGCATATAAACAGAACCAAAGACAAAAACCACATGATTATCTCAATAGATGCAGAAAGGTTAATTTTTATTTCAGAGGACTTTTATTTTTAAAAACCCCATGGATGAGACTGAGCAACAAGATGAAATCCCATTTCTACAAAAAATACAAAACTATTCACCAGGCATGGTGGTGTGTGCCTCCGGTCCTAGCTACTCAAGAGGCCAAGGTGGGAAGATCACTTGAGCCCAGGATTTTGAGGCTGCAATTAAGCAATAGTGACACCTGACTCCAGGCTGGGTGATAGGGCAAGACCGTATTTCAAAACCAACCCATCAACCACCCCCAACAACAACACAAACCAAACACAAACAAACAAACAAATCCATGGATGATTTGACACTTGTGCACATTATGCAAATGTAGAGTCGTGACATCTATGTCATTGTAACACTTCTTATTATGCAGGCATTCAACTGCTGGGTGCAATTGACAGTATCTTCCCACTCTATAAACTCACTTGGCTAAAGATGAACATAGAAAATAAAAATAGCCACCTGTGTTGAAAAACATGATCTATCAGGTAGAACAGGTTAATGATTTCTCACATGTATATTTGAATGTAACAATTAAACTCAGAGAGTTACCAGCCCTGTGTTGACTATTGATTCATTAGCTTCCAAATTTCTGTAATTGACAGGCACCTGAAGCTACCTGATGTCTGAATATAATAAAATGTTAATGCATGAAGATTATTAGCATGCTTTGTTGCTTTAGATCTTGAAATAAATACTGTCATACTGGGTCCATTAGGTTTCTTCTCCTTCTTCATGAAGTATAGCTTCATTGTACCAAAAGCAACCATGGAGATCATCTTATTTTCCAGGAAAGTGAGGTTTTAAAAAGACAAAGAACATGTCCGAGGTCATTATTTAGCACTGTGGCGGTACAAGCATTGTGTGTACAACTTTAAAATGAAGTTTTCAAAAGACTTTAAGATTTTTTTTTCCTCTTGCCAAACACGATCTTTTAAAGTAAAGACAAGGACTACTTACCATTCTGAAAATTAAAAAAAAAAAAAAACTTCTTATATTTGACATTTCCTTCTTACTGGAATATTAACAGAAAACACCCAATTCTATATTTACTCATGATGATTTTGTTTAAAAATGATACAAGTATAAAAATAATTGACAGATTTTTGTTTTTGTATGGGATACTGATAAAACTCATTCAGTGAAACTGGTAATAGGAATTTAGTGCCTAGTACAAATTGCTTAAATGCATGAACTTCTTTAAATAATTTTTAAATTAGCTTTATTTTAAGAAATGATGACTTTTTTCAAAGCTGGCACTCTATTGCGACTGTTTAATTTTGTCATGTGATTATCTCTTATGACTTCATGATTTTAATTGAAAAGATAATTAAAAGTGATGTTTTAAGAAAATAGTTCTTGAGAATTTGTTCATGATCTCAGGGGTCCAATATATTAATGTAATAATTTATTGTGCCATTAGTACAGACCCACCAGTTCCCTTGCTGTAAGTAAATAAAATATGACCCAGAAAAATGTCTACTTTCCTTATTTTAATAGACTGTAACATCAAAAAGCACTTTTCATTAAGCTCCAATAAGGTAGAACCACACCCTGTAGTCCCAGTGCTTTGGGAGGTCGAGGAGGGTGGATCACCAGTTCAAGAGATCAAGATCATCCTGGCCAACATGGTGAAACCCTGTCTCTGCTGGAAATGCAAAAATATTAGCTGGGTGTGGTGGTGGGCGCCTGTAGTCCCAGCTAATTGGGAGACTGAGGCAGGAGAATCACTTGAACCCGGGAGGCAGAGGTTGCAGTGAGTCAAGACTGTGCCACTGTGCTCCAGCCTTGTGAAACAGTGAGATTCCGTCTCAAAAAAAAAAAAAAAAAAAAAAAAAAAGGAAAAGAAAGAAAAGATAGAATCATGCCCATGAAACTGTGCTGCAAAGTTGCACGGAATTTCAGCTTCTGATCACTGCTGTTTGAAAGTACTATAGGAGTACTGAGAGCAGAATTAACAACAAAGGTCATTTTCTTTAATCAGCTCATTACTCAGAGATGAGTGATCACTAACTTTGGGATAGCAAACTTGGGAGAATCTCAGTATACAATGAGATTTGTTAGAGAAGTTTCCTAGAAGATGATTGACTCACATTTCAGAAGAATTATCTGAGAAGTGAATTGGAAAAATAAACTTTTTGTACATGTATTATTTGAAGATTTGTATATTGTCTACTGTAGTTGACTATGATTTAAATGATTTAACTCACTGAATTTGGTTTCATAGGCAATGTGATAAAACTTCATCAAAAAAACCTAACCATAGATATTACAGTTACTCCTTTTTGGCTGGGTAACAGGGTAAAATATTTGAGTTCTCTATTAATTCAGTATCTATGAAACAATTAATGGGATAAATTGGACTAATTTTAATGTCAATTATCACTCTTAGTTTTATGAGCTTCTGTCCTTTACTGACTACTAGCCTATCTCAATAAACAAAGCTACACTCCTTCGCAAGTGAAGAAACTAGCACTAATGGGACATTTCATAATTATCTTTGACATGCTATTTGGCATTGTGTAGCCTATCTGTGACATTAAGTAACATTTCCCCCTTCTCATAAATGAATTTTCTGGTTTGATACCCATATGGTGAGCAATATGTAATATATAACAATAAGGTAATGACGATGATGATGATAAAGGTGATTATGATGATGGTAATTGTGACAATGACAATGATGTTAATAATGGTGATGATGGTGATGATATGATAATGGTGGTGGTGATGGAGATGTTCATGTTGTTGGTCATAATGATGATGGTGATAGGGATGATGGTGATAATGTAGATGACAATCCTGGCGGTGATATTGAAGATAGCGTTGATGATGATGTTGATAATGATGATGATGACTATGAAGATGATGATGGTGATGATGAAAATGATGATGATGTGATAATAATGGTGTTGATTATGGTCATAGTGATGGTGGTGATGATGAAGACAATGTTGATGGTGGTAGTGATTATGATAGTGATGACATCATGATCATAGTGATGAATCAGATGATGACAATAATGATGGTATGTCATGTTACATAGACATTCAAGAAATTATACCCTCATATTACTTAAAAAATGGGAAAAAAAAACTCATGTTAGGAAGGAAGAATCAATATCGTTAAAATGACCATACTGTCCAAAGGAATTTATACATTCAATGCTATTCTGGTTAACCTACCATTAACATTATTCATAGAATTAGAAAAAAACTATTTTAAAATTCATATGGAAGCAAAAAAGAGACCATATACCCGAGAAAATCTTAAGCAAAAGGAACAAAGCAGGAGGCATCATATTACTGGACTTCAGATTTATGCAATTTTTTTTTGGAAAATCAGGCTTAGGAATGTTTGTCATATTTGAGTCATATAAATATTGCATTTTTATTATAATTTTTATAGGAAATATTACAATTGTTAATTATTTGAAACATTGGAGTAAATCTATTAAACCATTGAAACAGATGCGTTTTTGGAGGATAACTTATTTGAAATATTTCTATGATTTTCTATGATAAATGAAAATTGTTTTATTGAAGGATTCTTTTTGTACATGAGTTGCATTTGGTAAATAGCTATTTTTATTAGACATTTCACACAAATTTTCAAGCATATTTGCTGTATGTTACACAAATCAATCTCTCATGATGTCTCGATTTTATTTCAGTAATCTTTTTTCTACTCACTACTTTCTTGATTTTTGTATTTGAACCTTATTCCTATTTTTAAAAATTTAATTGTTTGTCCATATTCTTCTTTGTTTCCAAACAACAACACTTAATTATGTTGTATAATACATGGTTTAACTGTTCTAATTTTTGCTTTAATCATTATGTAAGAAAAGATAAAATTTAGGTGCCAAAGCACTAGTGATAAAAGAAAATAAGTGTAATAGTAAATATTCCAAATAACACTAGAGACATGTTTACGAATATGCTTTAAATAAGAGAGCAACCAATTTTCATAACATAAATATATAAGATATGCAAGGATTCACACTCACTCAAGTGAACGAAATAACACAAGAGGAAGCAAATAATGTATTCATCAATGAGATGCCCTTATGGGTGTATACAAAATGTACACTTCGATAAAAGGTAATATACTTTATCTGCAGTTACATTTAAATATTTATTAAAATTGATTATGCATTTAGTGACAAAGCAAATGTATATCAATTCCAAAGGAATAAAATTTACAAAAATACTTGGTTTTTGTTATGTGATGTTGAGTGAGTGATTTTGGTTATAACTAACTCTGTTTTTCTCCAGGTGGGTTTGTTTATATGTTTTAACTATGCACTTCACATCAAGAAACACTTGAGGAAACAACCTTTATAGGTGTTATTGTTCTGTGCCAAAATTTTTCTTTACTTTGTTGGGCACTGTGTGAAGCATCCTGTTAGGCTAAAAATTTTTGGGTTTCACTTTGAATTTTATTTTAACAGTAGTTTCCAGTGAATTGTATATTTTTTCTGTTTATTTTTCAGTGTGTAATTTTCCTGTACCACCAGGAAAATTGTGTTTTGACTTATGAGGGACTGGTGAGGGGCTGTTTATGGCTTACTAGGTTTTTCAATTCACAGGCACCCTCTTGTGTCCATATAATTAAGTTTCCTAGGTGATGGCTTTTATTGGTTTGCTTTATTGTGTTGTATTGTGTTCTGTTTTGTTTTCCTTTCTGAAAAGCTCACCAATTCTGGCATACACTTTTGATTTTGTAGGACTGATAATTTTTATTTCTTGTTTTTTTAGTTTATTTATTTGCTTTCCATGACAAATCTTCAAAGGATTCTCACTTTTACCACAAATCTCTCTCTGTAATTCCAAGTAACAATTCCTTCCTCATAGTGCCCCCTCTACTAAATTATAGTCCATATTTATAATCACTTGCATTTTCATATGATAATGTAATGAAACAAAAGCCATCACTTACATCAAAAAACTACGTATACATATATATATACACACACACACATATATATATATATATATATATATATATATACACACACACATACACATATATATGCATATGGTATCATGGAATAGTTCTTTGGCATTAGTGGAAGATTTTTATCCCTCCCTCCATGGAGAAAATGTTAGCATGGAATGAAGGATGTTGATGTAATTGTTTAAAGAAATGACTCAGATAAAAACACTCTCCAACACCAGATCCCTGGGGATCTCTGATATTTGAAGCTCTTCAGAGGGATTTCAACCTCCAATATGTTTTTTTCTATGGATGTGGCTAGTTGTTGAAAGACAATTTATTGATAGGGACACCAAGAACATCTCTGTGAGGAAGGTGATATATTTGAGCTCCTGGCAATACCATTAGTACAGTCCAAAGAGAAGGTTCTGGAGTTGAAAGCTATTCATTTGCAAAGAGAATATCTGTTGGATTAGGATGAAGCTGGAGACGGAAGATTATGAATAAGGATCAGAGAAAATGCAGTCAGCACAGTCATCCCAGGTTCCTCTCATCAAGACGATTCCTTCGTAATTCTTAAAGCATCTTCAGCCTTACAATTGTCAATAAATCTTTTCCCTGGTCTATTTCTACTCCAGAGATAAAATTGCTGAGGATTTGTCTCAGTACCGTGTTTCAAGTCTCAGAAACAGAGAGGTAGGAAGGAGGCAGGACCCAACTCTGGAGGTGGGGCTTACACACCTTACCAAACTGAGGGCTAGTTAAAACAGTGACAAGATGGAAGGAGCTCTCCATAAGACAGGTCCACTAGTGTGCCATGTCAGTTTACCATTACCATAGCAACACCCAGGAGTTACCACTCCTTCCCAACAATCTGGAAATTACCACTCTTTTTCTAGAAATGTCTGCATAAATTCCCCTTCATTTGCATGTAATTAAAAGGATGTATAAATATGACTGCAGAACTGCCTCTGAGTTGTTACTGTGGGCACACTGCCTACGAGGTAGCCCTGCTCTGAAAGGAACAGTAAGTAGTACTTCTGCCATCTCAGAATAATTGCTGTCAAACACCACTGGCTCACCCTTGAATTCTTTCCCGGGCGAAGGCAAGAACCTTCCCAAACTCAGCCCCAAACTGGGGGTTGCCTGCATAAGTTTCTTTCTCTCTCTCTTTCTTTATTTTTTTTTAAAAACACAAGGTGTGGCTCTCTCACTTAGGCTGGAATGCAGTGGCATGATATCAGCTCACCGCAACCTCCACCTCCTGTGCCCAAGCAGTCCTCTTAGCTTAGCCACCCAAGTAGCCAGGACTATAGGTGTGTACCACCACATCTGGCTAATTTTTGTATTTTTTGTAGTGAAAGGGTTTTGCCATGTTGCTCAGGCTTATCTTGAACCCCTGACCCCCTTCATCCACCCAACTCAGCCTCCCAAAGTGCTGGGGCTACCAGTGTAAGTCATTATGACCAGCCCATCAGTTTCAGTAAAATAATAAACATATATGCTATTTAAATGGCACAGCATTGCTGATTTATATTATTTAGTATTAAAGAATGAAACAAATGAGTTAAAGGAGAAACATAAACTTAGTAGAGAGTTGAGGATATTTTACATTATGCTGACTTCTATATATTTTTGCCAAATACAGTTCTTGGAGATGAACTAAAAAAACACATTGCACATTGCCTTCTTTTGAGATGTTTCTACTTTTCCTAACTGCCAGCTTACTAGAGAGAAAACACCATATTTTGAGATATATATACAGATGGAAAATGAAAAACCCAAATTGTCACTCTGACATTATCAAATATTTTATTACATTGGTGCTTGCATTACAAAAAACTCTACTGAGCTTTCATATTAAAGGTGTTTTTAAAAAAAATTAAAGAGAACATTTGTAATGGTACAAATTATGCTCTGAATTCAGGTGTCACTGGTATGACTGTATGGGGAGATTAGTGTTCCAAAGAAGTTCATGTTGTGTTCACTGGTTATGTTTCAGGTAAGAACTTTTGTTACAACAATACATTATTAAGATTGTTTCTGCCAACTTAAGAGGCATAGAAAGCTGATAGTGAAAAAATATAGACTGTAATAATGTAATGTCAGATATACTTTAAAGATCTATTCCATAATTCATGTTTATATGTGAGTTATGAACTAGAAAGTAGTGATATTTGATCAGTCATAAATACCTTTTAAATTTGTTTATTCCTTTGCTGTTTTAAAATGAGTGATAATTATCTTTTATAGATAATTATCTATAAAATTTTATAGATAAAAATCTAAAAAATTTTATAATTAACTATAATAAAAGATAGGGGTTTTCATTTTTCCAGGCTCTCTATTTTGATCTAATAACTTTTAGGAAGTGACTATAAGGAGATGCTATTCTAAATGCAATATGTTGAGTTTATTTTCAGAGCAGTTCACAGAAAAACTTGACATGTTTTGCTTAGATAGATCAAACATTAACTGAAAGGTGTGAATGTGTGTGTGTAAAAGTGAATATGTAATATAGAGTTTGAAGTGTACTATTTCTTACACATTGATTATACTGCTGAGTGGCCAAAATATGAATGGACATTAAAATAGATTAAAGATCATAGGCAATAATTTTCCTCTTATAGTCTATAAACATACCTCATCCAAGGTTGTTGCCATGCAGAATGATTTGCTTTGGCAAAACGAATATCCACAAAGCATTCTCTTCACAATGTAAGTATTTGTCTAAAAATACTGACACATAACATACATATGCAGAAACCGCATAATTTAATCAATGCTCTTGGGGCATGGTTTAGGATCTTGTCCTTAGTGTAACATGATTTTTTTCCAACTGAAATTACGTACTTGAAACAAAATAAAAAGTATTGTTTTATTTTTATTTATTATTTTCTTTTATTAGTGTATTACTCAAATATAATTTTTTGAAAAGGAGTAGAGGTACAATTAGAGATTAAGGAAAAGTAATAAAGAACGATAAACAAGGAGCCATTTGTGTAATGATATTAGCAATTTTGTCACAGAAATACATTTGTCACTTTGTTTTATTATTCACAGAAAAACAGGTCTTTGTGCTGTGCAAACACAACACACACAGAGTCATATATGAAGATATAGGGCTCATTTACAAATATGAATCTCTCTCTGTCTCTTTCTTTTTGGATAATAGCTAATTTATCACAATGTAATCCACACCTTAATTCCCATCTGTCTACTAAGCTGTTACTGACTCATGAAAACGACCAAGACAGACAACATCTTGGGCTCTAAGAGACAGGATCACCACTCACAGAATCTGGCTGTGCTCATGGTCATCTTGTCTTCAGGAGAAACCCCACGCCTGCTGGAGGTACTGGGTCACTGTCTATTGTGACTTCCTCCCTGATGAGGAAACATGACCTGAGGACTGTGATGCTTTATGTTGGGGCCACTGGCCATTTGCAACAAGCAGGGACTCCCCAGTTGGGCTCCAACTTGGAGTGTGTGTGTATGTGTGTGTGTGTGTGATTATTCTAATTATGTCGGTTAGAGAAAGTACACTGTTGTTGTACAGATGGAAGGTGGTGAAAAAGGCACAAATTGGCAACTCTGGGCTGATTTCTTCAGACAGAATCATAGATGTGGCTGTGTGAATTTCAGTGATGAAAATCTCACTTTAATTGTTTCTTAGGGGGAGAAATATAGATAAGGTGCTGACAGCAGGTGGTTTGTTTCTCCTGGAGCTGAGGCCAACAGGTAGAAGATGGAACAGCACTTAGAACAGACCATCTTGGTCTATATTCAGGATGGTTTCTTCACTCACATGCCTGGGTGCATGCCTGGACTGAGTCAACTTAAAACAGGACTCAGTTGAGATGGTTGACCAGAACAACAACATGTGGCTTCACCATGTATCCTGTGCTTCTCAGGAAATGAAGACTGGGGTACTGCATGCTAAGAGAAGGCACCATAAAAATACGTGGCCCATGGAAGTAAAGTGCAAGCTGAAGGGACTTACTATGACCACAAAGCATCATTTCTAATGTACTCAGTTGGTCCAGGTAGCCACAATTCATTCCTGATTCAAGCGGATAAAATTTACACCCTCGACTTTAAAATAATTAATTAATAATTTTCAATTGAGAAAAATTATATATATTTATCTTGTATAACATGATGTTTTCAACTACGTATTCACCGTGTAATGGCTAAATAAGCTAGTTAACATACGCATCACCTCACATGCATTTTTTTTTTTTTGTGGTGAGAACACTTCAAATCTACTGTTTTTAATGATTTTCAAGTACATACTACATTATTATTAACTATAGTCACCACGATGTACAAGAGATACCTTGATATTATCTTTTAATTTTGGATGTGATTAATGTCAAATAATTTGCAGCTGCTTTGTAAAACTGTTGCATATAGACACACTCACTGGGTTGGCCATCAGTGGTTTGTACCATAGCAAATAAAAGATGACATTAGCATTCCTGCAAAAAAAAATACATACATATTTTTAGACTTCACAGAACTTCTCATGAACTTCACGAACTCAAAGAGAGAATTGTGCAGGTATGACTGACTGCCAGGTTATAGGTCTGAGTGTTCACTCTAGGATAGTCCACATAAGATTTGCTGTTATCTAGTCCCTCAGAATGCCAAGTATTTTGGAGATCCTACCAAAGAAGACAGATGACAAAGAGTGTGGATCATGGAATGTTTGTTTTCAAGTGGAACAAAGATGAGAACTTTCATTGGCTCATTCAATACAAATGAACATTCTTAGCACTGAGGATGCATAGTTTGCAAAAATACATCTGTGGGCATCATCCCTAAAGATTGTACTGTTTTGGAAATATGTGTATCTCTAGGAGAACTAGTGATAAATAAGAAGCTTAAGATTCTAAGCTTTAAGAACTAACATGATACACTTATATTGTAATACCCTGATGTAGATTTCTAAGTGCAGAAACGTTTTAGTTGTAGCTATGAGTGAATAAGGCATTCCGTACTTTAGCTGTGTTTCTACAACTGACTTAATATTTTAATTGGGTTTCCATAAAACACTGTTTTTATTTTATTTCCTCTGAGCGAAAATCAATTTTAAAAGTAATGGAAAGTTTTAAATTTTTATTTCCAAACTGAAATGACATTAACATTATGATGACTTTTCTGCAGTAAACTAATTTTTCTGACATATCCAAATTCTGTAGACATTTTCCATGAAAATGCATTTTACTTAAGGAAGATACTATTTTGAAGAAAAGTAATCATTAAAATGTCTTTGAGTTGCTATATAAGAACCAAAGCCAAAACCACTTTTACAAATAGGACATGTTACTTTTTTTTGCAAGTGAAATGTAAAGATTACTTCAAATAACTTGGCTACTGTTTATCAGATATAGAATAATATATTGATCTTTGAGTTCTCTGTTTCTGTAAACACACACACATTTCTATATATATATATATATATATGTCTATAAAAACAGAAACACTTTTATATACATATATGTGTGTTGTGTGTACATATACCTTTATATATATATACATACACATATATGCATGTGTGTATACACACACACAGAGACAGAAACAGAGAGAGAGAAATGGATGGTTAAGCTAAGTGACCTATGAGTAACTTGCCCATATAAAAACATTGCAGACTGTCTGATACCAAACAGGCATTTCAAATAAAGCTTAATAAGTTTATTAATAGATGAAAATAACTTTGTTATAACAAAAAAATTTGTTATGATGTAAAATTAAAGAGATCTCTAAATTTAAAATAAAGTTATGTTTTTAGTAACTTGTACTTATTCCTTCTAAACGTTGACTCTCATTTTGTTTTAAAAATATACACATGGCCAGCAATCATATGAAAAAAGGTCGACATTACTGAATATTTGAGTAATGCAAGTCAAAACCAAAATGGCATAACACCTGATACCAGTCAGAATGAGTTAGCAAAAAGCCAAAAAAAAAAAAACAGATGCTGATGACATCGTAGAGAAAAAGAAATACTTTTACCCGTTGGTGGGAGTGTAAATTAGTTCAACCATTGTGGAAGACAATGTGATGATTTCTTAAAGATCTAGAGGCAGAAATACTACTTGACACAGCAATCCCATTATTGGGTATGTACCCAGTGAAATAGATATCATTCTATTATAAAGACACATGCATGCATATGTTCATTGCAGCAGTATTGACAATAGCAAAGACATGGAATAAAGCTAAATGTCCATCGGTGTGTATACTGGATAAAGAAAATGTGATATATATACACCATAGAATATTATGTAGCTATAGGAAAAAAAAAAACAAGATTATGTCCTTTTCACAAATCTGGATAGAGCTAGAGGCCATTATCTTTAGCAAACTATGCGAGAAGAACAGAAAACCAAATATCATATGTTCATACTCAGAAATGAGAGTTAAATGATGAGAACATATGGACACATAGAGGGAAATAACACACACTTGGGACTATAGGAAGGTGAGGGTGGGAGGAGGGAGAGGATCAAGAAAAATAACTAATGGATACAAGCCTTAATACCTGGGTGATAAAATGAAATAATCTATACAACAAATCCTCATGACACAAGTTTACCTATGTAACATATACACACATGTATACTTAAAATAAGAGTTTAAAATATATATATACACATATATGTATCTACATTTGAAAAATTTTGCATATTTAACTGATTATTTAAATTATGATTTATGAGGGACTTCTGTTCTTAAAGATGATGAAACTGTCATAATTCCCTATAAACTTTAGTATGACTGTCGTTTGTAATATTATTTTACATGTTCATTTCTAAGATTTAAAATATTTCATACATCTATGGGAATTTATTTCTGTTGTTTGTTCAGGTGGATGACTCTGTAATAATAATTTATGAAAGCTTCTGCTTTCCTATTTCTCACATCAGCCTCTTGCTTAGATTGTGTTAAGTGAATTTTACTGTAAATTGCACGAGTACTGGAATACTAAGTTTTTGCTAGATTGTAAATTTTAGTCTGTTGATGGACAATTTAGCATGTTTATGACAGGAAAAAAGTCTTGGATAATTATTCCTTTTTGCTGGAATTCATAGACATTTCCTCAACGCCACATACTAATGAAGTCACTGTAAAGAAATGTGAGAGTAATTTCTTTCATAATTTCGTAGGAAAGTTGAAATTTTTATCTTGAATGCCCGTCTTAATATTTTCAAATTTACTTTTTGTTTTTATTGTGAAACAGTAATGGCACATATTTATGGCACTTGTTTGAAATGCTCGTTCCTCAGTGCAGTAAAAAAATAACACTTGAATATAAATTTAATTTCCTTAGTAAGGCCATTTTTAAACTTTCTGCAGAAAGGCTACACTCGCCAGCAGTTTTGCCATGAGATTACACTGAACAAAGGAGACGGGGTCATTTATAACCTGGTGCGTCCACCCTACTGCTGTGTCCAGTTTCCATTGGCTGGAACGGGACCTCATTCTGTATTTGTTTTGATTTGCTAGCAACTTAGAAAGTTTTAAAAGAGGCAAAAGCAGAGGAGAACAAAGGAAGAAGGAAGTAACTTGTGGAATGCTGAGAAAGGTAAAAACATCTTCAGATAAGGAAGAGGAATAGGCTTTGACCTAATGCTGGCTTGGACTGTTGGAGACCAGCCTCAACACCATCCGTAGGGTACCCAAAGTCTGGTGGCAACAAAAGAATGGGAAGAGACAGGTTAAGAGGGCATAAAGTAGCCAGGGAGCTACTTTCAGAATGGAGGCTGCAAAAGGCTCAGAGTTCTGGTCTCCACATTATTTGAGTATAATCACTTAGATTTAATAAGCAGATGTTCAAGGCAAATTGGTGAAAGGCAGTGCATCATACGCGTAATCTATAGCAGTGGCAGTTTAAATGAATCTCCTTTGTGCTCAACAGCGTATCTTTTAACTTATTGGAAAGCAGCTAGTAGGAGCAGGCTTAACTAGGAGCTTGCATGTCTGGTCACATTCCAATGCTTCTAAGGAGTGTCCTTCTCCTTGAACACAGTGTTTATGGATAACAGAGCAAGTCTCACTCAGAGCATGGGAACATAATGACGATAAGAAGGCTTTCCTCGTCAGAGGTCTCTTGTGGCTTTCCACAACTTATTGTCCCACATTTTAATGGCCAGTTTATACAGGTACCCCATAAGCCTTTCCCCCAACATTTGGACTGGTATAAGCATGCCAGGACAAATATTTAGGATAAATTGTGGGAGCTCAGAATGTAAAGTACATTGATTTCTTTATTATAGCTAGCAGATATTTAAGAATGTTAGCACAGGTCTTTGAATAAATTTTGCTTCTAAGAGGAGTTGCCATTTATTTCTAATTAGATGGGGAGAAAAGTCTTTGAAAAGGAAACTCTACTTTACTTTTCACACACAGAGAGATAAATATTGAATGATCTCATATATATGTTCAATCTAAAATATTCATAGAAATAGAGAATAGAGTGGTGGTTAACATCCAAATATATTTTGGTCATTTTTAAAGTCTTGTCTTTCAGTAATTTCATACTGTGCATTTTACAATTGTTGTAATTATTTCTACAGCAATAAAATGTTCCACCATTTTTTAATCCTAAAATGACTTTTGTCTTAGTTTGTAGTTAATTTTGTGGGCTTCACTCTTGAATCTCCCTCATGTATATAAAGGGTTTTATCTTGTGTTCCCCCATGTCTCTTTGTTACTTGCTTTCCTATATTTTAACATTGCTGCTATTTATTTATTGACCTCTCTCATCTCAGTTTGTACCCTTTTCTGGCCTTTTAGAATTTTTCTTTGAAACCATTCACATCTTGTTTAATTATTTAAAGATAATGTCCATTGTATTTTATGTGAGTCTCTGGAGAACAATTTGGTGAACTCCATCTCCTTGCACCATCTCCTTTTTTACAAGTAGTTTTCTCATCTGCATTTTTCTGGAATCTTCCATTTTTCTCTCATGGAACTGGCAATGGCCCTTTTAAGAACAGTTCTCATTTTGGAATGGTGAGATTAATCAAACAAGCTATTTGCCTACTGATTTTGTAGAAGTGCTTGTGTGTTCCAGAGTGACTCCATCTTGAATAGGCACTGGGTAAAATAAGGCTAAGACATATTAGGCTGCATTCCCAGACAGTTAGGCATTCTAAGTCATGGGATGAATAGGTGGTCAGCACAAGATACAGGTCATAAAGACCTTGCTGATAAAAGAGTTTGCAAGAAAAAGCCGGCCAAATCCTGATCCTCCTCATGGCAGATTACTTGCTAATTAAAATGCATTAGCATGCTAAAAGGCAGTCCCACCAGCACCATGACAGTTTACAGATGTCATGAAAATGTCATGAAGTTACTATACATGGTCCAAAAAGATGAGGCATAAATAATCCACCCTTTTCTTTTTAGCATATAATCAAGAAATAACCATAAAAATGGGCAACCATCAGCCCTTGGGGCTATTCTGTCTATGTAGTACTCATTCTTTATTTGTTTACTTTCTTAACAAACTTGTTTTCACGTGACTCTATAGACTCGCCCTGAATTCTTTCTTACTGTCCCTCTGGTTCTGGATCTGGACCCTCTCCGGTAACGGGTCAGTTGAACATTCCATTTCATTTTATACTCTTGAATGTCTTCTCAAGCAATACAGTATCCCCCTTTGCTGGAATACACCTCCACTGAGTATTTTCATGATTCCAGTTTTGTGTGGCTGAGAGCACACATTTCACCCTGGCGATCAATTGTGGTTGCCATGCCTTCAGTACCCTTCAAGGCAGTCTTCCTCAGCCTTCAGACTGGGTTGTGGATGCTGAAATACCATCCTAATGCTGGTGATATAGCACAAGGCCTCTCCCAGATGACCAATGTCCCTCTTAGCTTCTTGGTGTTTCCAGATCACCTTGCCCTGTGATTTCCCAGGCTTCCAAGACTGTAATCTTAGTTTTTCAGAGAAATGGAAACATGCATTCAGGTTTTTGGAGGCTTATTTTGGAATCTTCCCTAGCAAACTAAGTACAAGCCTCTCTTGCCTATAGAGGGCGCTGCATCATAAATCCATTGTGACTTGGCGTGTCGATTTTTATAACTTTTGGATTTGTTGTTATTAAAGGGGTTATAGAAATAGTATGGGATAAAATTACATTGCTTTATGTCTTTCCTTTTTCTTTAGAATATTTCTCAATCTTGGGTGTTACATTTGTGGCAGAAATATGGAGGTGGAGTATACATTTAAATTAGTATGTAGTTTAAATATTAAAGTGCAATGCTTCTTTTTAAAAATTTGAGTCTGTTTTGGAGTACCAGTGGTTTCTGCTTACCTGGACTAATTGTATAGGGGTTATTTTGAGATTTTAATGCACTTTATTTTTTTGGCAGCAGGTGACAGAGTCTTACTTTGTTGCCCAGGCTAGAGGGCAGTGGCATGATCTCAGTTCATTGCAACCTCTGTCTCCAAGATTTAAGTGATTCTCCTGCTACAGCCTCATGTATAGCTGTGATTACCGGTTCCTGCCACCACACCTGGCTAAGTTTTTACATTTTTAGTAAAGACAGCGTTTTGCCATGTTGTCCAGGCTAATCTGGAACTCCTGACCTCCGGTGATCCACCCACCTTGGCCTCCCAAAGTGCTGGGATTACAGGCATGAGCCACAGCACCTGGCCCTCAATATCTAGTTTTTCGTCCCTAACTCTCTCTCACCTTTCCTGCTTCTGAGTCTCTAGTGTCCATTATATCTGTATACCTTTGTGTAGCCATAGCTTAGCTCCCGATTACGTGAGAACATATTGTATTTAGTTTTCTATTCCTAAGTTGATTTCACTTAGAACAATATCCTCCAGCTCTAGCCAAGTTGCTTCAAAGTATATTATTTCATCATTTTATGGCTAAGTAGTATTCCATGGTACATATATACCATGTTTTAGTTATCTACTCCAACAGTTGGGCACTTAGGTTGATTCCACATCTTTGTCATTGTGAATTGTTCTTCGATAACCATACACACTTCAGTGCTTCTTTTTATCATTTTGCTTTTCTAACACCAGCAAACAAGGAATAGGACATGAAGTTCCATTGACTCAGTCTCAATGGCAATGCAATAAATATATTCTGAGGGAGCTCACTAAGACTATACCTCAAAGAATTCTTGCAACTGAAAAAAGTGTTTCTTCATATAAATGGTATGTTTAAATTATACAGAAGGTCTATTTCTAATCTTTAATCACATGTTTTTATATGCGTTCCCTTTGACCATTAATATTTTCCTTAAATTTGTCCTCTAGAAAGGTCCACAATAAAATGTCATGATTATGTTATGTTTTTTGTTTATTTTTGCTTTAGATTGAATAATATTTTCCTGTTATTTCTACACCCAATAGGGCTAAAGATGCAAAATATTGAGATGCATGCAACATGCAAAAACTTCAGGGGCTGGTTGCAAAAATGTTTGGTTCTTACTCCATTCCTTGCATTTGTTTTATTCACTTTTATTTGGTGGTGGATATTACCACAGAACAAAACTGAAGCCAGTCTAAAAACCCGAAGGAGTACGAATCACCCTAACCTTTTTGACAAGGATACTTCCGCCCTAGTTTATTTATTTTTTTCTTAATTATGGCTGATTAGGTATCGCTGACATAACTAGAGTCTTTTCAGGGATGGATTTCAGCTGTTAAGTTATTTTGGACATGTTTGTCCAAATTTCATCAGTAATGTTTGATTGGTGGCATAGTTCTGTTGTCTAGACACCAATTCTTTTTTATGTCTTTAAATTGTATTGCATTGATTTTTTTCTACACTGATGCTTTCTGTCTTTCTTCATGTTTTCCCTACAGATTTTCTTCTTTCTTCCTGTTCTTTATCATCTTTATCTCTATGATTGCAGCTCCTTACTCTTTACTAGGTTTCTCAGCTGATGGTCCACATTGTGCTCTTTTCTCATCATTGCTTTTTCATTTATTGTATTTTGATGTTGTTTTCATCTTTTATAGAAACGGCCTGCTTTAGCAAACCTTTTAGCGTGCTTTAAAATGTCCTCTATACGATTTATTGTTTTTAAGAAACTTTAGCTCTTTTTCTGTATAAACTGAGATCCTTGTCATAAAGAAGACAAGCAGAGAGTTATACTTGTACATTCTTTAAACTTTAGAATATTAAGTCTTCTTTGTTGTTAATACTTTTTCTTTTGCCTCTTTTCCTTGTGGTTTATTACTACTGTAATTACTCTAACATTCCTGGGATTATCCAATATAGCCAGAGTTCACAAAGCCTTTGATATTGTTTGTCTATGTTCCACCCAAATCTCATCTTGAACTGTCACTCTCATAATCCCCATATGTCATGGGAGGGACACAGTGGGAGGTAATTGAATCATGGGGTGGTTACCCCTATGGTGTTCTTATGATAGTGAGTGAGTTCTCATCAGATCTGATGTTTATTTACAGGGCTTTTTCTGCACTTCTTCTTCTTGCCACTATGTGAGGAAGGACGTGTTTGCTGCTGCTTCTGCCATGGTTGTAACTTTTCAGACATACTGAGCTGTGAGTCAAATAAACTTCTTTCCTTTATAAATCACCCAGTTTCAGATATGTCTTAATTATCAACATGAGAACAAAATAATAGATAACTCTTTATGAAATTGATGGAAGTTGTAATTTAAAGACCAAAATTTAACTGGATATTTTGACAATTTTCTGGTCATCTTGGCAGTCAATATTTTTTCAGTGTGAATTAGGGATAGAATAGTTCATAGAAAATGAGACCATTTGCAGAATTGGGCTAGCTTTCACTGTGCTCATTGAATTTCAGTTTTTAGATATTTTTGTAAGAGATCTGGACTCACCCTGTCATTCAGGTTGAAGTGCAGTGGCACAATCATAGCTCACTGCAGACTTGAATTGCTGGGCATAATTTGTCCTCCCATCTTAGTCTCCTGAGTATCTGGGACTACAGTTGCACTGCCATGCTCCAATAATTTTTTACTTTTTATAGAGACAGGGTTTCACTATGTTGCCCAGGCTTGTTGTGAATGACTGATATTAAGGAAGCTGGTCTCTCTCTGTCACCCAGGAAGAAATTCAGTGGAATGGTCAGAATTCATTGCAGTCTTGAACTGCTGGGCAGTTCAAGTGATCCTTCCCCCTCAGCCTCCTGAGTACCTGGAACTACAGGTGCACCACCATGCTCAGATTGATTGACTGATTGATTGATTGATTATAGACACACAGTCTCACTATGTTGCCCAGGCTGATCTTGAATGCCTAGCCTTAAGAGTTCCCCTGTCTTGGCATCTCAAAGTGGTGGGATGACAGGTGTGACCCACACACGCACCCAAATTTCACTTTTATGGGAACTATCTGGGTCCATTTTCCATGCCCAATACTCCAAAGTTTGGTGTGGTTTACCAACTCAGGTCCAATAATGTGAAGTTCCTCTATTTCATTTTCCTGATTCACAATTGTAATTATAATGCATAGTTTTGTTCCAGGTAAAAGGCATAGCTAATTAATATCATCCAATTTTAAACAAAATATGAGTGCTTATACCAGATAAAGTCCACTTCTGAGTGGAAAAGCCCAGGTAAGAAATCTAACATTTTCAGTGTTTTTTTCCTCAAGGATTATAATCATGTGCTGGAAAAAAATAAATAAACATTTGATTACAATACTGATATATTTTTAGGCATGATCCTAGTTAGTTAGGACACTAACTCACAGAAAAAGTATAAGGGGATATTTGTGAAAGAGATTTCATCTGACCTGACTCCATGAGGATGACAAGGGATTAGCCAGGAAGTGGATTGATGGTTTGTCAGGCAGAGATGGAGGAATGTGTTCTTTGGCATGAGAATTCAAGAAAACAGATCTCATTAGCATAGCCAGAGATAACTCAGGAGACTCAGTTTGAGCCAGGGTATGCCATAAACATTTGCACACAGTGAGCAGAGTCAAGACAGTCACCACAGAGGTATGCCTTGCAAAGAGATGGAGAATATCTAGAATATTTTACAGTGATTGGAAATGATAAGGCAAGAGTATGATTTGGAGCATGGAATGCAACCATCTGTGATTTTGGCAAGAGATGCTTCACTTTTAAGACGGGTGAACAGGCGTGTTTTTAAGGATGGCTAAGGAGTGAATTGAGCAATGAGGAAGTTGAGACAGGAGATGTTTCAACTCCAAAAGATAAGCTGTTAAGAAAAGTAAGGAGAATTATCAAATATAAGCTTCATGCCAGAAAAAGTAAATTGTTGATAGTGTACCATTTTGTCCTTTTTAAGTTGTGAGAGGCCTGAAAGTAGACATGATTTAAGGAAAAAAATTTGAAGAAAAATTGATGAAGTGAGGATTCTAAGAATTCGGAAAGATGATGGAATCTAGATGACAGAGATTAATTCTGAAATTTTAGATAAAGGTAATGTAAGAGTAGATGCAATGTTAAAAATTAAGATATAACTGAAAAATGGACTTGGACATTAGAACTCAAATACAGGTTTTGAAGAATTAGCAGAAGTGAAATGTTGACATCTTGCATTATGTGTAAGGGTCAAACTGTGAGATTAAATTTTCAGAAAGAAGGTCGTTATTTTCTAATTGGATCAGCAGTGTGAAAGCAATGGTGATGAGAGCTGATGGTTTTAAATCCTAGGATATAATTTATTTAGACATCAATCTGTATTTTGAAATACCTGAGTTTTTGAGAAAATAACTGTAAGAAAGTAGAAACAAAGCCATTACAAGTGAAGTGGGTTAAAGATTAGGTAGATAGATAATAGATACATAGATAGATGCATGATGGATGCATAGAGAGAGAGAGAGATAGGATGATAGAAAGACAGATGGTAGATAATAGATGACAGATAGATATAAGTAGGATGATAGAAAGATAATAGAAGCCATATAGATTGATATTTGACAGAGATAGAGATAAGTGAGAAATGCATAGGTAATAGTTACATGGGTGAATAATAAATAGATGTTAGAAAAAAGGAGATATAAAACAAAAATATTTCTAAAATCTGCAAATATTAAGACTGAAAGATTTACCATACTTTCTTGATTGGAAGAATCCAATCCAGAGATTGCCAATTAATATTATTGCTGGTTGGAACAGAATGAAAGTATGCATAAATTTTAAAATTAATTTACCATACAACCCAGCAATTCTATTTCTTGATACTTACTCAAGGAAAATGAAAACATAAAAGCTCACAAATATTTATTAAAGTACATCTAAATCAGCTTAAACTGAGAAGAAGACAGATGTCCAACAAAATGCAAATAGATTAAAAATGTAATATATACCTGCAATCATATCAGGGCTTATTTTTAGAAAGGAATAACACATTAATCTGTGCAGAGGCATGAAAGCTTCAAAACAATATATTGAGCCAAGGAAGATAAACACACACTGATACATTTTGTATGATTCCATATATTTGATATTCTGGAAAGCGCTTTTCAATTTACATTGTCCAAAAACAGATCATTGATGTCCAGGGGCCCCAGGAAAAGATGGGGTTTGGCTGGAAAAGGGAATGAGGGAATGTTTTGAAATTATAGAAATGTTCTCTATTTTTATTGCAGTGAAAATGTGGTTATGCAAATGTGTCTTTCCACACTCATTAAGCCATGTATTTTAAATGGTTGCAGTTCACTGTATGTATTATGCCTCAGTAAATTAGGTAAAAAATATAAATGACCTAAACACCTTAATATATGGATGTAATAAATAGACTGGATAAAAATAAAAATCTAACAACATGTTATTTACAAGAGACATGTATTAATGGTTAGAATCCATTAGGTTCTAAATAAGTTGATTGGCAAGATACACTGTGCAAACTTTAGGCCTAATAAATCTGAGGTAGCTATATTAAAATCTGACAAAGTAGACCACAAAAAAACAAAATAGGGAACCCAAATACAAAATAGGATATTCTCTAATGAGAAAGGAATCAATGCATCAGTAAAGTATGTAAATAAGAAACATGTATGAAAACAATAATAGGTATTCAAAAATAGAGTACAATTCTAACATGAAATAGAGTTGAAAACAGTCCAATTCAAAATTACAGGGTTAGATTGTAGTTCTCCTTTCTCAGTAAATGATGTAACAAACATAACATCAGTGAAGATAGAAATGTCTTATGTAATCTTATCAAAAAACTTGAAATAGTCGACATCTGCAGAACATTCATCCCAAATTGTAGAATGTATCTGATCATCAAATGCACATTAAGCATTCACAAAGACAGATTATATTCTGGGCCACAAAATAAATAATAATACATTTTAAAAGTTCAAAACCTTATCAGGCATATTCATTGATTAAAAAACAATTAAGTTAAATACCAATAAAAATAAATATATAGAAAATTTTTGAATATTTGACAATTGAAGGAAAATGTTTGTAAATAGCTCAAGGGTCATGGACAAAAACTTAAGAAGCTGTCAGCATTTAACTTATTAAAGTGTGTGGGATGCAGCTAAAGCAGTACCCTGGGGGATATTTACAGCTTTACAGGCGTTTGATTCTTTTAAAGATTTAAAATAGAGGTTCTTTCTTTTTAAGAAGTCAGCAAAAGAAGAGCAAATTAAGCACAACATAAAATCACAAAAGGAAATAATAAATATATAAATAGAATCACTGAAACTAATAAATGAAGAATATATATATATATGAAGAACATATACATATATAAACACACACATAAATATGTATATATATATGTGTGTGTGTGTGTGTGTGTGTGTGTGTGTGTTTTCAGAGTAATTTTTAAATTGCTTTATACTTTCATTTGAAGAAATCCAAGACCTGGAAAGTTAATTTGCAATTTTAGCAGAAACAAATAGTAACTAAAAAATATTGGAAAAAGACAAGAGCTTCAGAGTGAAGAGGCAGAATGAGGATTTAAAAGACAAGGTGAAATAATAGGTGGAGGCTTGACCTTTCTCATCAGCCCACATCACTGGCAATATTCCTGGAAAATCTACAGCAGGAGACATTTTTTATAAATTTTTGAGGTACAAGTGCAATTTTGTTACATGCATAGATTACACAGTAGTCAAATCAGGGCCCTAGGATGCCTGTAGCCCAAATAACACATATTTTAGCCATTAACTAATTTCACATCATCTTCTCTCTTCCCACCCTCTCACCTTTCCCAGTCTCCAATGACTATCATTCCCATCTCTCTGTCCATGGTCCACGTGTACACATTATTTAGCTCACAATGATAACTGAGAAGATATGGTATTTGACTTTCTGTTTCTGCATTATTTATCTTAACATAATGACATCCAGTTCTACACATGTTGCTGCAAAACAAATGATTTTGTTATTTCTTATGGCTTAATAGTATTCCATTTCACACATTTTCTTTATGCAATCATCTATTGCTGGACACAGATTACACGCTCCAACTTTGCTATTGTGAATAGAGCTGGGATAAATATACAGCTCCAGGTATCTTTTTGATAAATTTATTTATTTTCTTTTGGAAGTGCACTTGCTGGATCACATGGTGGAAGGGGACATTCTTTGTATGAAGACTTCCCTGTGTCATATCAGTTTGCTTGCCCATGTGCCCACTCAGACAAAAGCATCAAAACTTTTCAGATATCATGAGGAGAGTGCAACCATTGCATGCATTAATTCTGCAAATGCTGATTGGGTACTTTTTAGGCACTGGGCATAAAGTGCTGAGAAAGCTTAGAAGTCCTTTCTCCTATGGAGTTTTCCTTTCTCCCAGGGAGCTTCCCATTTGCATTGGAAAAGGTAGACAAACAGGTAAATAACAAAATGTATCCCATGTCAGATGTCAACTAGTGAGCTGTGAAGAATAGAATGGTGCTGAGAAAGAGATGGATGACATCCATGGAGGAAGCCTTAATTGAGGGATGATTATTCCGAGCAGAGAAAAGAATGGGAACAAACATCCGGGATGAGTGTATCTCTCTGCTGTATGGAGGTGGCAGGCTGAGTTGTTTGCTGCAAGTGGAAGAGTTAGAATGGACAGTGGGAAAAGATCTGGTCAGGGAGGGTGGGAAGACCAGGTCAGGTGCGACCTTATAGGATTCATATGAATTGTGGCATTTCCTGTGACTGAGACAGAAGGCAACAGAGAACCATTAACCCATTTGTACTTTTAAAAGAACAAGTTCTATTTTGCTTATCAAGATTCATGCGGCATCAGAGATAAAAAGGGGTCAGTTAGGAAGGCATTGCAGTCATTCAAATATTAGATCACTTGGACTGAAACAAGGTGAGCAGTGAGACAGAGATGGTAGCACTTGATGATAGATGATAGTGAAGGGAAGGGGTAGAGGAGTGAAAGGTGATGTTGGAGTTGGAGTATCCAATCTCCAGAGAAACAAGATGGGCAGAGAGGAGGGAAGGAGCCCCTAGGAACACTTCTAAATTTATAGTGATGATGAGTATCAAAAAATGTGTGTATCTTCAGTGGTCATGGTGAATTCTGTGTTTGGAATATGTGTTTACAGGAAAAATTTCAAAATAAGAATGATTGGAAAACTATTGCACAGTCCTGAAAACATAGATGTGATTGCCTTTGGATTTTAGCCTGTGCCAAAACATTGCCTTAATACTTTAGGCAGAACTCAGAGAAAATTATATTTAGCCTATTTTGCACAAAATACTAAGAGCCAAAGCTGAAATATTTATTTTAAAATTAACATGGGGCTTTTTATTTTCTTCCTACTTTTCATAAAATAAATGAATGTTTTCAACCAACTGCTCTCTCCCATGAAACTACTGTTAGCTATTTACTCTCTCTATCTCATTAAAACTATATTATAAATACAAAGATAACAGCATTTAAACTGGACTTGTAATTTGGACTTATTTTATCTTTGCCATATTTGCCTCTAGTCTACAAATGCTAAGCACCTCAATTATACAAGGAAAATTGGACATAGTTTCCTGGATATTAAAATAAAAAAATATGAATGAGTGGTTAAGTGCTTTGGAATTTTGATGTAATACGCTTCTTTTTCCCTGTCAGTACATGAAAATGCATTTAAAGATAGATTAAAAACAGATGAATAAATAAAATTAGGCTTTGGAATTCTGTCCCTTTTAATCATAAGTAAACATTCCTGAAAGTAAAGCAAAAATAAATGTTTCATGGTCAAACTACTTGTTACAGGGAATTGTTTAAAGAAATTTTCATACTTGCATGGAGTTTCACTAAATACACACACACACACACACACACACACACATATATAATCTTGAATATATATAGAGCATTCAATAATGTTTTATGCAATGAAGACAGTCATCAAAAATGCAACATTTGGCCAGGCACGGTGGCTCATGCCTGTAATCCCAGCACTTTGGGAGACTGAGGTGGTGGATCACCTGAGGCCACAAGTTTGAGAGCAGCACGAACAATATCGCAAAACCCCCTCTCCACTAAAAATACAAAAATTAGCTGGGCATGGTGACATGCAACTGTAGCTTCAGCTACTTGGGAGGCTGAGACAGGAGAATTGATTGAACAAGGGAGGCAAAGGTTGCAGTAAGCCGGGATCCTGCCACTGCACTCCAGCCTGGGTGACAGAGGAAGACTCTGCCTCACAAAAGAAAAAAAAAAGCAACATTTAATGGAATGAAAAGGAAACAGTATAAAGGAAAAAGGATTTGAAAGATATTTCAATTACAATAAAAAGTTATTTTTTAAAGTAAGAATAATTTCAACAAGCATTTGGTGTATTTTTAAGAAATTATGAAAATGTGAAGGAAGATGTATTGCATGAAATTTGGGAAGTGAACTCATTTGACTAGAACATCTTGTATCAGGAGTGAAATTTAAAATAGCCACATCTTATTGTGTTTCTCTGGTATTGGCAGTTGAGTGAGGTGAGATTAACTCATTATTTCACGGAAAATTTTTCATATTCAATGTAATCTACACATTGCAGAGAAAACTTGGAATATTTCAAAGCAGTATTAGTAATGCCATATTCTCTACTGAGTGTTGTTCAAATCCTGTAGTCTGTCCCCAGAGATAAGGACATAATTATGACAAGATAGAATGCTATTTCCATGTATATATACACACAAGGATGAAAATGTTGAAAGAGGTATTTGATTGCCTGGAAGTTGAATGCTATGACCCTTTGACCCAAAGCAAAACACAGCTGCTTGTTCCTAATGTTCAACACAAAATTGTAGTTTCAGGGATTTTACCCCTTTGTCAAATCAACTTAGCCATGGTCTTGTTTTCAAAGATAGTTTTAATCCATGCACTCACATGTTGTTTTTTGAAGAAGTCTGCTATGGAGTTAGTGTGCATGTGCTCAAATTAGACCTAACATCATTGTACTCTTACCAGAATCAGAGGGACAAAATAGACTGAAATACAGTTAGTGGATAAATGATCTGTTTCCCACTGAAATTAGGAACTCTTTATAGGTTTCACAAGAGAAAAATTATCTTATGGCTTTAAAGCCAACAGCCTTATCTAAGCCAACATGTTGTAACCAGGATAATTTGTTACTCATATTGGTCACTCTTTACTTACTTCTCCACAAGCCAGTATTCCTATGCCAGCTTCATAATCCACATGATCTAGATAGAGAAATAACAGTGAATGAGAAGTTCATAGTGTTCCTTTTTTTTTTTTTTTTTTGAGACAGAGTGTCATTCTGTCACCCAGGATGGAGTCCAGTGGTGCAATCATAGCTCACTGGAGCTTTGAAATCTGGGAGCCAAGAAATCCTCCTCTGTCAGCTTCCCAAGTAGTTGTGACTACAGATGTGCACCAGCACATCCAGATAATTTTTCTTTACTTTTATTTTTGTAGAGATGACAGTTTTGTTGTGAGTCTGGTCTTTCACTCCTGTCTTCAAGATATCCTCTAATCTCAGCCTCCCAAAGGGCTAAGCATGTGAGCGTATAAGTCCCTGTTAATGGGTAGCTGTTTATTACAAAATAGCTTTGCTTTACAGAAAAATCTTGAATGTAGTACAGAGAGTTGCTATACATCTCATCCCTTCCCATGTTTTTACTTTACTATAGTACATTAATCACAATTAATAAACAATGCTGATACATGATTATTAGCTAATCTTTGTACTTTATTCTGATTGCATTTAGTTTAACTAATGTCCCTTTTATGTTCCAAAATCCCAATCAACATCCTACATGACATTTAGTCTTTATTTCTCCTTAAGCTGTTCTTGGCTGTGACAGTTACTCAAAGTTGCCTTGCTTCTGAAAATCTGGCTCATTTTGGGGAATACGAGTCAGATATTTTTAGGATGTCACTAAGTTTTTATACAACGAATGTTTTTTCTCATAATTGTGTTACCAAAAAGTGGTCCCAGTTCAGATCCCAAGAGAGGGTTTTTGGATCCCACACATGAAGGAATTCAGGGTGAGTACACAGTGCAAAGCAAAAGCAAGTTTACTAAGAAAGTAAAGTACTGAAAGTACAGCTACTCCATAGACAGAGTAGGGCATTCCAGAAAGTATTAGGAGGAATGCATTTACCCTAGGTACAATATTCACTTATATACAGGATAAAAATAGATCATGGGGACATACATTCTGCTACAAGGATTTGTAATAAAGGATTAATTTTCTTAATTACTATATTTTGTAAGAATCTATATTATTATCCTGAAAGCAAAAATAGGAGTGCTCCTGTTCTTAAGATGGTTTGTTTAGTAAATGTTATGAATTTGTTTCCTTAACCACAAACATCTAGAGGCTAGGAATACCTCACTTTCTGGAAATGCAGCCCAGCAAGACCCAGCCTTGATTTCCTAGCTTTCACTCAAGATGGAGCCACTTTGGTTCCAATGCCTCTCAAAATTAGACTGAGAATACATGTTTCGAGAAGGAAGTCCAGAGAGGTGAAGCATCCCTCTTTTTGGTTTTGATGTTGACCTTGATCACCTGGTCTGAGGTACTATTTTCCAAGTTCCTGTGTTGAGGGAATTAAGGCACCCGAGAGACCAATGAGATCAATGGGTGGAACAGGAGGATGTTATTTAGGTGGCCATTGGCTAAGTGGATTAATATCCAAAGGCTGAGACCTGAACAGAGAGAGGGCTTCACTTTTATACATACTTTGGAAAATGGTGCAAAACCTGTAAGGCAGGTAAGCAAGCTTGCAGAAGCAGAACAAAGACAGTTTATCAAACAGTGACAGATTTTACAACTCAAGCCAGGTGTTACAACTCAGACATATATTGTGACCTTCACTGTGCTGCCCAGAAGGGAAAAGCAGGAACTTACAAAACTTGCAAAGATAAGTGTAAGAATAGTAAGGGGGGAAGGGGGAAGCTGAAAGAGCAAAACTTGTTTTTCCCAATCTTGCTCCAGGATGTGAGGGAGAGACTCTGGTGTCTTTCTCTTCTGGGCCCCAGCTCTGCAGATAATGCTGTCAAAGCCTTGACAAACCCCTGTTCTTCCCTGGATCTTGGAGTGAGTCAGCCTAGTACAGGAAAACTTTTGTTTCTTTTTATATATTCTGTTTCACCTGTATGGAAGTATTGCATTTTCACTTTTTTCATTCAATTCTCTGGAAACAGGACACTAAGGCCAATGTAACCAATAATGCTAAATGTTTATTTTCCCCTGCATCTGACCTTTTGAGCCCTATTCATTTTGCAGAGGGCTGCAGGTAACATGAGGCACAAAAGTTGTATTTTAGTGGAGAAGAATGCCATACTTAAATAAACACACTGTTGGAATTATATTTAAGAACTGGCATGACCAAATTCAGATTGAATGTGAAGATGAGAAGCAAAGGAGAAGTTGAGCACACTAGAATACAAAATTTGGTGGAGGCTGGACAGGCACAGTGGCTCATGCCTGTTATCCTAGCACTTTGGGAGGCCTAGGCAGGTGGATCACTTGATGCTAGGAGTTTAAGAACAGCCTGGCCAACATGGTGCAACTCCAGCTCTACTGAAAATACAAAAATTAGCCAGGCATGGTGGTGCAGGCCTGTAGTCTCTACTACTAAGGCGGCTGAGGTGAGAAAATTGCTTCAATCTGGGAGGCAGAAGTTGAAGTGAAATAAGATCACACCACTGCACTCCAGCCAGGGTAACAAAGTGAGACCCTGTCTCAAAAAAAAAAAAAAAAAATAAAATAAAATAAAATAAAAAAAATACGGTGGTGGCAGTGGATTTGGTGGCATGATGTTCTGCTTCTGATGGAAATTCTGGGATGTAACAACTTCCTAGTTGCTCCTTCCATCTTTGTTGCATGATATCAGTAGAGTACAAATAAATTAGAAAAAAAAAATGACTAGAAAAAAATATGTTCTAGTTTCCCTGTAGCTTGATAGTCATCTTATGTACAAATAGACAAAATCCCCCTGAGAAAAAAGTGAACCTGAGGGGAGTATAAATCGAAAATAAAATCATAAGCTCATCAACCAACTGAATGGACCCTCCTCTCAGAGAAAGCATTTCACAGTAAATCTGAAACAGTCATTCAGGCCATGATGGGAATGAGTGGTGCCACATGATTCATTATTCTTTACTCCTTTTTGAATTCAGGCACACTTCACCAGCATTTATATTAATGTAGAGCCCTTAAGACTGATAGTGCAGACTCTGAAGAGTCTCTGATAACACTCTCATAAGAAGTATTTACAAATTATTCTCTCTGAAGCCTGCTACCTGGAGGCTTGATATGCCTGATAAAACCCTGGTCTCCACAACCCCTTATTTTAACCCAGACACTTCCTTCTATTGATTTCAAGACTTTAGAGGAACACTTTTGACAAATATCCAATCAGAAAAATATTTGAGTCCATGTATCACCTGGAAGCTGCCCACCCTTCAAGTTGTCCTGCCCTCTGGACCAAACGAATGTACCTCTTACACCTATTAATTAATGTCTTGTGTTTCCATAAAATGTATAAAACCAAGCTGTGTCCTGCCCACCTTTGGCACATGTTCTCAGTATCTCCTGAGACTGTGTCATGGGCATGTCCTTTACCTGAATGTATCATAGTTGCCACACTGTCAAGTATTTTTAAAAGTTTCAGCATCACTAACCAACCAACCAGTCAGTAAATTCTTTCTTTCCTTCTTTTTTTTTTTTTTTTAATTTGTAGATAGGTTCTCACTCTGTCACACTGACTTCAGTGCAGTGGTTAAATCATGGCACACTGCAGCCTTGTCTTATTGGGCTCAAGCAAGCCTCCTACCACAGACTCCTAAGTAGCTGGGCACACAATTCTATGCCACTATGCACAATTAATTTTGTATTTCTTAGAAATGGGGTCTCATTATGTTTCTCAGGCTTGTCTGTATCTCCTGTGTTCAAGCATTCCACACAACTCAGCCTCCCAAAGTGTTGGGGTTACAGGCTGTACCCAGCTGTGAATACTTTTTATGTGTATCAATTATTTTAAAAAAAAAATATTTAAAGTGAAATGCTTCATCAAAATGAATGCATGTATAAAATTTTGATAAATTCATAAATACAACCACATCACCTCTCAAGAAGCCTCACATATTCTATTACTACTTCCCTGTATGTTATATCCACAGATACACATTTAATTGCTTCTCCAATTATTTCCAGAAAGCTTTTTTCGAAACCCTTTCCTATGGACATAGTGTTTCCACGCAAAATGTAGCCCCCAACACACAGGTTCCTTTTACCTTTATCATTCTAGAACTTAGAAACGGGTAATGTATTTGACAAAATTACTGTTTAATGTGTTTCTAAACTATCTCTGCTCACTTCTCTGAATCTTGAATTAAGTCTGTGTGGACCATTGCTGAGTTTCAAAGCTTAGATTATTGTGAGCACATTGCATGCACTAAATCAAAATTTATTAAACATATAGCAAGCATTGGGTAGAGAACCGTTACAGAGTATCCTTTATTATGCACACTTGGATGAAAATTTATAATATGTTGGTCTATACTATATTTTCTAATAATTTATTGTAAGATAACAAGAAATACTAATCATTCTTCAGAGAATTAAAATCACAGAGTGCATATAACTTGAGAAAGGCCAGTTTGTAATTCAAAGTTGCTAATACTGGCTGTTGCTGACATTGGCTTTTGCTTCAAAGGTGGCACTAGCAAGTATTCAACAATAACTTGGGAGGAAATTTTCATATTTTTTACAAATATTTTTCATTAAGACCTGTGTTCAAAAGCTGACTATGTCTAAAGTAACAATACAGGAATATAGTGCCCATTATTCAGTAAGACAAACACACAAGCTGTTAAAGAACAAACAAACAAAAGGAAAACACCTACACATGAACATAAAACAAAAGGCAAACAGAGGAGACAATGGCATCTGTCTGAAAGCTATTGACATTGTCTCTGTGTAAACTTTATAAGATTAATCAGTGATGAAGGGATGGTGAGAAATACAAATAAAGAAAGCTTGCAGCCCATTCACCATTCATTATGAAGTCAGCTTGCTTTCTGACTTTCAACCTTATGGTTATTTGGTGTCTCTAGTATTAGAGTCAAGTACATGCTGGATTATAGTTTTCCTTAACTGCTCTATAGACAACAGGTTCAACAGTATGAAATGTTAAACTTTTCCATTTTGAGATTCTTTCAGATCCTGCATATCAGTGAAACAACCAATGTCAGCTGCTTTAAAGGACTCCATGAGGAGTTGGCTGACCAGAGAATGCAGCTTCCACGTTCTGATTATTTAATCACCCTTTCCCTGATAAATCAAAAACACTAACTTTCCAGCCCCCTGCCCTCCACAATACCCTCAAGAACCCAGAACTCCTCAGGGAAGTGAACTTGAGGGCCTCCTCTTGATGTGGTCTGGCTCTGTGTCGCCACGCAAATCTCATCTCATATTTTAATCCCCACGTGTCAGAAAGGGCCTGTTGGGAAGTTATTGGATCATGGGGAAAGTTTCCCACACACTGTTCTCATGATAGAGAGTGAGTTCTCATGAGATCAGATGGCTTTCTAAGAGACTCTTCCCCCTTTGCTCTCTTACCTGCCAACATGTAAGACATCCCTTTCCTTTCTTTCCCTTAACATACTGCCATGATCATAAGTTTCCTGAGGTCTCCCCAGCCACACAGAACTGTGAGTCAATTAAACGTCTTTTCTTTATAAATTACCTAGTCTCAGGTAGTTGTTTCTAGTACTGTGAAAACAGACTAATACACACTCATGTCCTCATTTTGCACCCTGAGATCATTAAACTATTTCTCTGCCACAAACTCCGGTGTTTCAGTGTACTGGCCTGTTAATATGCAATAGGCATACAGACCTGGTGTCCTATAACACAAATCTCTCTGACATTTGTTAGACATCATATCTAGTCCTCTCCATATGTTTCTGTGACTATATGTGGCTAGAATTTCCCAGAAAGATTATGAGGGCTATGGAGTATGTCAGACTTTTTTTACTAGCTCTTTCCAGCTATACTTCAATGAATTTGAAGGATTCTCCGTAGTAGGAATAGTCGTAATAGAAGAATCCAGGAAAGAGGATATCTCTTGAGAAATTGAGAAAACATTTAGTGTTGTGCCTCTGCTGTTCACATTTAGGGTTTTTGAGTCCTTTGCCTGGTTGTTTGCCACAGAATAGTGTCCTCAAGGATGACATTTAACAAGAAATAGAAATTCTTTCCTGGATCAGAGTCATGACGCACCCTTGGAAGCTATGCTGATGTAAGACCGTGGTAATAATTTCACAGGGAGATCCTTATCATCTGTTATCCTTTTTCTAGGTGGGAACTTCTATAGGCAACAGTTTGCATCTTTCTTCCTTTTTTACATTCCCATGTGTCTTGTTAAATGTATCACTCCTGTCAGCCCCTTTCCTCATGTATTTCAATTACAATTAGTCACAGAGTGAGGGATAGTATTTCATTCTTACTTCCTATAAACACATCAAAGCTGCTGTGTCCTACCTTTGAGAGCCTGCTTTTATGCCCAAGTGACACTGCTGATTGGAACCACTTGATTTAAGGCATCCTTCAGTGAGTTTATTTTATTTTATTTTATTTTATTTTATTTTATTTTATTTTGTTTTGTTTTGTTTTGTTTTATTTTGTTTTGTTTTTCAAGACAGAGCCTCACTCTGTTGCCCAGGCTGGAGTCCACTGGTGAGATCTTCTATCAATGTAAGGTCTGCTTCCTGGGTTCAAGTGATTCTCCTGCCTCAGCCTCCCCAGTAGCTGGGATGACATGCATGTGCCCCTTGCCCAGCTAACTTATTTATTTTTAGTGAAACGTGGTTTCACTATGTTGACCAGGCTGGTCTCCAACTCCTGACCTCAGATGATCCACCTGCCTTGGCCTCCCAAAGTCCTTCAGTGAGATTAAATCAGTGACTCCTGGATTCTGGATTCTGGGTTCTGAGCAAGTACTTTGGCCTTTATTTTTTCAGCAATAAATTATGCAGCAGGATGGCCTACGTTTGTCCAATCTAAAGTAGAAAAACATTCTGAGGCATACAATAATTTATTCATCAACCAGTCCTAGGGATTTCAAATGCAGCCAAACAAAAAGTATAACTACTCAGCTATTTTGGAATTTACTTTCCAGTGCAGGGAGACTAATACCAGAAAAATAAAACAAAACTTAAAGTCAGAAGGGGAAAGGAGTGAGCAGGTGTTTGGGATTTTCAACGTAAGGATGGGCAAGTGAAAATGCTTTTGAGCCTCAACAAGTCCAGTGAGGCTGGAACAGAGTAAGGGAGAGGCACAGGAGTTAGGGAAATAAATTAATTACATAGGGGTGTATAAGTTATTCTGTGGATTGGGTTTTTTAGAATGTATGAGAGTAATAAGTTAACACATAAATTGTAATTTCTCAACTTCAGTATGATGGACTCTTTGGGCTAAAATATTTTCTGTTGCAGGGGCTGTCCTGGGCTTTTTTAGCAGCATCTTTAGTTGCTATCCAGGAGACACTGGTTGTAGTGTCCTTCCCACCTCCATCATGGCAGCTAAAAATCTCTCCAGACATTTCCAAGTGTTTCTCCTGAGAGGCAGAACTGCCCCTGCTTAGGAATGGGTACCCTATAAACACTTTTAGAAATGCTTCCCCAGATCTCGTGACTCCAAACCTTTATATGAAAAGCCTAGAAGTCTGCATGGAAAACCAGTACACCAGGAAACTATTACAACAGTGTCAATTTTGGAAAGAATACTCTAAATCCTTGCTGAAAAGCACAATTTTAAGGCCTGAAGGCAATAACATTGCCAGGAAGCTCCTTAGAAATCCAGAATTCCAGGCTCCATCCTAGACATGCTATACAAGTCTTGCATTTTAACAAAATCCTCAGGTGACCAATGAGCACATTACTGTTTGAGAGGCTTGTTTTACAGAATTCCAACAGAATCCGGTCTCTAAATGTTGACAAGTTATTTATTATTCCATTATAGATTGTAAGTACATTGAGGAAAAATGCTGTCTCCCTGGTGACCAAAATCAAAAGGTTTCTGGCACTGTTTAGAAAGAACTTATAGGATCTAAGAAGAAAAAAAAATAAAACTTTAAACTGGGAGATATTTGCTACATAGTTACAGAAATCTGGATATATGTGGGGAGGAAAGACCGAAAATACTTACAAAGAATACCTAAGGCATTCTTTGTTGTGAAGTGTTTATGTTCTTCCGGTGATCTTTGTTTTTCATCAATCTTTCCTTAGCCCTAGTTTTCAACAATACTAAATGAAAGAGTTGTGAATTGAAGGTCATATACTACTTTTAGGAATACAGTACATGAAAGATTTACTGTATAATAAAGTTATAATAAGAAATATTATAAAGATATAATATATATGAGAATATAATAAGGATATATAATAAGAAATGATATAATAATATAAAGGATATAATAAGGCTATGATAAAATATATTAAGTATATAATAAGACATAATAAGAGAGAATATAATAAGAAAAAGGATATAATAAGAAAAGGATTCAGGGTCTAGAGATGGACCTGCTGCAACAATCCTTCAGAATAACTAGTTTACTTTCCCCATGATTTGCAGTTACAATGATCTAAGATTACATGATCTTAGGATACATTCCCAGGGAACTCCTGATGGTAGACCTCCAAGAGAAAAAGCTGGAAAGGTTAGTGACACTCAAGAATGGCTAGTGTAGAAAATAGTGGGTTGAATTCTTCATTAATAGTGGGTTGAATTCCCCATTAACAGGGATTATGTTTATTTTTTTCTTTAAAATTTCTAAATATGGAGTATGCACATGCTTGAAATCAACTAAATGAGATAGATGATGGAGTAGATTTCTAAGGATCTTGTAATCCACAAACACTTTGTTTGATAGCTTTCATGATTGGAGATTATTTAGAACAAGAATACAAAGAAATACATTACAGAAAGGGTGAAAAAATCTTGGACCAAAAGTAAAGACAGCAAATATTAAAGGAGACAATAACACTATCGATCCTTTCCAAGTATGAAGTCAAGCAGTCAATTGAGGAGAAAGCCTGAACACTCCTTGCAGCCAAGTTTTACTAAAAGGACATCAAGGAGAATGATTCTGAGGCTTCCACATGTCTTGGCATCAGGGTCTCTTGTATAAATATTCTGAGTGTTTTCACTCAACTGACATGAAAATCATGTGTTCCACTGTTCATTCCTACAGTAAGAACAAAATATATTGTGATGGTACTTACCTAACAAATTACTTGAAAAAGAAATAAACATACATGGGTATATGAAAATCACTTTAAAATGAGTTTATTTGGTTATTTCAATGTCCTTAAAAATAACCAGATGTACAGAAATTAGAGGAAATTTGTTTGGTTTTTTCTTTCAAACTTCTAAAAATTATGTGAAGTACCATTACCCCTTCTTGACTGTGTGAAAGGATAATATCTTGGGTCCCCCATATCACTAGGGTAAAAGAAAATCACAAGCTGGAAACTGCTTAGAGAAAACTGCCTCCCATTCTATTCAAAGTTATCTCTCTGTTCACAGAGAGAAAAGCATATTTGATTGCCTCCTTTGGAAAGGCTCATCAGAAACTCAAAAGACTGCAACTGTTCATCTCTCACCTATCTGTGACCTGGAAGTCCCCTCCTGGATTCCAGTCTTCCTGCTTCAAGTTGTCCCACCTTCCAGACCAAACCAATGTACTACTTATATTGTCTCATGTCTCCCTAAGATATATAAAGCCAGCTGTGCCACAACTACCATGGCCACATGTCGTCAGGACTTCCTGAGCCTACGTCATAGATGTGTGTCCTCAATCTTGGTAAAATAAACTTTACAAATTAACTGAGATCTGTCTCAAACTTTGGGGATTCACAACTGCTTAGAGAAGCAGTTTAGACAATGAATAAACCATGAATTGAAGGTGAGATTCTCATAAGGCTATTAGTGAAATGAAACAATAAAAAATGAATTATTTCTACATTTTTTTCCCCAGCAGAATTATAATGACTTTATATGGAAGTTTATCTCAGTAAACAGTATTAAGGAACCTGCTTTAGGGAAGAAGATGGTTATAAATGTCTTGTACTGATATAATGTTCACCTTTGAGGAAAAAGCAACTTACCTGGGTTCACTTAGGAAATCTAAAATCAGAATTAATTGTGTAGGTTTTAAGGTGAACTGAGAAATAAGGGAAAATCAGACACTAGGTATTCTGTGAGGCAGTCACAATTGGTCTTCTGACTCTTTAAGTCTTGTTTTATTCTATTCTATCCCTAAAGGAAGTCATATGACCCTCAAAGTCTAACTTTGTTTTATTTAATGCTGGCCAAAACAAAGTTAGCAGAATGAAAACAAACAAACAAATGAAACCCAGTCCTGGAGAGGAAAAAGGAATATATAGACCATGAGGCTCTATCTATCTATCTATCTATCTATCTATCTATCTATCTATCCATCTATCTATCTATCATCTACCTAACTATCTATCTATCTAATTTTTTTTTTGAGATGGAATCTTGCTCTGTTGCCCAGGGTGGAGTGCAGTGGTACGATCTCAGCTCACTGCAACCTCCACCTCCAGGGTTCAAGTGATTCTCCTGTCTCAGCCTACTGAGTAGCTAGAATTACAAGCATGTGCCACCACAACCAGCTAATTTTTGTATTTTAGTAGAGACAGGATTTCACCACATTGGCCTTGCTGGTTTGGAACTCCTCACCTCAAGTGATCTTCCTGCCTTGGCCTCACAAAGTTCTGGTTTTACAGGTGTGAGCCACCACTCCTGGCTGAAAATGAGTTTTTGATAGGCAATAATTTTGTGAGCAATTCAGTGGAAAATATTTTTTTTCAACCAATGTTTCTGTAAAGATTGAATATTCATATGCAAAGATTAAAAAATGAACTTTGTGGCATACTTTATGCTACATAGCACAACTAATTGAAAGTGAATGAATCACAGACCTATATGTAACAACCAAAGCTACATGAACTTTAGAGGACATTTAGCTAAGCAAATATTTCTTATAAAGCCACTGAGACCTTTAGCTAAGCAAATATTTCTTACCAAAGCATGACCCATGAGTGGAAAAAAAATAAAAATTAACTTTAAAAAAATTAATGTATTTCAGTCTTTGAGACAAACTGTTAAGGTAATGAAACAAAAACCACAAACCAGAAGAAAATATTTGTAAATTGTCTATATGAAAAAGGACTTGAATCCAGAGTGTATAAATAAATTTTCAAACACAATGATAATAAAAAGGAACCCAATCCATATTTGACAAATGATTTCGAGAGACACACTTACTAAAAAAATATACTGACATCTAATAAAAAGATGTTATACATCTTCATACAGAAAAGTAAAGTAAATGTGTAAATCTGCTAACACTATGTACTGACTACAATGTCTAAAAATGATAATGATCATTCTGACTGTTAACATGAATTTGGAGCAACTGTAATTCTCATACACTGTTCATGGGAATGTAAAATTATACATGCACCTTTGGCCCATCAATTCCACTCATATAAATCTACCCAAGAAATATGACAGCACAGTCCTCAGTGAAGACTGAGTGTTCAGTTGTGTTGGCAATAGTCCAGACCTGGAAACACCTAACCATCAATATTTAATTGGATTAAAATAATGATATATCCATATAGTACACTCAGTGATAAATGAGATTGAACTCTGCAAACCACAATATAGATAAATATCAAAATCCTTATGCTGAGTGAAAAAATCCAGGAAAGAAAACCACACATACACTAAGATTCCATTTTTTTAAAAATCACCCACATGCTGCATTACGTTTATTGATTTGCATATGTTGAACCAGCCTTGCATCCCAGGGATGAAGCCCACTTGATCATGGTGGATAAGCTTTTTGATGTGCTGCTGGATTCAGTTTGCCAGTATTTTATTGAGGATTTTTGCATCCATGTTCATCAGGGATATTGCTCTAAAATTCCCTTTTTTGTTGTGTCTCTGCCAGGCTTTGGTATCAGGATGATGCTGGCCTCATAAAATGAGTTAGGGAGGATTCCCTCTTTTTCTATTGATTGGAATAGTTTCAGAAGGAATGGTAACAGCTCCTCCTTGTACCTCTGGTAGAATTCGGCTGTTGATCCATCTGGTCCTGGACTTTTTTTGGTTGGTAAGCTCTTAATTATAGCCTCAATTTCAGAGCCTGTTATTGATCTATTAAGAGACTCAACTTCTTCCTAGTTTAGTCTTGGGAGGGTGTATGCATCGAGAAACTTATCCATTTCTTCTAGATTTTCTAGTTTATTTGCGTAGAGGTATTTGTAGTATTCTCTGATGGTAGTTTGTATTTCTGTGGGATCAGTGGTGATATCCCCTTTATCATTTTTTATTGTGTCTATTTGATTCTTCTCTCTTTTCTTCTTTATTAATCTTGCTAGCAGTCTACCAATTTTGTTGATCTTTTCAAAAAAACAGCTCCTGGATTCATTGATTTTTTGAAGGGTTTTTTTGTGTCTCTATTTCCTTCAGTTCTGCTCTGATCTTAGTTATTTCTTGCCTTCTGCTAGCTTTTGAATGTGTTTGTTCTTGCTTCTCTAGTTCTTTTAATTGTGATGTTAGGGTGTTAATTTAAGATCTTTCCTGCTTTCTCTTGTGGGCATTTAGTGCTATAAATTTCGCAATGGGATACCATCTCACACCAGTTAAAATGGCGATCATTAAAAAGTCAGGAAACGACAGGTACCGGAGAGGTTGTGGAGAAATATGAACACCTTTACACTGTTGGTGGGACTGTAAACTAGTTCAACCATTGTGGAAGACAGTGTGGCGATTCCTCAGGGATCTAGAACTAGAAATACCATTTGACCCAGACATCCCATTACTGGGTATATACCCAAAGGAATATAAATCATACTGCTATAAAGACAAATGCACACATATGATTACTGCGGCACTACTCACAATAGCAAAGATTTGGAACCATCCCAAATGTCCAACAATGATAGACTGGATTAAGAAAATGTGGCACATATACACCATGGAATACTATACACCATAAAAAATGATGAGTTCATGTCCTTTGTAGGGACATGGATGAAGCTGGAAACCATCATTCTCAGCAAACTATCGCAAGGACTGAAAACCAAACACTACATGTTCTCACTCATAGGTGGGAATTGAACAATGAGAACACTTGCACACAGGAAAGGGAACATCACACACCGGGGCCTGTTGTGCAGTGGGGGAAGAGGGGAGGGATAGCATTAGGAGATATACCTAATGTAAATGACGAGTTAATGGGTGCAGCACACCAACATGGCACATGTGTACATATGTAACAAACCTGCATGTTATGCGCATGTACCCTAGAACTTAAAGTATAATAAATATATATATAAATATAATAATAATAAGCAAATAAAAATAAAAATGAAATAAAATCACCCACATATACCAATGTATCCATAGTGACAAAAAACAAAAGGGTCAGTTCTTGGGACAGAAAAGTGGGGGTACAAGGAATGAAAAGACACATTGGAAATGGATGGACATGTTCATTGTGCTGAATGGGAAAAAAGTCTCACAGTTGGCTACATGTCAAAGCTTATCAATAGTCCCTGAATATGTAAAAATTTTTATGTGTTATTTATACCTCAATTAAGATTTTTAAAATTCATCTTTCAGTTCAGTTTTAGAGGTCCGTTCATTTATAGAGGTTCAGTTCAGTTTCCATCCTTATTTTATACTCTGAATCATTACACTTTTATCTGATTTCTTATAATCAACATCATATCCTCAGTTAGGACTGGTGTATACCTGATAACAAATCATCCAATTGGGTATTATTTTAAGCTTGATTTTTCATGGTTTCTCTAATCTAGACTGGCTCCAAGAGGAACAGTTTGATAACATGAGTAAATATCAGACACTAGAAGCAAGGCTGAATTCTCATAAATTGGATTGAGATTACAATCAAATTGTATACATGTGATTGTATACATATGGTCATATTAAATTATATTGTAGAGGTAGACTTGGAAGGGATTCTTCAGTAGACTAGGAGGTAAAAATTTGCTCTTGTTAAAATGTTTTGTTAAATTTAATTATAGAGTGCTCTGAGGGACTTCTTGGCAAGTGATTCATGGTATAGATGCCACTTTTTTATTATTATTATACTTTAAGTTATGGGATATGTGCAAAATGTGTAGGTTTGTTACATAGGTATACATATGCCATAGTGGTTTGCTGCACCCATCAACCCATCATCTACATTAGGTATTTCTCGTAATGCTATCCCTCTCATAGGCCCCCAACTACTGACAGGCCCTGGTGTGTGATGTCCCCCTTCCTGTGTCCATGTGTTCACATTGTTTAACTCCTATTTATTAGTAAGAACACGTAACCTTTGGTTTCCTGTTCCTTTGTCAGTTTGCCCAGAATGATGGTCTCCAGCCTCATCCATGTCCCCACAAAGGACATGAACTCATCCTTTTTTATGGCTGCATAGTATTCCCTGTTGTATATGTGCCATATTTTCTTTATCCAGTCTATCATTGATGGGTATTTGGGTTGGTTTCAAGTCTTTGCTATTGTGAATAGTACTGCAATAAACCTATGTGTGCATGTGTCTTTATAGTAGAATGGTTTATAAGCCATGGGATATATACCGTAATGGGATTGCTGGGTCAAATGGTATTTCTGGTTCTAGATTGTTGAGGAATTGCTACACTGTCTTCCACAATGATTGAACTAATCTACATTCCCAACAACAGTGTAAAAGCACTCCTATTTCTCTACATCTTCTCCAGCATCTGTTTCTTACCTTTTTAATGAACCCCATTCTACCTGGTGTGAGATGGTATTTCATTGTGGTTTTTATTTTCATTTCTCTAATGACCAGTGATGATGAGCTTTCTTTCATATGTTTGTTGGCCACATAAATGTTTTCTTTTGAGAAGTGTCTGCTCATATCCTTCACCCACTTTTTGATGAGGTTGTTTGTTTTTTTCTTGTAAATTTGTTTAGGTTCCTTGTAGATTCCAGATATTAGCCCTTTGTCAGATGGATATATTGAAAAACTTTTCACCCATTCTGTAGGTTGCCTGTTCACTCTGACTGTATTTTCTTTTGCTGTGTAGAAGATCTTTAGTTTACTTAGATCTTATTTGTCAATCTTTGCTTTTGTTGCCATTGCTTTTGGTGTTTTAGTCATGAAGCCTTTGCTCATGCCTCTGTCTTGAACGGTATTGCCTAGGCTTTCTTCGAGGGTTTTTATGGTTTTAGATCTTATGTTTAAGTCTTTAATTGATCTTGAGTTAATTTTTTATAAAGTGTAAGGAAGGGTTCCAGTTTCAGCTTTCTACATAGATGCCACATTTTAATGTTGTTATACCACAAGAACATCTTCAGTTTTAGAAAACAAGTTTAAACATACCTATTCAAAGCTAAAGAAATAGTACAGGAGTTGGAGAAACATGTCTTGTGCTGTATACACTGTATCAGAACTTAGGATATCTGAGCAAATAAATATTACTGTCCTTGAAATACCTCAAATGTATTGGGTCTATTTACTTACCATGAAGGTCAATTATCAATACAAACTCCAGCTTCTCTTAAAACTCATTTCACTAGTAAAACAACAGAATGTCATGAAAAACCCATCACTGCAAATGAGAATATTATAGGACTTATACTTTACCAAATGTATGATGAACAAATGATCTGTTACACTTCATACCAACAGATCAACACTATAAAAGTTGAACAAATTCAGATTATTTCCAATGTCTGATCCAGTCTCAGCTTCTCCAGGGGAGGAAAGATAAACATGAATGAGATGAAGATTTTGCTGCTGTGTTGTGCTTCATCTGATTTGTGCTTACCAAAACCCTGCATCTGAGCAAGACCACTCACTGGTAACATGACTAACTTGACCTCAGACATCTTATGTGTGTATGTGTGTGTGTGTGTGTGTGTGTGTGTGTGTTTGTCAGTCTAGCTCACACAGTTGTATAAAATCGTATATGCACAGCACTCCACTTCTGTACATATTCATAAGACAATCTGTCTTCCAACTCTTAAAATTTTTTCATCTTATTTCTTCTCTGTTAAAAAAAGGAAAAACAATTGAATGTGGCAAAATGACGCTTTTTGAGTTTCCATAGAATTGGATTATATCATTTTAGCTATTTCAATAAATTTTCAATTCTGTGACATATATGTGAATATGAAGCACTATTTCAAGTAATATGATTCTACTTGGCAGTGAGTAGAGCCCTGCTTTGCTCAAGAGGAGTAGATGTATTTCTGTATTCCTGAGATAAAGTAGAGACAATTATTATGAAAATAGAAAAGACACTGACTAGCCTTTCTCATGGGCTTTTTCCTCTGTAGGTTGCAGGGGACAGGTACACCATTTTCATGGCAGTTGATGATGTAGAGAAGATACAGGAAAATGGACCAATAACAAGTTATATCCATTGGATTGAATGCTATAATGGAGGTGAAACACTCATCTTCACTTTTTACATGAAGTAAGCAAAATTTGCCTCCATTTAAAGTAACAGAACTGTTGATTATTGTTCTTTCATGATCTTCCTGCTTTCTGGTCTCAAATTTGTTTGGATTATATTCAAGAATCAGTGACTCTGAAGTTTATTCACAGAACGGTGCTCTTAGTTTGTGGTATAGTCTTAACAGGAGCAGGGAAGCCCTGCATAACACCATGTAGTGTTTTCTTAGAAGGCACAGGGGTTGAGAAGCTTTGTTGGAGTTTTATTGTTAATAATAGAGAGGCAAAGGCAATTAGAAGAGAATCCTTTCTCAGAACCCAGAAATTCATCCCAATGGCAGTCATGTCCTCAGGGTCTATGTTTTATTCTTCAGAGATTTTTATGTACATTGGAAACAGGTTTTATAAAGTTACTCTTAAGGTTCACTTCAATGTGAAGGGCTATATACAAAAGATTTTCTACCTGACATTTTGTTGTTTGTTTTTTTAAAAACTTTTATTTTAGGTTCACGGGTACATATGAAGATTCATTACATAGGTAAACTTGTATCACTGGGGTTTGTCTTACAGATTATTTTATCACCCAGGTACTAGGCCTAATAATCAATAGATATTTTTTTCTATTCCTCTCTCCCTTTCCACCCTCCATCCTCAAGTAGGTCCCAGAGTCATTGTTCCTCTCTTTGTGTCCGTATGTTCTCATCATTTAACTCCCACTTATAAGTGAGAAGATGCTGTATTTGGTTTTCTCTTTCTGCATTAGTTCACTTAGGATAACATAATGACCTCTAGCCCCATCCATATCCCTGCAAAGGACACGATCCCATTTGTTTTTATGGCCACATAAAATATTTCATGACGTACCTATACCATATATTTTTTTACCCACCCTGCCACTAATGGGCATTTAGGTTGATTTCATGTCTTTGCTATTGTCAACAGTGCTGTGATTAATATATGTGTGCATGTGTCTTAATGATAGAACAATTTATATTCTTTTGGATGTATACTCAGTAATGGGATTGCTGAGTCAAATGTTAATTTTGTTGGTAGCTCTTTCAGCAATCACCACACTGCTTTGTACAATGGTTGAAATAATCTACCCTTCCATCAATAGTGTATAAGCTTTCCTTTTTTTTCTGAAACCTCACCCGTATCTGTTATTTTTTGACTTTTAGTAATAGAAATTTTGACTTCCAACTGACATTTTGATGGCAAATTTTCATCAATATATGAATATTTGCAATAAGCAAATATTTACAGAACATTTAGTGTACTGGGAGCACTGTGCTGGGCACAGTGTAGTAGGACTTAAAAATGACAAATTATAAAAGTATATGTCTTATTTTAAAGGCTAAAAGTACAAACAAGAGCATAGACAACTAAGTAAAAAGAGGGCTCAATGATAAATGCCATTTAAAGAATTGATCACTGAACAAAAGTGTTGTGTATGGGAGTGAGAAATATTTTACACACAGGAAATGGCATTTCTACCCCTCAAAACTGATTGACATTTTCCAGCCAAGAATCAGAAAGAAATGGGAAGTTCTCTATGTAGAGAAGTACAGCTATGTTAAAGTTCATTATGAATTTAGGAAATATTGAATTCTCAGTATGGTGATACACATGCATGAAGATGATCAGAGGTTGGACATGGTAATCCCAGCACTTTTGGAGGCTGAGGAGGGCAGATCACTTGAGGTCAGGAATTTGATATATGCCTAGCCAACATGGTGAAACCCATTCTCTACTAAAAATACAAAACTTGGCTGGGTGTGTGGGTACACACCTGTAGTCCCAGCTACTTGGGAGGATGAGGCATGAGTATTGAAACTGGGATGCAGAGGTTGCAGTGAGTTGAGATTGCACCACTGCACTCCAGCTTTGGTAGCAGAGTAGTGAGAATCCATCAAGCAAATAAACAAACAACCAACCAAAAACCAGTTGATTGTAGAACACTAAACTGGAAACAAACACTGAGACTTTTTTCTTGATAATTTTAGTTTTCTTTATAACTTTATCATATGAGAAAATCAGCATGGATGTAATTTTCCTAATAAGGGAATCATGATATTCATTTTCTGTGTCATAATTGATCCTCAGGAACCCATAAAGAGAAGAGTATATTCATGAAAATAATGTTGAAGACTTAGCAGTGGGATAAGCAGATATAGTGGTGATTAAAATTTATATATATATATAAATTACATATATAATTATATGTGTGTATATATACATATATAAATATATATACACATATAAAAATATATACATGTGTGTATGTATGTGTGTGTGTATATATATATTTGAGACAGAGTGTCACTCTGTTGCCCAGGCTGGAGTGCAGTGGCATGATGATCTCGGCTCATTCAGACTGCCTCCTGGGTTCAAGTGATTCTTCTGCCTCAGCCTCCTGAATAGCTGGGACTACAGGTGCACACTACCATGACCAGCTAATTTTTGTATTTTTAGTAGAGATGGGGTTTCACCATATTGTCCAGGCTGGTCTTGAACTCCTGACCTTGTAATCCGCTCTCCTCAGCCTCCCAAAGTGTTGGGATTACAGGCATGAACTACTGGGCTTGGCCCCTAAAATTAATGTTTTAAGACATACTTAAACTACAGATCAAGAGTTTAGTTCTCATATAAATGTTGAAGCTTGAACATGTCATTCTCTAAAGATGGTGACACCACCAAAGCAAAGTAGAAGAGTGATGCATTGTGTGGATGTAAAACAAGTGTTCGAAATAGATAATTTTAAATTTAAATATCAACTACAAGTTGAGATATGAGTAATGGATTTATAAACTCCAGATATGTACACAGTATGTGAATATTTATGTGTATTTCCAGGTTAAAGTTCGTGTCTACACCTTTACATGTAGGTTTGTGTCAACATCTTTGTGTTTATGTCCATCTCTGTCTCTAGTTCTATCACTGTCAATATCTATGTGAATCCTTTTCCTAAATAATTGTAAGCTGAATTCATACACTTTTTTTTTCTTTTGAGATGGAGTCTCGCTCTGTCACTCAGGCTGGAGTGCAGTGGTGCGATCTCGGCTCACTGCAAACTCTGCCTCACGGTTCACGTCATTCTCCTGCCACAGCCTCCTGAGTAGTTGGGACTACAGGCGCGTGCCATCACACCCTGCTAATTTTTTTGTATTTTTAGTAGAGACAGGATTTCCCCATGTTAGCCAGGATGGTCTCAATCTCCTGACCTTGTGATCTACCCACCTCATCCTCCCAATGAAGTCATATACTTTTAAGAGTTAGGTTACAGAGTGAGAACTTCAGAATCTTTAGGAAAAAAGATTTGAGGAGAGACAGTGTTTGCAGGGCAGAGAAAAAAAAGAAAGGATGAAATTGTTTGTATCAAAGGAATAGAGCAGGGATTCTAGCAATTCTAGCAATTCATTATCATGTCTAGATATATGATAATTTTACTACATAACATTTTTAGTATGCTAGAATTTTTTTTCTTGGGAATACTGCTTGAAGTACTGATTAGCAAAATAGTCCCTCTTGAAGCATTCCATGACTAAAGCTATAACTTAGGTAAGATATGGGTTTTAAGCATTGAATAATTACACTAATCTAGGCTAAACGAGGAGACTCTGTAATATAGGGACAAAGGGAAGAAATTTTGTAAAGCATTGAACTGTAAAATATGATTAACTCTAGAAAACTCCAGTGTGACTACATTATTTTGCAGGCTACAATATTTTTAGGATTCTAGATAAGGTTTACAGAAACCATGCACAATACAGATTTACACATAATTTTCTATGTCTTGTAGACATCAATATGTACCTTAGAAACTGTCAACATACATATTTCTATTATTTTTTAAATAAATAAAGATGGGGTCTCACTATGTTCCCCAGGCCAGTCTCAAACCCCTGTACTCAAGTTGTTCTCCTGCCTACGCCTCCTAAAGCGCTGAGATTACAGGAATAAGCCACTGCATCTATATAGCATAAGTCTTGATATAGGGTCACTGGGTCACTCACAATTAATAGTTCCCATGACAAATTTCCATGTGGAAACAATATATGCACATAGGCAATTGGAAGTTTTGTGAAATGAGTTCTAAATTAACATTCCAGAAGTATTTTTCTCATCAATCGCTTTTATCTTTTCTTGCATGCTCTCACCAAATTATATAATTTATATGAGTGTCTCAATATTGTTTTTTACATTCTTACAGAATACAATGATATCAGGGATACTTGCAACATCATCATCTCCATGGCATTGGAATCATCAATATGCAAATAAAATAGGGTTTTTGTCAAAATGTAATTTCTTCTTTCCTAGGAAGTCGTGAACTTCGCTAGATGGGTTGCCTACTTGTCCCCTTCAATACCCAATTTTATGTTGCTGGATTTATAAATGATTACATAAATTGATTTAATAAACATATGTATGTGTCTCTGAAGAAAGGTTATCTTATTGATATTTCACAGGGATATTCCCTTGAATGCACCTACACAGAGAATTGGTTCTACCATAAAACAGGATATAATTATATTTTAAGACTAATAGCACACTTTCTCAATGTATACTTGTGAGAAGAGAAAACATGAGCTACAAGGTTGTGGTTGAGACTTTTATGATGCAGTGCAAATTTCCCACCTAATGTCACTTAAGGATGGTCACTGGATCACCATATATATTTCCAAAAAAAAAAAAAGGCTTGGTTTTCTTAATATCAGAAAACATTTCAAACATTAAGTCATTGAGAAGCTTGAATGTGCTTCTGGGAGTTGGGAGTTAGGATTTAAGAGAAGACAGTATAACATGACCAATGTTGAAATTTAGAGGAAGTCCCTACTAATATAGGCTCACTACCACATTTCTGGTTGGCTTGTAGTTCTTTCTTGGAAAAATATTATTCTAATTTCCTTATAGTATTAGCCATCAAAGTAGGGGAAGCAGATCAAATCTACCATAAGACCAAGTCATAGGAAGAAGATCAAATTAAGATGCTAGGCAAAAGTCTCAGCACATATGGATTATGAGAAGCACATTCACACATCCAAACTCAAAGAATGGACTCAGCGACACAAAGAACAGTGGAAGCAAGATTTAATAGTGGTTTTGCAATATCCGGTATCTGATAGGCAGGCACACCTGGGCCAGTTACCGCCAGTAATTTATCTCCTAGCATGAAAGTCCCTCCCCCAGTTCCTTATTATGTGACTACTATGGGGTTACAACCTTCCCAGAAAATCACAGATATCTAAAAGACCACATTGTCTGAGCGGGCAAAAAATGAGTAAAAAAATGTAAAAAAAAAAAAAAGACATTGGAAAACACAGTTATAGGCAACTTTAGAAACTGTTGATATGTTTCTGGGAAATTGGAAGGCTATGTACAAACGCAAGGCCGCAGTAATGCCCAGGAAAAAGACAGCAGGGCATCAGCTCTTATTGGGCCATGGCTAACTGTAAACTACCTGAACTTTGAATGCATGTTGCATCCTACACATGGGTTTCCTCAGTGAGGATGTTCCTGCCTTCTTACCTCTAGTTGTCTTAAGAAAAACTGATGAATCATTAGTTGACTACTAAACTACACTGACTCAGGGTCAGCCCCTTTGAAGGCAGACTTAAACAAAATTAAAGAAAAAACAAGGAGCAGAGACTTCAATGACTACACACTAAAGTGGGTAGAGAATGTATACATTTAGTCCAGGAAAGTAACCAAATAAACAACAAAAACATGCAAATAAAACAACAAAAACACAAGCAAAAAAATCCATGAAACAAGAAATGGAAGCAATGACAATTTAAGGTAAGATCAAAATACAGATTTTCATGTGATATAGTCTAGATATTTAGATTATATATTGTCCAATTTTTCAATAACAACAAGAAGGAAAAAATTACTAGGTATAAAAAGAAAATGTCCATAAAAAAGAAAAAAAAAGAGAAAACCAAGATATTGGCCTTAGCAGAAAAACATTTTAAATCAGCTATTAGAAGTAAGTTCAAGTAAATAAAGAAAACCATGTTTTGTGACAACAAAGTATAACAATGACACATGCCCAAAAAAGATGATGAATAAAGACACAGAGATTACTTTTGGCTGGGTGCAGTGGCTCACACTTGTACTTTCAACACTTTGGGACGTCAAGACAGACAGATTGCTTGAGCTCAGGAGTTCAAGACCAGTCTGGACAACATGGTGAAACACTGTCTCTACAAAAAATACAGAAAATCAGTTGGGTGGCACATGCCTATAGTCCCAGCTACTTAGGAGGTTGAGGGGGGAAGATCACTTGAGCCTAGGTGACAGAGGTTGCAGTGAGCCATGATCAGGCTACTGCACTACAGCCTGGGCACAGAGCAAGACCATGTGTCAAAAATAATGTCTATTTTTGTTTAAATCACAACTCTAGGGCTAAAAAGTACGTTATTTCTATTTAAAGATAAAATAGTATGAAACATTTACTAGAGTGGCTCAGCAGAAGTCTTGAGCTAAAAAAAAAGCAAGAATTTGAAGACAACTTTTATTCACATAGAAGAACAGTAAAAATAGAAAGTTAAGGAAAATAAACAGAGCCTTAGAAACATTTGAAACACCATCAAGAACACTGCCATGGTCCAAGTATTTGCGTTGTCTGAAAAATTCATATTTTGTAACTCTCATCCACAAGGTGATGATATTAGTAGGTGGGGATTTTGGGCGGTTATGAGGATAGATCCCTCATGAATGGGATTAGCGTCTTTATAAAAGAGACTTCAGAGAGCATCCACACCCCTTCCACCATGTGAGGGATATATTAAAATTAATACAGTCATCTGTTAACTAGGAAGCAGTTCCTTACGAGACGTTAATCTTCCAATACGTTGATCTTGAACTTCCAGCTTTCAGAGCTGTTGAAATTACCTTTCTGTTTTTATTAGCACCCCAGTTAATGGTATCTTGTTACAGAAGCTCAAACAAGCTGAGAGGTATCAACATACACCTAGTGGTAGTTATAGGAGAGGTGAAAGAAAAGGTATAAGAAAATGTATTTCCCAATGTATTTGCTAAAAACAATCCAAATATGATGAAAACAAATCTACACTTCTGAAAAATTCCAAGTAGAAAAACTGAGACATTCACCATGGTACACACACTCTAAAAAGCCAAAGAAGAAGAAACAATCTTGAAAGTGGAAAAAGAAACATGGCTAATCAAGGAAGAAGGAACCACAACATGATTAAGAACTTCCTTTTCATTGGAAATAATGGGGTCTGGTAGCAATGAGATAATCTATTCAAAGTAGCAAAACAAAACAAAAAAAACCCTCTCAAACAAAAACTCTGCTCTAGATATAGCATAAGTATTCATCAAACAAAAGGTAAAATAAAGACATACACAGATAAGGACTTAGAGAATTGGTTGCTAGCATACCTGCCCTATAAGACATGCTAAAATAAGTTCATTTGGCTGCAATAATAGCATCAGATGGTAACTTCAATGCTTACAAAGACAGACAGGCTACTGGTAATGATAATGACATAAGCAAATAAGAGGTATATTTGCCTGTGTACTTACCTATAAGTTCTTATTATATATATGAGATGGATTTTTATATATGTTATTTATAAGTAAGTATATTGCTGTGGGTGTGTATATATATAAAACACATGTTATATATAAGTATATAGATCTGTATAATTATGTATAATATGTATAAAGAGCTATATACTTATTTAATATATCATTTATATATACTATATTTGATTAACATAGCTTTCTATAATATAAAGAGCTTCGTAAATTATACAAACCCATGCCCATCAAATATATTTAATTGATATCTTAAAATATATTATATTACTTATATGTTAATATCCAATGATATAATTGTTATATTATTTTAGATTAATTAGTATAATATAGAATATATTCATATATTTAAATAATATAATTATGTATACATAATAGTATATGTAAAATTTATTTTTATATAGTAATATACATTTTACTGTAATGTTATGATAAAATAATGTTAATATATTTTTAAATATATTTAGTGTATTACTAATTTATATTATTTATAATATAATCTGTTATTTTTAATAAATGATACATTAATATATATAAAAATGAAATAATATACTTTATAATGTGCTGATTTCTTTCAGAGAATAGAACATGTTGACAATAAGAAAAGTTCCAAACAGATGTTTAGAAACAGCTAAAAGGAGAATTTTATCAAGCAAATGACCCCTCATAGAAACCTATGAGAACATGAATATCCAGTTCTAAGAACTGAAAACAAGCTTTGTGTTATATAATAATACATAAATATATTATGTGGTTGATATATATTATTTAAGTATCAAATGATATGTTAATATACTCAAATAATATAATTTACTAACTTGATATTAATCAATCAGTATTTAATATATTACTGTATTATAGTAATAACATATAATTAATTTATTATTTAATATATAATACAGAGCTGTATCCATCAGAAGTATTTGAAGAAATATACAAAAGAGTGTGAGTCAATTGAATACAACAATATATTTAAATGTGAATTCCTAATGTCCAAGTGATTTAACCCAGAGGACAAAATGGTGCAAACATTTGAAGTCAATCAATTTTATTGACCATATCAGAAATAAGGAAAACATTATCTTTTGGACTAAATTTTGTTCCCTTACTTTCAAAATTTATATATTCAATTCCTGATTCCCCAGTACGTGAAGATGTGACTATATTTGGAGATAAGTCCTTTAAAGAGGAGATGAAATTAAAATGAGGTCAGTAGTGTGGGCCATAATACAGTGTGATGGCTGTCCTCATAAGAATAGGAAATTTGGACACAAAGAGAGACACCAGTGATGCTCAGAGAAAAGTCCACATGAAGAGGACACAGCAAGAAGGTGGTCACATGCAAGACAAGCAGAGAAGTCTCAGAAGAAATCAACCCTGACAACCTCCTAAGTCTTAGACTTTAAGCCTCCAGGACTGTGAGAAAATAAATTTTTGTTGTTTAAGCCACACCACGTGGCTTAAGCTCCATACACGTGGAGCTATATATTTTTTGTTATGGCACATTGACCAATTAGTCACCCATAATTATCTCAATAAATAAAAAAGAAGCACTTGACAAAATTCAAGATGTAAGTTTTAAAACTCTAACACAAAAAACATGCAGAACTTTATCTAGTTATCAAACAAGATCTTAAATCTAACACTCAAATTTAGTGGTAAAAGACTATGCTTTTGTTCATGAATCAAGAACAAAATAAACATATCTATTTCTATCACATGTAGACAAAATTTTACTAGAGCTATTTGCACTACCAAATAGGAGAGGAAAAGGGTTAAAAAATAGACATAGATTATGATCACTTATAAAGAATATACCATATTATCTACAAAATAACAAAAAAGTGGGTTAAGCAACTCTCCAAGGAACATGTTAAATAAACAAAATTAAATTTATTTTATACTTATGCTATAAATATTTGAAATGGAAAATTACAACAATGTGTAATGCTTAAAGGTAGCAAAAAATGTGACACACTTAGGATGAATTCATTTAAGCACGTAATATTTGTACACTAAAAAAGAAATTATTGATAAAACTAATAAAATAAAACTTAACTTAGCAAATTAAATAACCAAGATTCCAGGAAAATATAGATAACCTTAGATTTGGCAATGATGTCCTAGGTATAAGTGAGATCTCATTTCTTTCTATCACTGAATAATATTTGTATCACAAGTTTAATGTTTCACATTTTTCATAGATTCTGCGTAAGCAGAATAACCAGAATCTGTGAAAAGAAAGATGACATACTGAACTTTATTAAAATTTAAAATTGGCTGGGCACAGTGGCTCACACGTGTAGTCCTAGAAATTTGAGAGGCTAAACTGTATGGGTCACCTGAAGTCAGAAGTTCAAGACCAGCCTGGCCAACATGGTGAAAGCCTGACTCTACTACTGAAAAACAACAACAAGAAAAACATTGCTAGGCATGGTGGTGGGTGCAGATAATCCCAGCTACTCCAGAGGCTGAAGCAGGAGAATCGTTTGAACCCAAGAGGCAGAGGTTGCTATCACCCAAGATTGTGTCACTGCACTCCAGGCTCAGCAACAAGGGTGAAACTCCATTTCAAAATAAAATAAAATAAAATTGAAAAGTTATGCTGTACAACATATAATGTTAATAGTATGAAAAAGCAGGTCACAGACTGGGAGAAAACATTTTGGAAACACATTTCAGATAACGACTTGTATCCAAAATATACAAAAACACTTCAAAATCAAGGATAACAAATTAAAAAAAAAAAAAAATCACCCAATTAGCCAGGCTCGGTGGCTTATGCCTGTAATCCCAACACTTTAGGAGGTCAAGTCGGGAGGATTACGAAGTCAGGAGCTCCAGACTAGCCTGACCAATATGATGAAACCCCATCTCTACTATAAATAGAAAAGTTAGCCTGGTGTGGTGGTGAGCTCTTGTAATCCCAGCTACTCAGGAGGCTAGCTCAGGAGAATCGCTTGAATGCGGGAGTCGGGGGTTGCAGTGAGCCAAGATCGCGCCACTGCACTCCAACCTGGGCTACAGAGACAGACTCCGTCTCAAAAAATAAATAAAAAATAATAAATAAATAAATAAATAAATAAATAAATAAATAAATAAATAAATAAGGATGCAAAAAATAATGAGTATAGGACCCGGGGAAGATTTACCACTTAATGTAGAGACAAAGGAACAGACAATTGGCCAGAGTACACGGTCAGGGTGAATCATTTACTTTAAAGGAATGGACGTTACTAACAGCATCCAGTTGTACTTTTTTTTTTTTTTTTTTTTTTTTTTTGAGACAGAGTCTCGCTCTGTCCTCAAGACAGGAGTGCAGTGCCGTGATCTCGGCTCCTGAAATCTCCACCTCCTGGGTTCATGCCATTCTCCTGCCTCAGCCTCCCAAATAGCTGGGACTACAGGTGCGTGCCACTACGCCCTGCTATTTTTTTGGTATTTTTTTAGTAGAGAGTGTTTGTGTATTTTTTTTGTATTTTTAGTGTTAGCCAGGACGGTCTTAATCTCCTGACCTCCTAATCCGCCTGCTTTGGCCTCCCAAAGTGCTGGGATTACAGGCATGAGTCACCGCGCCCAGCCGCAGTTGTACTTTAAAGGAATGAAAGTGGCTAAGAGCATCCAGTTGTAAAGAAAGGACTTGAACCGTCGGCTAAAGACAGATGGCAATTCAAAGGTTGTTTGTAAAACTTACCAGCCTCTCAAATCCAGATATTCACGATATAAAGAGTGAACATGGGCCAGAGGCGATGGGTCACTCCTGTAATCCCAGCACTTTGGAAGGCTGAGGTGGGTGGATCAGGAGGTCAAGAGATCAAGAATATCCATGCAGAAATCCCGTCTCTACTAAAAGTACAAAAATTAGCTGGGCTTGGTGGAGCATGCCTGTAGTCCCATCTACCTGAGAGACTGAGGCAGGAGAACTGCTTGAACCTAGGAAGTTGAGGTTGCAGTGACCCGAAATTGTGCCACTGCACTCCAGCGTGGCAACAGAGCAAAACTCAGTCCTAAAAAAAAAAAAAAAAAAAGAGTAAACATGTAGGAAGAAATTTTGCATTTCTAAGGAGCTTTAGAGACATAGTTAATGGGCAGTCCCAGCAGGATGCCACAGAATTGAAATAAATATTTTTGAATTTTCTAGAGTTAAGTATGCTCATAGGAGGAGGGAGTATTGAACAAAAGGAAAAAATAGAGTGCAAATGTGTTACAGGACTGAGAAGTCATTGCAACTGCAGAAAAAGGGACCAAAACAAAAGAGAAAGAAGGAGAAGCAAGAATAAGGCAGAGAATGAGATTCCAGGGAAGGGTGTGCATGTTTAAGAGAGAGAGAGGAAATAGAGAGAGACAGAGACACACAGAGAGAGATTGAGAGAGACACAGAGAGAGAGAGAGACAGAGAGACAGAAAGAGAGAATGAAGGAGAGTAAAAAACATAAACAACAGAAAAACTTACAAAGCCTTAAGACACAATCTTGCTTGAAAATCTATAGAGGGATTTCATATAGCGTTTGTTTAGAAAGCAATTATTTTGCAAAATTCTTGCTTCCTCCCTGCTCTAGTGTTTTTGCATGAGATCAATTATTTTTAGTTCTGATTTTTACTTAGAATTCAGCTTCAGCTCTGGGAGAAGAGTCAGATTTTAACTTCTGCTTTTAATGCAGTTTTCCTCAAATCTGTGTGGTAATGATGCCAAACCAAGAGTTATATTCAAAGAAAATAATATACATTCAAAAACGTGTCAGTGAAAGATGGCACATTGCTTGCTAAAACCTCTACTTTCATCTTTAAAGTTGCATTTGACGACTTGAATTGGCTTTTTTTTTCTGTTCCTACAGGGATAATGATGAATACTCTCTACATATTCTAGTGGTAAGAAGAATGGTGGGAAGCCTATACAACACTGACAGTTATTTTATTATCTCCTGCTACTAGAACACAGCTCAGACCATGAAAGGGTTCTGGATGGCAGAATTCCGTTCCAAATTCTATTATGAATTAGGATTCAAATTTTTCCTACAAAATGGCCTGTAAGATTCCAGATAGTCATGTTTGCTTTTTCATTTCCAAGAGGGTTGAATGAAGTATGTGAGCATTACATTCCTATCATCTTATTAATACTTACTTTGAATTACTAAAAACATATCCTGGTATGTTTGTTTCTTATAATCCTTTGACATTTAAGCAAAGTGTTCAGGAATACTTCAAGCTATTCTAATTTTTAAAAGAATGTACCTATTGTGTTTTTACTATAAATCACATTTTTTTTTCCTTTCATGAACTAAACTATTCATGCATTAAAAGTTGCCTCTTAGGTTAAATATGTAAAGAATGACTTTATTACTTTTAACACTGAAGATAATCATAGGAATACAAAATGACAAACACATTTTACAGATTTAGGGCCTTAATAAAACTCAGTGGAACCATTAATTCAATTTATTTCTCAGTGATAAAAAGAATGTACATTATTTTCCAAATATAAAACTTTTCCTCAGTGTTAAAAGAAACCTAAATTATTTTGTTATTATTTCAAGCCTCAAATGGCCAGGTGTCTAAATACTTGATGAAGGATAAACGTATACAATTATTACTAATAATACTAATTGTTACTTCAATAAAATATATCAAAAACAGTAAATATGTATCAGGACAAAATAAATAAAATACAAATAAATAAAATTTATGTTTGCATTCTTCTGTCCAAATCCTACCTAAATTTTTTTTTCATATAACATCCTCACTTCTGCTGCAATTTTTTTATTCTTACATTCTATTACTTATTTGTTCTCATCATTTTTTTAAACTATCTTTGGCTTTTTTCTTTTGTTTGTTTCTCCTTCTTTATCTAGACCTTTTTGTGGGGGGACAAGGTCTCATTCTGTCACCCAGCCTGGAGTGCAATGATGATGCAATCACAGCCCTCTGTAGCCTCGAAATCCTAAGATCAAGCAATCCTCCTTTCTCAGCCTGAGTAGCTAGGACTACAGGTGTGTGCCTCCATGGCCAGCTATTTTTTTAAATTAATTTTTGTAGAGACAAGATTTCATTCTATTGCCCAGGCTGGTCTCCAACTCCTTGGTTCAAGTGATCCTCTTGCTTTGGCCTCCCAAACTGCTGGGATTACATGTGTGAGCCATCACACCTGGCATATCTAGACAACTGACAGTAATGTAAGAAGAGAAGACCAACAGAAGTAGGTGATTTGAGTTTACATCTAGAGATTGCCACCAACCACCAACACAGGTCCTGATAATTGCTTGAATATCAGAGAGATTGGCCAATTAAATCACTGAAATTTAGATCCAATAATCTTCTTTTGAATCTCTTCTCCATAGCCCTTCTTCTTCTAAACCAAAATTAACCCAGGTGTGATAATTCAAAGTTCAAGTTAAGCTAGGACTTATATTTCCCCCTGCAGAATTCATAAGGTGATATGCATAGATCAGAGAGGGGGACAAAACAGAATAGTGATTAATCTGTGAATGAGACAGTCACCTCTGGGGTTCTTCTAGGAATATTTCAGAACAAGTATGCATTCTTTATATTTAGAGACCATAAAGACATGAAGATCTAGAAGGTGCTTGCATAAGATGTTTATATCAGATTCGGGGTGTGAAAAATACAAATTGTTTTCATGTGCTACTTCATGAAATAATTTTAGTAAAGCAAACCGGAGCAGATTTAAAGACAAAGTCCAGTGGTTGATAGATTGAAGGTTTTCTTTGGGTGACTATGAGAGAAATAGATGTTTGGTTTAGTAAGCAACAAAAATGTTTATGCACTATAGAGAAAGGCATGTCTCCCTGGATAGCACAGGATTATTAAATGCATAGATGAGAATTGCTGTAGTCTTGGACCAGCTCTCACTGTCTGTAGTTTGGGAAACTAGGATTGATATGGTTTGGCTAAGTCCCCATCCAAATCTCATCTTGAATTGTAATCTGCATAATCCCCACATGTCAAAGGAGGGACCCAGTGAGAGGTGATTGGATCACGAGAGCAGTTTCTCCCATGCTGCTCTCATGATAGTGAGGGAGTCCTCACAAGATCTGATGATTTTATAAGGCAGTTTCCCCTGCTCTTGCTAGCTTAGCTCTCTTTCCTGGCCCCATTTCAGGAAAGTCTTTGCTTTCCCCCTTCACTTCCGCCATAATTGTAAGTTTCTTGAGGCCTCACCAGCCATGTGGAATTGTGACAATTAAAACTCTTTTCTTCATAAATTACCCAGATTCGGGAAGTTTGAAATGAACTAATACAAAGATATTTATTTAAATTTTCCCTGTGTTAGGATTCTCACAAATCAGGTCAGCCAAATGTCTATTTGCCTTATTTTTTATTCTTATTAAGCTTAAATACATTGCCTGGATCATAGTGAGAAAAAATGCATCAACAAATCCTCTTAATTATAAATAATGAATATCCATACTTGTTTTGATTTAACGTCCCTGGTAACACAATCTCTCTGTTTTCTCTCTAGAGATAACTCTGCTGAACATACTGATGACATCTAGTGTGTCCTGGCCTTGCCTTCCTTATTCAAGTCGACTGCATATATTAGTAAGAAATCCTGTGTGTTGAATGAATAAGGCTGAAGCCAATGAGGTCTGCATGTTGACAGAAAAGAAGAGAGGCCAGCATGTGAGAGAGAGGAAATAGGAACAAATCATTGTGATTTGCAAATTCACTAAAGTTACAAATAACGCCTAAATCAATACTCATGGTGGGCTGGGGGTCCCTCAAAGATACTTGTAGGGTAGCAAAAAATCAGCACACAGGTTTGCAGTTGAGGGGAAATGAGGTGACTGTCTGTGTTCTTGTTTCGACTCTCATGTAGTAAACATGTGTTCTTTTCATGAACTATTTTGTGCTAGGTTTTTCATGTTTTTGTCCTTTTTGTTGGTGACTTTGATGTTTTAAATGGTCCCCAAATGTACCCTGGAAGTGATGTTTAATGTTCCTAAGTTCAGGAAGGCTGTGACTTGCCACACAAAGAAACTGTTCAGGCATGAGTGTCAGCACAATTGGTCATGAATTCAATGTTAAAGTATAGAAAGCATATCTCTAATAAGGTATTGTATCTTTAAAAGAGAAACATGCATTTAAAAAGTTTTATATTTGCCAGGAGCAGTGACTCATGCCTGTAATCCCAGCACTTTGGGTTTGAATTTTCTGTGAAAAAATAGAAAAAAAACAGAAACCCATTAGGAATAGGATTAGAATTTAGTTTATGATAGAATTTAATTTATGATTGCTCTGGGGAGAGTTGCCATCTGTCCCCTCTTAAGTCTTTCTGGCCTTGACTGTTGAATGGAGATACATCTTGCATTGGAGCAAGACTTAAGAGAAAAGGTGAGCGATTAAACAGATTCATCAAGATAAATAAGGTGATCTGAAAAGATACCTCTGGACAAACACAGAAGGGAGTGTGAACCAGGGATCAGATACATGAGAGAGGAACAGATAGAATGGGTTATTTCTGTGCACTGGTGGTAAATGAGCTGAAGGCATCTTACAAGATCCAATTTATAGAACAGAAAATACTTCCCAGCAAAATTCTATTCCTCCTAGCTATTTCGACTCTTATCTCAAATATTGCCTCCTCAGAGGTTTTTTTTTTGCTTATTATATATTCTACTCTATTTACCCAGTTTTATTATTTTTAATAATTTATGCACACTTGATTTTTGGCATGACACTCATCTGCAATCCTCAAACAAAATGTAGCCTCTATATGAACATATGCTGTATATTCTTGGTGTTCTTTACATATTTGCTTGCCTGCACCCTAGAGAATGCAGCATGGAGGTGGCATTGAGTAGAGAAAGATACCTGTGCTCTGAGGTTTTGGCATTTGGACAATATAAGTACAGGTGATAGAATCTCAACATATCAATCATTCTTTCAAAGAAGGCTCAAATTTCTGAAAGAAAGGAGGGTATAAAATAGTGCACAGGTTTTGAAGAACATCTGGCAGTAATGAACTCACTATACTCAGGAGCATAGGCATTTCTGGTAGTAAGAATATGGAATATTATTAAAGAATACAACATATAGAGTACTATTCAATGAATATAAAAAATCTTCAGGGTTTCAGACTGTTCCTGTATCCAGTGGGACCTTTTGAGGTGGTTGGGCATACATTCATCTTTGGGCTAGATTGTACATTCTTTGAGATAGGGCTCCTTTAAATGTATCAATACTGGCTGGACACAGTGGCTCAAGCCTGTAATCCCAGAACTCTGGGAGGCCAAGGCAGGAGGATTTCTTGAGCCCAGGAGTTGATACAAGCCTGAGCAATGTAATGAGACCCTATTAAAAATTAGCCAAGTGTGGTAGAACGCACTTCAGGTGTCTGAGTTGAGAGGATCACTTAAGCTCCAGAATTTGAGGCTGCAGTGAGCCTCAAATGATCATGCCATTTCACTTTAGCCTGGGCAACAGAGTAAGACCTTGTCTCAATTTTTTTAAAAAAAGTATTAATATATCCTCAGCACATACAAATAAATAGTTTTTCACTCAGGAGTTGTTCCATAGCAATTATTGAATTAATTTTGTGTATATAAACTTTTTCTTTAACATGCAAAATGTATATATATGTCAGCATGTGATAATGTAAATTCTTCAGAAAAAGTTTCATTAAAATGCCATACAGAGAAGTGTCATTTGATCAAATTTCTTTGGAAAACTCTTTCTATCATAACCCTTGATTTCCAGTCATTAACATCCTGGATCTTAATCCATTCTTAAGAATAATTATGGCTATATTTACAAGCCTGAAATTATCCCCAAAGCAGTTGAAATTTTATATCTCCTAATACAATTTTTATATTTATGTGAAATACAGTTGCTTTCAGTATGTCAAAAGATAGTATGGAGACTCAAAACAAATTAATATCATTTCAGGTATCTAATTTCATGTAGCGTGCACTGCAGGACCAGTTGAAATATTGACATAATTGTCCTTTCCCAAATTGGATTTCTTCTCTCTTGATGTTGTTTATTATTATTATTATTGTAGAGACAGGGTCTTGCTCTGTCACCCAGACTGGAGTGCAGTGGTTTAATCACAGTTCACTGCAGCCTTGACTTCCTGGGCTCATGTGATCCTCCCACATTAGCCTCTTGAGTAGCTGGGATGTCAGGCAGCTGTTCTTTTTTTATTTTTTGTAGAGATGAGACCTCATTATTTTTCTCAGGCTGGTAGCAAACTCCTGGGCTCAAGTGATATTCCCATCTGGGCCTGCCAAAGTGCTAGTATTTTAAGCGTGAGCCACAGCACCTGGCCTTCCCTGGATATTCTGTACATATGATGTGTATGTTTTCTTGTTGTACTTACTCTATATTATATTTAAAGCTTTTCTGATTTACTTATGATTTAGGATGTAAGATAAGATGAAATATTTGGAGGTCAGCCTGTAGACACATTAGCTCAGGTATTCCTATGAACTCCTACTAATGCTATTGGTAGTAGGACAGATGTATAACTAGTATACTTCCCATTGCTTTAAATTTTTACTCTTGTATCTGCAAATGTTGAATGACTATAACGGAAAGATGCCTTGCAATTTAAATAGAAAATCCATTGTAATTTCTTCAGAAATAAAATATCACTAATAGAGTTTTTATAGAATCTGTTTAAATCAAATTTTAAGGAATGTCATATTAAAATGTATCAGACTAGTAAAGGCTGTACATTTTTGGATGTATCTTGTAAAAGGAGACAATGAAACTTGTTAAAAATCTAAGGACTCTTGAATTTGTACTATCTCTATTTTATCAAATATGCTAACATATTGAATTAAAGGTATTTGTCAGATGTATAGCTAAGTCATTGTTAAGATTGCCTAATGAATCAAAATGTGTTGGAGCATTTCCCCCTGGAAATGTGGAAGCTGGAGATTGGGGTGTTTTGTTGAAAGAAAATTATGCTCCTTAATGATTTGTTTACATGTCACTGGAGCAGGCTGGCAACTGCTGGGGATTAAGTGCATGGTGATTTTTTAAAAACATTGTTGAAATATTACTGGGATTTTAAAGATCATTTTAGCTAGTGATTTATTTGCTTCTGTTAAATCTGGCTTAAATATATTTGTCATTGATTCAGCATGTCTTATGGTGAACATGCCAAATTTCTTTTTCTCCACATCAATAGAAACAAAACATTAAATGTTTTGAACATATATGTTTATATAGGAGAAATATGCCCATGCATAAGACTGAGATATTTGATCCAAAGCAAATGAATTTTTGGGCTTAAATGTTTTATCTTTGGTGAACACACGTAGAATCATGGTTAACCACAAGGTAATAACACTTAGGATGTACATGAATGCAGGGACTGGAATTGACTGTTTCTATATGAGACAAATATTCCAAAAGAATTTCTGTACTAAACCATGATGCCAAGACATGTATCCTTGTGCCTTGGCCGACAGAAATTCAAAATGCCTTCTCTGGAAACTTTGCATACAGCAAGTGTTCTGGCTTGGAGAGCCAAACAGGTTAGTTTAGAATATGTCTGACATTGAAATGACAAGACAGCTCATCAGCAGAATTTGCAGCACACTCTAGGAGAGCAATGACACAAGAGGAAGTGAAGATATAAAACAATGTAAATAAAATTTTTAAAATAAATATGACTGAAGTTTATATTTTAAAAAGAAAAAGACGCATAAGTAAAGAAAGAACGTAAATATGACAGGAATATACATATGTATGAGGATATATATGATAGAAAAATGTATGGAACATGTACATACACACACACACACACACACACACACACACAGAGCACACATGCAAAAATACAGGACAAGGATATACATACAAATCTAAACATAAATGTACATTTTCATACACAATAAATTGAAGTGCATATCTATATCCTAAAAACATTTTTTTTTGATATTTTTAAATATCAAAACTCGTGTTCAAGTTAAGGAACTAGAAACGTGTTTAATCATCTAACTTCTTTCATAACTGTGAAATACTATACATGAATTGTTTATCAGATGGTGTTGGAAGTTATGATCAAGAATATTAGCTTACTGATGCTTACTGATAATAATATTATTTTCCTGTAAATGTGAAAATACATTGGAAAATTTGAACAGTTCTTTATTTTGAATGGTGTAAATGTAGACATATTTTAACTTATCTATATGATGTATCTATTAATTTATGCATATCTTATGTATGTATTATCTGTATATACGTAAGTGTATATATCCATGTTTTACTGTTAGCATGTGTTTATGTTAAGTAAACATAAGTAGATTTTTTTTATATTGGGAGCAGGATATATAATCATTTAAATGAATATAAAAGCATTTCTGTTTTTCCCTAAATTGTGTATAAAGAACAATGCTTCAACTAGTAACAACTAAAAAATAGCAACAATAACAATAGAGAACAAAAAACAATTTAATGAAGAATCAGATGGTTGTGGTGAAAGCAAGAACTGAAAATACTACAACCACATGGATAAGGGCAAAACGTACAGGTTGCTGAGCTGCAGCTATTTTTTTACTTCTGGGCATTTTTCAAGTCACAGTGCTAGAAAACAAGCTAAGGCATCCATGAAGAAATTCCTACTAGGCAAGAAAAGAAATAACCAGCAAGTGAACTGCAGAGCTGTTGACCCTATAACACAAGAAAGACAAAATTGAGAGACTTGAGAGGCCAGGATGCTGGTAAAAATGAATTCTCAGAGTCTCAGCCTGAGTTTCTGACCATTTTCCTCATTAGATATTTGCTGATTCTAGATCTTTATGAAGAAGGACACTAATATGCCTAGTATCTCTCAGAATATCATTGTTTCCTGAATTATTTAATATAAATATGTTAATTTCAATATTTGAGTTACCGAGGGGTGTATTTCTATTGCCTCATTTTCTCTTTCTGGTTGAAGATTTGGTCCCATCTCTCTTTTTGCAAGCATCATTTGTTCTTATCTAATTTGCAGTTGTAAATAACATTTGCAAAATCTCTGAAAGATCATTTTGCCTTATCAAATATCATACATATTACAAATGTATGGTTACTAAGTGGAAGGAAATAGTGCAGATACAGCCCAAGCACTTTTTCATGCAGTATTATAATTTCATATTGACAATCAAAATATTTAGAATATTTTTGAGAATCTGATGATAATAGTTTTGGATGTTTGAGAGGATAAATATCAAAAGTTGCTTTCCATGTATAAATTATCATAGCCATGTGGAAGGGTTTAGAATTGTTTTTGTGTAACTGGAAATGTATATTTTATATACAACACGTTCAAATAAACGTCTATACGTTAGAGAAACTTTGATTCATTTTCATATTCGAGAATATGTGACATTTTCATGTCTACCCTGTTTGTAAGTGTGAAATACTGCAAATGAATTGTTCATCAGATGGTGTTGGAAGTTATCATCAAAAAAGATGTTAGCTTACTGGTATGACTTTTTTTTCCTTTAAATGTGAAAATATATTGGAAAAGTTGAATGAGTGTTTGTGAATGGTGAAAATGAAGGTGAATTTTAGATTGTAAGCTCAGGATGAGAATTGAACTAATAATAAACATTGGTGCTTATTACATGCCCATTCTTTTTCCAGATTATATTTTATTTACTAATGGTTAGTTATATTTGTTACATTATTCTTTGTATTTTAATGTGATCACTCTCTCTTTTTCTTTCTTTCTTCTTGAGATGGGATCTTACTTTATCACCCAGGCAGGAGTGCAGTTGTGCAATCCTAGCTCAGGGTAACCTCGAACACCTGGGCTCAAGCAATCCTCCCAGTTCAGTTCTCAGATAGCTGAGACTTGGTATATTAGTCCATTCTTATCCTGCTAATAAAGACATATCTCAGACTGGGTAATTTATAAACAAAAGAGGTTTAATTGACTCACAGTTCTACAGGGCTGGGGAAGCCTCAGGAAACTTACAATCATGGCAGAAAGGGAAGCAAACATGTCCTTCTTCACATGGCAGGATCAAGAAGTGCTGAACACATGGGGAAAAAAGCCTCCTATAAAATCATCAGATGTTGTGAAAACTCATGCGCTATCATGAGAACAGCAGCATGGAGGTAACCACCCCCATGGTTTAATTTCCTCTTACTGCGTCCCTTTTATGACCTGTGGGGATTACAGAAACTACAATTCAACATGAGATTTGGGTGGGGACACAGCCAAGCCATATCACCTGGCCTCAAGCAATCTTCCTGCCTCAGCCTTCCAGAGGTTAGGGATTACAGGCATAAGCTGCCACACCTGGACCACTCTTCTTTTCTAAAAATAAAAAGCCCTTTAGCACTGGTGAAATAAAGTATGTTTATAACTTTTTTTTATTTTTTAGAGAAACTAATTAGAACACATAAAATAAATTTTGGCAACTATTAGTTTAACTTTCTTTAAAATACACAGTCTGATTTTCTTTACAGTGATTTAATTATAGCATATTTGATAATTGAATGTATCTAAGCAATTATATGAAAAGTCCTTTAGATACTATGAAGTAATAATTTTTTTCTGAGTTTTGGATTCTCTAACTTAAATTCTAATTAACTGTACAGTTAATTTCTGTATCTGACTTTTCAAAAATAAAAAAAGATAAAAGCAAGGTTATTATTTGCAAATGTATGTTGAACATTGATAGTACCCCTGTATTTCCATTTTCACTTGATTTTTACAATAACCTTTTGCAATATACAATGTATATTGCAGTCTACATTTGATATGTAAAAACAGAGATTTAGGCAAGATGTGTTTTTGCTAGATGCCTATCTGTTAACAACTGGTTGGGCTGGCTTGTGAAAACCCAGCATTAAATTGATAGAATATTTAGTTGACTCAGGTCTCTCTCTCTCTCTTCTTCTCTCCTTGTCTCACTCTGTGTGTGTGTGTGTGTGTGTGTTTCTGAAGACAAAACCATGGCTTGATTATCCATCAAAATTTGCATTTATAAATCATCACATTCAGTGTGTCAATTCTAAAGTTTTGTCACTTATCACTTCTATTATTATATTTTTTGCACATCTTCTTTCTCCTACGTGAAAGGTGGCCTCTGAGTATCTTATCCCCTCCACAACCTAGAATAGAAATGTTTAATCTGAAGTTCTTATTCAGTTAATTGGTGTGTAAATATCAATGGAACAGTTAGCGAAATAGAACATCAAGTAGACAACATAAAAAGCTGTAATACTTTTGTTTTAGCCTAGTTTGTTAAATCAACACCTCATGAATGCTGTCAAAATAGCAACATAACCGGCATACCATACTGTTTTGCTCCAGCAAAATAGAGAGTATCACATCAAATTTGCAAACAAGTTCAAGTCTGCTTAAATATGTATTTCAGAATAGTTTTGCAGAAAAATCACTGTGAGTGGACTTGGCTACCACGGTATCTATAACTGATCTAAGTACTGGAAACTGAGTATCTATTCTTACCTTTGAAGAAAAATCTTTTTCAAACCTCTGAGACATTCACTATGGCTCAGATTATGGACCACTAATTGCCTGGCTACTGTGCTGTCATTACAAGGAAACCATCAAGAAATGTATTAGGAACATTCATTAATCACTTCAGCAGCTCAATGTTCATCTATAGAAATATCTGCTGGAGCTGAAGGATTCTGTGTAATAAGAACAATGTGTTGCCACATCTTTCTGGAGTGACAGTCAACTCAGGATTCAATATCTAATTTCTGTTAAATTTGTCCCTTCCTTCACCTCATGGTCATTTTCTCAGTTTAGATATCCATAATCTCTGTCAAAAATTATTGACATAGTTTCTCAGCCAGTTTCCCAATCTATAGTTTAAATTTATTTTCTGAATTGTTAGACTTATGAAATGAGAAGAGCTTTCTAATACTCAGATAGAATCCCATCACCATAAGATACTGGCTTCCTTCTGTATCCTATTATTCAACAATTACAGATAACAACAGTCCCCTAGCCTATAGTAAGACACTCCTTTAACCACCACATCCTCATCTCTGTCTCTCCAGCCCCCCATACACATTGACTTAAAATTGCTAGAAGCTTCAGAATCTGTGCTTCGTAATTATATTGGGGAATATTTTCTTCAACTTCTGTAGCTAGTAATCTTTTCTGGGACTTTCAAAACCTCTACATAACAGTTTAAGCATGATTAAATCTATATTCCCTGGCCATTTGGGACTGTTAATGTCTGAGTAATTAAGCAGATGAAAGGGTTACATTACTGAGCATGATATTTGATCCCGTTTTTCAGAAGGCATTTCTTTTTACACAAAAGGGGACAAAAAGCAGTTAGTTTTTAGTGCAGGGAATTAATGGGGTGCCGCTTATATCTCATTAAACTAATAATGTTTGCCAATGGGAAAATGAGTTACCCCAACAAAATCAAAACAATCAATGAGTCAGACCCTAAAAAAGGTAAAGGATTGGAAGAACTTATCAGGAAAAACCTACCCAATTCAACTCACTTGCTAGAAGAAAGCAAAGAGAACATGGAATGATTTGTGGAGCATCTATTAATAGAATACTGATAAAATATGATACCATGTACACTTTTTTATTGCTTATTAGTACAATAATGTTTTCAGGCTTATTAATCTGTACCAGAGAAACCAGAGAAAATTAGCAGTGAGGCACCATTGTGGTATGGCTCTCTAGCATCTCGCTACAGATGCTGTTAATTGATTCAAGACCAGCACCAGCGGATGCCCTTCAAAATCTATCCCAGCATGTTTGCAGAGGTAGTTGCTTATGCATGGTAGCTAACATTCTTCCACCTAAGTGAGACATGCTTCTCCTCATTTCTCCTTCATTCTGTGTTAAACTATCCTTACTTACTGCTGGCTCACAGAGCCTTTCCCAGATTTCTCCAGACTTCTTTCCCACCTACATTTTTCCTAATAAAAATAAAAGACTGGGCCAGGCACAGTGGATCCTGCCTATAATTCCAGAAGTTTGGGAGGCCAATGCTGGTAGGTCACTTGAGCCCAAGAGTTCGAGACCAGCCTGGGTAACATAGTCAGATCCCCATTTCTACAAAAAAGTTAGCTGGAGCTGACGGCATGAGCATATAGTACCAACTACATGGGAGGCTATAGTGGGAGAATCACTTGAGCCCAGAAAGTCAAGTGTTCAGTGAGCTATGACCATGCCACAGCACTCCAGCCTGGACAACGTAGTAAGATGTAAGACCCAGCATCCAAAATAAAAAAAATAAAAAAAAATAAAAGAACAAAAGATTGATGATAATTTCATGGGCAGCAGTAATATATTGCTTTTGCAAGTTAAGTGATATAAAATAAAATAAAGAAGGTTTACAATGCAGAAATACCAAATGACCAAGGTAGTTTTATTGATATTAAGAGTTAGGATAAAAGGCTGGGCAACATAGCAATACCTGTCTATAATTTCTTTTTTAACTAGCTGGATGTGGTTATGTATGTCTGTGGTTGCAGCTACTCAGGATACTGAGGGAAAAGTATCACTTGAGCCCATGAGTTTGAAGCTACAGTGAGCTAGGATAACACCACTATAATCCAGCCTGGGCAACAGAGCAAGACCCTGTCTGTAAAATACATACATACATATATACATACATACATACGTACACACAAATTTTAGCAAGTGCTAGGATCCAAAACTATGGTTCAGAGGACAAACACTTGGTTCAATTACATGGATGTAAAAGACCAAGTACTAAAATTGAGAAAGAATGAAATATAAACTTAGCAGTATAGCTAAGAGAAAATAAGAATGTATCAGTGATTTTTTTCTCTTGATTCTTCTAATAACTATGATGGAAAAAACAAACAGAAGGTACCATGCACAATCACATTGGTGCCTTGTGATTTATGTTTAGCTTAGATACTAAATGTCAAAACCCAATGTTTATTTAATATAACATTTAAGTTTCATCAGTGCCACCTGGATGAGTTTCTCGATAATATAAACTTCTTACTTAACAAAGCATAATTTTGTATAAGGAATTACTGGCAAAGTAGACCCTGCAATGCCACATCAACAAACAGGTCCTAAAAATCCAACCAAGAATTCATAAACTCTATCTGCTTGGGCATAAGCTCTTAGCTGTTCATGAAAAGCAAAGGCAAACTCAACTATCATGGTGGATGAGCAATGTTTATCTCTTCCTGTGTCTAATTTGTGTTTAGATAAATTTACAGCATCCAGGAAACCGCAATATGGTCAACTCAGCCATCAGCCCTGTGGCTCTTAATAATTCAGAGATCAAACTTTTGTTATCATCAGTGAATTGGAGGCCAATAAGAATTTTTCTTTGTCCTGTTGAAGACACTAAAAGGTAGACACAGTTTTTTTCATAACTACTTAGGATGCCCAGAACTGACCACCAAATAATTCTAGGGAATTGAAGCATGCAAAATGTGCAAAAATAGCAAGAGGCAAAGGAAGTAAAATCCTGTGTCCATAGCTCCAAAGCGTTTTCTTTAACTTCAAGGCCATTTTATTTTAATTTTTCATAAACTGTCTTCTCTTGATGTACAATTTTTATACATATGATAGGCATTGTGGATATTATTTCTCAGTAAAATATAATCTAAGAGAATAATTTGACTACTGTATGCCATTATATGACTGGGGTAGATTGCACTTTTACCTGTAACATGGTTTTCATCACATATTTTAATTCTAATCACACAGAGCTCATCAAAAGGGACGAAGAAAATGCTACATATCCCAGTGTAGTAAAGGTTGTTATCACTAAGTAGTAATTTTTAATAAGTAATAAATTTTAATTAATGATTATATATTTTCACTGCCATTAAATTCACTTTTCTTCAGAGGTTATTTGGTACCAAAATTTCAGTTAATTCTTTTGAATAGTTGCGTCAACTCTAAATATGTTTTGACCAGATATATATATGTGCATATATATGTGTGTGTGTATACATATATATTTATTTATTTTATTTTTTAATTTTTTTTGAGACGGAGTCTCGCTCTGTTGCCCAGGCTGGAGCGCAGTGGCACAATCTCAGCTCACTGCAAGCTCCGCCTCCCGGGTTCACACCGTTCTCCTGCCTCAGCCTCCCGAGTAGCTGGGACTACAGGCGCCCGCCACCACGCCCGGCTTATTTTTTTGTATTTTTAGTAGAGAGAGGGTTTCACCGTGTTAGCCAGGATGTTCTCGATCTCCTGACCTCGTGATCCGCCCTCCTTGGCCTCCCAAAGTGCTGGGACTACAGGCGTGAGCCATGGCGCACCGCCGCAACTTAATATGTTGTTAATAGTATCTTACTACCTGCCAGGCATCCTTGCAATCACTTACCAACTATTAACTTATTGAATTCTCATAGTAACTCCATGGAGTAGGTATTTATTTTTATGTTTATTTCACATCTATAAGAATCAGATGCATACATGATAATGAACTCGTCCAAAATCTCAACAGTCAATAAATTCCTGACCTCTGATGCTATAAGCGATATTTGAAAACCAGCATAATTTAGATCTTCATGTCTGTATTTCATTTTAATTTCTGCCTCTCCTACGAAATTTTAGGGTCTCATCTTCTCATTTGCTTTGTAATTAAAAGTATTAATACAGGATGTTGGAGTTCTGTTAGTATTTGTCAGCATTATCTTTGAATATGTGAGCTTAAAGCAGATGTAAATGCATTTATTTATTAGTTTGAAGAGCTATAGAAAAAAGTAAAACTCTTCAAATGATATCTTTTGATAATATGCAAATACCAAATGATCAAGGTAGTCTTCGAATGTGAACCTTAATAGTTCTGCGATCCAAATTTTATTTTAAATTAAGCAAAGTAAAAGCTATGAGACATTTCCTAGAAAGTTGTATTCAACACTTATACTTTATTTCCTTGAAATTTTAAGATACCTATGATGCAAATAAAATATACTATTATTAAGTTAAAACAATGAAAACATGACTATTGCACACATTTTTATTAAAAAGTTACAGTCATTAATTCTATGTTGTGTGGCATTTAAAATATGCCTGAATCATTTCAAACTTTGTGCAACACATCTGCTTCCTTATATTCTTAAGGATTGTCTTTTGCATGAGATGAACAGAGTCATTTGCATGCAGTTCTCATTCTTGGCTGATATAATAACGTCTACAACTCAATAAATAAATTAACCTACTTGAAAGAGTTGTGACAGTGATACAGTAATTACATGCCAGGTTGAACCTGCCTTTGATGACCATGTTTGCAGATTGTATCTCCAGTTCTTAATTTGTTACTCTCTTCTTTCCTTGTTCCCTTGCCATCCCAATCCCTTAATCTATTTTCATGTTCTTGCAAGTTTACTTCACCTATTGTCTTAAATTTTCATGTTTTCTAAATTTCCTCCATTGGCATATCCTCTGAAACAGCTTAGTTAAAAGCAAAAGGACAAAATGATCAACAATGCATAAAAATAGTCCAGGTGCAGCGGTTCATGCTGCTGTTTTTATATTTTACTCATGCCAATATCTTATTTTACTAGGCAAATTTGTCTGAGATTGGCTTTTGAGAAAGGCTTATGAAGGCAGGCCTGTAGAAATAAAGCAAATGTTTCTCTTCTTCCGTCTTTTTTTTAATCATAGAGTCTGCACCATTCTTATAATGGAGCACCAGCGACTCTCACATTTTGAAGCAAGTAGCAATAGAAATGGATTCAGCCCCTTGGGCAAATGCTTTGCCATCTGTGTGAAATTTATATGTCCTTTTTATGACCAAGAAATTTCACTTGTTATTTATCCAAGATAATTCAAATAAGATGTAAACAAAGACACTTGTTTATGAATGTTCATTTCAGTTTCATTCATTACAGCCTCAAGTTGACAATAGCTCAGATGCTCATCAACAAGATAATAGACCAACAGATGATAGCATATGCATAACACAGTTCTAGTAAACAAATACAGCAACTTACTCAGGCAGACAGTGACAAGGATCAAATGAAAAGTTGAGAACAAAAGAAATCATGCTTTTCTTTTAGAAAACTTTAACTTGAGTACTTTTTTTTTTTTAATAAAGATCATTTATAATTCTAACCACTTAGAAATAAGAAAATTAACTCTGAGGTCAAGGGAGAAATTACATGTGCAATAACAGATTATTTATAAAACAAAACCAATGAGAACACTAGACATGATAGACAAAGACTTTAAAATCATTATTATAAATACGGTAAGTAAATTAGGGGAAATGATGAACCAAATGGGTGAAAATATGGAGAAATCAGCATAAAAATGTAATCTCTTTTTAAAGTTCATCTAAACTTATGGGGTACACCTGCAATTTGGTTACATGCGTAGATTGTGTAGTGGTCTAGTCAGGGCCCTTAGGGTGGGTATCCATCACCCGAGTAACGTGTATCGTACCCGTTTAGTAATTTCTCATCCATCCCCTCACCCGCCTGAGTCTTTGTTGTCTCTCATTCCACTCTCTACATCCGTGTGCACACGTTTTAGCACCCACTTAGGGATGCTGTCTCAACATTTAGTGGGTGCAGTGCACCAGCATGGCACATGTATACATATATAACTTGAGTACTTTTAAGAAAATTTAAAATGCCAATTTCTGCTTTTAATTGGAGTATTGTATCTATTTATATTCAATGTAGTTAATGATACATGTAGGCTTAGGTATAGTATTTTTCTGTTCATTTTATATTTGCCCATTGATTCTATTTTTCTGATCCATTAATTCCATTTCTCAGTAGATAGCTTTCTAACTTATCCCAAGGAGTGCAAGTAATTTTTAATGTTGTAATTTGTCTAATGGTTATCTACAGCTCTTTTTAAAATTACTTTTCTAGCTGATATAGGAAAGCAAACAAGTATCTTTTATTTAATATAGCCTATGGAATGTTTTCTTTTGCATTTGTTTTTTCAAAATGTAGTCTCACTTTGTCACCCAGGCCAGAGTGCAGTGGTACAATCTCAGCTCACTGCAATCCCTGCCTCCCAAGTTCAAATGATTCTCCTGCCTCAGTCTCCTGACTAGCTGGGATTACAGGCATGCATTACCATGCCCCAGCTAACTTTTGTATTTTTAGAAGAGATGGAGTTTCACCATGTTGGCCAGGCTGGTCTCAAACTCCTGACCTCAAGTGATCCATCCGGTAGCTCAACCTCCCAAAGTGATAGAATTACAGATGTGAGCCACCACACCCAGCCTATTTAATATAGCTTATAATAATGTAATTATTACTATTCCTCTTCACTTATGAGTAAGAATGTTAGTATAATCCAAATGAACTCCATGTGTACTCTGGTTGCCATAAACTTAATATCTACATGTTAATGACTCTACAATGAAATGACACAATTTATATCATAAGATGCCTTTAAACATATTATTAAAAAGGAAAAAAAATATTTCTTTACCCTGATGAGTTCCCCAGTCATTCATTCCTTATGATCACGTTGTCCTTTAAATCTTTGAAGATACGTGTAGTTATGGCTTTAAAGGAATTGATTGCTAAGTTCAATATTTGCAATATTTTGGATTCAGTTGTTTTATCTGCTTTTTCTCTAGAATACAGGCCATAATTGTCTGTGTATTTGCAATAGACAGTTATTACTTTTTCATGGTGGCTTGTGTATTGCAGAGAATTTTGGTACTTATGACCTTTCGAGCAATTTTTGTTTATTCTTATTATATGACTGGTTGATAGTCTTGGTTCTGTGAAGGACTGGATTTATTTTTTGTTAGTGTGTTTGTTTTTTGGTTTTCCAGTTAGTCTTAGATCAATTCTATAAGCTCCAGTACATGGCATTAACTCCTAAAGTGTGGACTTCAGGAGTTTAACTCCACACTTTTGGAGTTAGTGCCATGTACAAGAGCACCTTCTGACTAATCAAGACTCAAACCCTAAAATCCCTTTCCTGTGGGTGGCAGCAAATGAAACTAGCACTTCAGTGTTTCAGTCTTCTGCTGCTAGTTTTGATGAGATCTCCTGAAATTTCCCACCAGGAATTGACAGTTCAGTCACTATTCCAGAGCTTGAGTACAGTTGTTAATCCAATGAATCTTTTGTTTCAAGACATTCCATTGAGGTACCTCTAGAAAAAAATGACATTGATTTTTTTTGAGTTCTAATTGTCTATCTCACACCAGCTTATGTTGCTCTTAAGCTAAATGACAAAGTATAAATGTGTAAACCACCAAGTGTGTCTCCTTTCAGGAGTTAACATCTGCTAGTTTTGGCCTGCTTTTCATCATTCCTCAATCTCTTTTGTTTGCAATTCCTATCAGTTGAACTAGTATTTATTTAAAATGCAATCAATGTAACTTAAAATAAAAAGAGAAAAAATATAATATTATTTTTATATATTGTGTGAATCATTATAAAATTCAAAAGGCATTGATGTGTTTAAAATAATGTTTTTTTTATTTTATTATTATTATATCTTAAGTTTTAGGGTACATGTGCACAATGTGCAGGTTAGTTACATATGTATACATGTGCCATGCTTGTGTGTACACCCATTAACTCATCATTTAGCATTAGGTATATCTCCTAAGGCTATCCCTCCCCCCTCCCCCCACCCCACAACAGTCCCCAGAGTGTGATGTTCCCCTTCCTGTGTCCATGTGTTCTCATTGTTCAGTTCCCACCTATGAGTGAGAACATGTGGTGTTTGGTTTTTTGTCCATCCCATAGTTCACTGAGAATGATGATTTCCAATTTCATCCATGTCCCTACAAAGGACATAAACTCATCATTTTTTATGGCTGCATAGTATTCCATGATGTATATGTGCCACATTTTCTTAATCCAGTCTATCGTTGCTTGACATTTGGATTGGTTCCAAGTCTTTGCTATTGTGAATAGTGCCACAATAAACATACGTGTGCATGTGTCTTTGTAGCAGCATGATTTATAGTCCTTTGGGTATATAATCAGTAATGGGATGGCTGGGTCAAATGGTATTTCTAGTTCTAGATCCCTGAGGAATCACCACACTGACTTCCACAATGGTTGAACTAGTTTACAGTCCCACCAACAGTGTAAAAGTGTTCCTATTTCTCCACATCCTCTCCAGTACCTGTTGTTTCCTGACTTTTTAATGATTGCCATTCTAACTGGTGTGAGATGGTATCTCATTATGGTATTGATTTGCATTTCTCTGATGGGCAGTGATGGTGAGCATTTTTTCCTGTGTTTTTTGGCTGCATCAATGTCTTCTTTTGAGAAGTGTCAGTTCATGTCCTTTGCCCACTTTTTGATGGGGTTGTTTGTTTTTTTTCTTGTAAATTTATTTGAGTTCATTGTAGATTCTGGATATTAGCACTTTGTCAGATGAGTAGGTTGCAAAAATTTTCTCCCATTTTGTAGGTTGTGGGTTCACTCTGATGGTAGTTTTTTTTGCAGTGCAGAAGCTCTTTAGTTTAATTAGATCCCATTTGTCAATTTTGGCTTTTGTTGCCATTGCTTTAGGTGTTTTAGACATGAAGTCCTTGCCTATGCCTATGTACTGAAGGGTAATGTCTAGGTTTTCTTCTAGGGTTTCTATGGTTTTAGTTCTAACGTTTAAGTCTTTAATCCATCTTGAATTAATTTTTGTATAAGGTTTAAGGAAGGGATCCAGTTTCATCTTTCTACATATGGCTAGCCAGTTTTCCCAGTACCATTTAGTAAATAGGGAATCCTTTCCCCATTGCTTGTTTTTCTCAGGTTTGTCAAAGATCGGATAGTTGTAGATATGTGGCATTATATCTGAGGGCTCTGTTCTGTTCCATTGATCTATATCTCTGTTTTGGTACCAGTACCGTGCTGTTTTGGTTACTGTAGCCTTGTAGTGTAGTTTGAAGTCAGGTAGTGTGATGCCTCCAGCTTTGTTCTTTTGGCTTAAGATTGACTTGACAATGCAGGCTCCTTTTGGTTCCATATGAACTTTAAATTAGTTTTTTCCAATTCTGTGAAGAAAATCATTGATGGCTTTATGGGGATGGGATTTAATCTATAAATTACCTTGGGCAGTATGGCCATTTTCACAATATTGATTCTTCCTACCCGTGAGCATGGAATGTTCTTCCATTTCTTTGTATCCTCTTTTATTTCACTGAGCAGTGGTTTGTAATTTTCCTTGAAGAGGTCCTTCACGTCCCTTGTAAGTTGGATTCCTAGGTATTTTACTCTCTTTGAAGCAATTGTGAATGGGAGTTCACTCATGATTTGGCTCTCTGTCTGTTTTTGTTGTATAAGAATGCTTGTGATTTTTGTACATTGATTTTGTAGCCTGAGACTTTGCTGTAGTTGCTTATCAGCTTAAGGAGATTTTGGGCTGAGACAATGGGGTTTTCTAGATATACAATCATGTCATCTGCAAACAGGGACAATTTGACTTCCTCTTTTCCTAATTGAATACCCTTTATTTCCTTCTCCTGCCAAATTGCCCTTGCCAGAACTTCCAAAACTATGTTGACTAGGAATGATGAGAGGGCATCCCTGTCTTGTGCCAGTTTTCAAAGGGAATGCTCCCAGTTTTTGTCCATTCAGTATGATATTGGCTGTGGGTTTGTCATAGATAGCTCTTATTATTTGGAGATACGTCCCATCAATACAGAATTTATTGAGAGTTTTTAGCATGAAGGGTTGTTGAATTTTGTCAAAGGCATTTCCTGCATCTGTGGAGATAATCATGTGGTTTTTGTCTTTGGTTCTGTTTATACGCTGGATTACCTTTATTGATTTGCATATATTGAACCAGCCTTGCATCCCAGAGATGGAGCCCACTTGATCATTGTGGATAAGCTTTTTGATGTGCTGCTGGATTCAGTTTGCCAGTATTTTATTGAGGATTTTTGCATCAATGTTCATCAAGGATATTCGTCTAAAATTCTCTTTTTTGGTTGTGTCTCTGCCCAGCTTTGGTATCAGGATGATGCTGGCCTCATAAAATGAGTTAGGGAGGATTCTCTCTTTTTCTATTGATTGGAATAGTTTCAGAAGGAATGGTACCAGCTCCTCCTTGTACCTCTTGTAGAATTCGGCTGTTAATCCATCTGGTCCTGGACTCTTTTTGGTTGGTAAGCTATTGATTATTGCCACAATTTCAGAGCCTGTTATTGGTCTATTCAGATATTCAACTTCTTCCTGGTTTAGACTTGGGAGGGTATATGTGTTGAGGAATTTTTCCATTTCTTCTAGATTTTCTAGTTTATTTGCATAGAGATGTTTGTAGTATTCTCTGATGGTAGATTGTATTTCTGTGGGATTGGTGGTGATATCCCCTTTATCATTTTTTATTGCATCTATGTGATCCCTCTCTCTTTTCTTCTGTATTAGTCTTGCTAGCGGTCTATCAAGTTTGTTGATCCTTTCAAAGAACCAGCTCCTGGGTTCATTAATTTTTTGAAGGGATTTTTATGTCTCTATTTCCTTCAGTTCTGCTCGGATTTTAGTTATTTCTTGCCTTCTGCTAGCTTTTGAATGTGTTTGCTCTTGCTTTTCTAGTTCTTTTAATTGTGATGTTATGGTGTCAATCTTGGATCTTTCCTGCTTTCTCTTGTGTGCATTTAGTGCTATAAATTTCAATCTACATGCTGCTTTGAATGTGTCCCAGAGATTCTTGTATGTTATGTCTTTGTTCTCATTGGTTTCAAAGAACATCTTTATTTCTGCCTTCATTTTTTTACGTACCCAGTAGTCATTCTGGAGCAGGTTGTTCTGTTTCCATGTAGTTGAGCGATTTTGAGTGAGTTTCTTAATCCTGAGTTCTAGTTTGTTTGCACTGTGTTCTGAGAGACAGTTTGTTATAATTTCTGTTCTTTTACATTTGCTGAGGATAGCTTTACTTCCAAGTTTGTGGTCAATTTTGGAATAGGTATGGTGTGGTGCTGATAAAAATCAATATTCTGTTGATTTGGGGTGGAGAGTTCTGTAGGTCCATTAGTGGAGAGGTCTATTAGGTCCGCTTACTGCAGAGCTGCGTTCAATTCCTGGGTATACTTGTCAACTTTCTGTCTCATTGATCTGAATAATGTGGACAGTGGGGTGTTAAAGTCTCCCATTATTATTGTGTGGGAGTCTAAGTCTCTTTGTAGGTCACTCAGGACTTTCTTTATGAATCTGGGTGCTCCTGTATTGGGTACATATATATTTAGGATAGTTAGCTTTTCTTGTTGAATTGATCCCTTTACCATTATGTAATGGGCTTCTTTGTCTCTTTTGATCTTTCTTGGCTTAAATTCTGTTTTATCAGAGACTAGGATTGCAACCCCTGCCTTTTTATGTTTTCCATTTGCTTGATAGATCTTCCTCCATCCTTTTATTTTGAGCCTATGTGTGTCTCTGCACGTGAGATGGGTTTCCTGAATACAGCACACTGATGGGTCTTGACTCTTTATCCAATTTGCCAGTCTGTGTCTTTTAATTGGATCATTTAGTCCATTTACATTTAAAGTTAATATTGTTATTTGTGAATTTGATCCTGTCATTATGATGTTACTGGTTATTTTGCTGGTTAATTGATGCAGTTTATCCCTAGCCTCGATAGTCTTTACAATTTGGCATGATTTTGTATTGGCTGGTACTTCTTTTTCCTTTCCATGTTTAGTGCTTCCTTCAGGAACTCTTTTAGGGCAGGCCTGGTGGTGACAAAATCTCTCAGCATTTGCTTGTCTGTAAAGTATTTTATTTCTCCTTCACTTATGAAGCTTAGTTTGGTTGGATATGAAATTCTGCTGAGAGATCCGCTGTTACTCTGATGGGCCTCCCTTTGAGGGTAACCTGACCTTTCTCTCTGGCTGCCCTTAACATTTTTTCCTTCATTTCAACTTTGGTGAATCTGACAATTATGTGTCTTGGAGTTGCTCTTCTCGAGGATTATCTTTGTGGCATTCTCGTATTTCCTGAATCTGAATGTTGGCCTGCCTTGCTAGATTGGGGAATTTCTCCTGGATAATATCTTGCAGAGAGTTTTCCAACTTGGTTCCATTCTCCCCATCACTTTCAGGTACACCAATCAGATATAGATTTGGTCTTTTCACATAGTCCCATATTTCTTGGAGGTTTGTTCATTTCTTTTTATTCTTTTTTCTCTAAACTTCCCTTCTCACTTCATTTCATTCATTTCATCTTCCATCACTGATACCCTTTCTTCCAGTTGATCACATCGACTCCTGAGGCTTCTGCATTCATCATGTAGTTCTTGAGCACTGGCTTTCCGCTCCTTCAGCTCCTTTATGCACTTCTCTGTATTGGTTATTCTAGTTATACAATCATCTAAATATTTTTCAAAGTTTTTAACTTCTTTACCTTTGGTTTGAATTTCCTCCTGTAGCTAGGAGTAGTTTGATCATCTGAAGCCACCTTCTCTCAGCTCGTCAAAGTTATTCGCCATCCAGTTTTGTTCTGTTGTTGGTGAGGAACTGTTCCTTTGGAGGAGGAGAGGTGCTCTGTTTTTAGAGTTTCCAGTTTTTCTGCTCTGTTTTTTCCCCATCTTTGTGGTTTTATCTACTTTTGGTCTTTGATGGTGGTGATGTACAGAGGTGTTTTTGGTGGATGTCCTTTCTGTTTGTTACTTTTCTTCTAACAGACAGGACCCTCAGCTGCAGGTTTGTTGGAGTTTGCTAGAGGTCCACTCCAGACCTTGTTTGCCTGGGTATCAGCAGTGGTGGCTACAGAGCAGTGGACTTTCATGAACCGTGAATGCTGCTGTCTGATCGTTCCTCTGGAAGTTTTGTCTCAGAGGAGTACCCGGCCATGTGAGGTATCAGTCTACCCCTACTGGGTGGTGCCTCCCAGTTTGGCTGCTTGGGGGTCAGTGGTCAGGGACCAACTTGAGGAGTCAGTCTGCCCGTTCTCCAGCTGCATGCTGGGAGAACCACTGCTCTCTTCAAAGCTGTCAGACAGGGACATGTAAGTCTGCAGAGGTTACTGCTGTCTTTTTGTTCATCTGTGCCCTGCCCCCAGAGGTGGAGCCTACAGAGACAGGCAGGCCTCCTTGAGCTGTGGTGGGCTCCACCCAGTTCGAGCTTCCTGGCTGCTTTGTTTACCTAAGCAAGCCTGGGCAATGGTGGTCTCCCCTTCCCCAGCCTCGCTGCCGACTTGCAGTTTGATCTCAGACTGCTGTGCTAGCAGTCAGCTAGACTCCGTGGGCGTAGGACTCTCCAAGCCATGTGGGGGATATAATCTCCTGGTGTGCTGTTTTTTAAGCCCATTGGAAAATCACAGCATTAGGGTGGGAGTGACCCAATTTTCCAGGTGCCGTCTGTCACCCCTTTCTTTGACTAGGAAAGGGAACTCCCTGACCCCTTGCACTTCCCAAGTGAGGCAATGCCTCGCCCTGCTTTGGCTCATGCACAGTGTGCTGCACCCACTGTCCTGCGCCCACTGTCTGGCACTCCCTAGTGAGATGAATCCAGTACCTCAGATGGAAATGCAGAAATCACACGTCTTCTGCATTGCTCATGCTGGGAGCTGTAGACTGGAGCTGTTTCTATTCGGCCATCTTGGCTGCCAGCCTAAAATAATGTTTAGCAAAGTAGAGATGAAAGAGACATTCCTAAATCTGATCAAGAATATCAGCAAAATATCTCATTTAGATATGATAATGGCAAAATACATTTTAAAAATAGAGAATAAGTTAACTAGCCACTCTTCATCATATTTTGGATATCTTAATTAAGTAACTCAAGGAAAAACAAACATTATCTATATATATAGGGAAGAAGGAGAGAAATGGGACATTATTCGTAAGTGTCACAATCCAGTCAATAGAAAAATCTGAAAGAAACTATGGGCAGACTATGGGAATTATTAAGTGATTCTACAAGATTGTGAATAAAATTGTATTTTTATATCCCAGAGAGAATCAAAGAGCATATCTGAAAAGATTATACTCGAAATAACACAAAAACAGTCCAATATTTGAATATATGTTTACTAATTTTGAAATTGTTTAAATATTCATGTAAGAGAGAAATAGTCTACATTTTTGGTTCAAAAGAATATTTTAAAGTTGTCTTTATAGTATGTACCTTCCATGGTACAAGGGGCAGCAGAAAGAGTACCTGATCCCTGAGTTAACCTAGAGAGTCAGTGTTTTTCAGAGATGAGATTTCTACTTCTATTTTATGTTTCCCTTCAGTGCTGATTTTGGAATTTGAACAAGAATCTCCACCTGAGACTGGCTGTGAGCCATAGTAGTGTCTGTTTAACACACCAAGTATTAGCACCACCTCCTGCACACTGCTAGGAGCAGCCAGTGCTCTAAGGGCTGGAGTTTCCCCCAGAGGAGTTTGCAGGGTACCCAAGGAATATAATCAAGAAAAAAACCTTAGGATGTGTTGACCCATCAAAAGAGAGGAATGAACCCTGGGACAGCTGGCAGGAAAACAATATAAGATAGAATTATATATATACACACACACATACAGAATTTTATATATGGTATTTTCTATATATTTTTGGAATCATTTTACAGATAAATATATATGTAGAATTCTATATATGTATAATCATATACATAAAACTAGATATATATGCACATATACACACATTATATATAAAAACAGACATATATACACATACACTGTATATATATATGTATACTATTGTTAAAATAAAAACTTTCAGTATATTAAATTTAACAGAGTTTAATTGATCAAAGATTCCAAAATCAGACAGCCCTAAACTATAGCGGCTCAGAAAGTTTCTGGCACAGCAGAAACTTTTGTCTTTCAGCATCATTTCAACTATTTCACCCCGTTACATGCATTGTAGTTAATGCCCTGAAATGTAGTTTCCTGCCAAACAAAATATCTTGAGAACACGTTGTGGCTGAGCTTGTATATTTATCTACATTGTCTAAATAGCTATAGGTCATCAGAGAGCAGAAATATCCTATGCACTTATGTGACCCTTTCAATAGAGTTAACCACTTAGGACATCTCCAAATTCCTACAAGTGCAATGTTGCAATGATGTTTTCTAGTTGGTGGCTCACTGTGAACATAACCTATTGAAATATCTATAAAGGTAGATATATAAATGTGCCCATTTTGGTCACTGGTCTTACTATGCTCACATCATGTGAAAAAGATGAAGTAACTGACTAAATATGAAATATTGATAGGAACAGGAGGCAGGTAAATTCTGGGTAGAAGAGGGTGGGTCCCTGGCAAGGGCCTCACCCTCAAGCCAAAAAGGCTAACACTGAAACTGACAGTGAGAATTGACATCCTTGCTTTCCCACTCAGATGTTGCCTTTTCTAAAACCACCCATTGTCTGCCCTATCCTGCTCCTGTGCCCAGAAAAAACCCCAGGCTCAGCAAGCAGAGAAAGGAGAAGAGGAGATGCAGCAGGACCTCAGGGACTACGGTTGGACATCAGAGAGATGCAGCTTGACTTCACAGGGACAGCTTGACAGTGTAGCTTTGGTGAGGAGTCCAACTGTCCCCAGGGGAAGATTACTTTCCCTCTCTGTCACTGTTTCATCTCTCTTCCCGCTGAGAGCCACTTTCATCATCAATAAAATCCCCACATTTACCTCCTTCAATTCATTTGTGTGACGTCTTTCCTCCTGGATGCAGGACGACTTGGGTGCCAAGAGTGTAAGTGCAAACGGCTGTTGCACTGACCCTCCACTGAGCTGTTAACTTTTAAGCCATCCATGGGTGGCAAAGCTAAAAAGGTACTGTAACACTTCTCTGGGGATTCAGGAGTCATAGGTGAGGGGTGGAGCGCAGTGGGTCAAGTGAGTGGGGTTCGCTCCTGCTGACACCTGTGCACTGCAATTCCCACCCCTGAAAGGGTCAGGGAACTATCCTGTTTCAATATCATATCTGATAATATAGAATTTGCTGCTATTTGCATTCAATAAATCTGGAGTTAAACAAAACAAAACCATTTGTAATTCCAAATAATAAACACACACCTCCTCAATGATAGTTTCAGAAGCAATGATACCAGCTCCTCTTCATACCTCTAGAAGAAGTCAGCTGTGATGCCTTCTAGCCCTGGGCTTTTTTTGGTTAGTAGGCTATTAGTTACTGCCTCAATTTCAGAAGTTGTTATTGTTACATTCAGGGATTCGAATTCTTCCTCATTTAGTATTTGGAGGGTGTAGGTGTCCAGGAATTTATCCATTTCTTCTGGATTTTCTAGTTCAGTTGCATATAGGTGTTTATAGTATTCTCTGATGGTAGTTTGTATTTCTGTGGGATAAAATACTCCCTTTATCATTTTTTGGGGGGAGTTAGACATAAATATTATGGAAGTTAAGAAACGATAAAACCCTAAGCTTCTCTGGCTTAACAGGATCAACTCTGTTGGAGATGAAATCACTGTGGTGGGGAATAGATTGGAAGCCCCTTGCCACCATGAGTGCCTTCTGTTGGAGAGTCATTTCTTCTTCCAGCCTGTATGCATTCTGTTCTCTAAACTCATATTTTTATTGCTATAAACTACAGCAGCATTATTTCTGGAATTATTTTCTTTCTTCGACACCTATGTTTGTGATTAATTTATAACATATGAGATATATATGAATCTATATCTATATAATTTTTGCAGATATAATTGACATAAGATGAAGCAATACTGGATTATGGCAGAACCTAAATCTGACAGCTGGTATCTTTGTAACAGAAGGAGAGGAAGAATTGGATAAAGAGACATATGGAAGATCTGAAGATGGAAGCTATGTTCGAATGATGTGGTAACAAGCCAAGGGATTCCTGAATCAACCAGGAGCTGGGAAAGGCAGGAAAGGTCCTCCCTTGGAGCCTGTGGAGGGAGAGACGCACTGCCTCACTTTGATTTTTAAACTGCCAGCAGCAGGAGAGATTACATTTCCTAAGTAGTGGGGATTACAAGCATGAGCCACCAGGCCTGGGGAATTTTTGTAATTTTAATAGAGAAAGGGTTTCACCATGTTGGCCACACTACTCATGAAGTCCTGACCTTAGGTGGTCTGCCCACCTCGGCCTCCCAAAGTGCTGGGATTACAGGCATAAACCAATGCACCTGGCCAGAAATTCTTATTGTTTTAAGCCACCCAGTTTGTAGTTATTTCAATGGCAGGCATGGGAAACTTCTAAAACACATATACATGGATGTATAGGCATATTCACATACACACTTGTATGTACAGTCATATGCTACATAATGACATTTTAGTCAATGACAGACTACATATATGATAAGAATTCCATGAGATTATAATGGACCTCAGATATTCCTATTATAATGTGCTGTCCTAGGCTTCCTAGGGTTGTAGCACAAAAGCATTACTCATGTGATTGTGTCCATGCTAGTGTAGAGGCATGTTGCCAGTTAAATAAAAGTGTGCAATAATGTCGCAGGTCTTCATATCCCCTCATCACCCACTCACAGACTCACCCAGAGCAACCTCCAGTCTTGCAAGCTCCATTCACGGTAACTGCCCTATACAGGGCTACCATTTTATATTTTTGATGCTGCATTCTTACTGTACGTTTTCAGTGTTTAGATGAACAAGTACTTGCCACTGTGTTGCAGTTGTCTGTGGTGTTTAGCATGGTATTGTGCTGTACAGGTTTGTGGCCTAGGAGCAATAGGCTCTACCATATAGCCTAAGTGTGTAGTAGGCTGTACCATCTAAGACTGCATAAGTACACTCTAGGATGTTCGCACGAGAACTAAATCAAACAAGGACACATTTCTCAGAAGTATTGTCATTAAGTAACACATGACTCTTTATACATACACATAGGCATAGGCATATAGAAAAAACAAATGTAACTGAAATGGGATCTGGCAATGTGCAGAAACCAAGGCAGCTTTTCTCTGGGTCTCTCTCACAGGAGTCAGCATCCCTTTGCACATGGGATCCAACATGCTTCTCTGCGTATATGATTCGTCTTCTATCATGGGCCATCATTAGTCCTAGCTTAGAGTACATTAATAAAAACATGGCCTTTAATAGGTGGGAGTCACATCAAGTTTTACATTATCCAAGTGGCTGTGTGTGACACCCTATAAACAGTAGCAACAACCCCTGAGATCTCTGTATCTCTGTATCTTGCTTGTCTTTCTAGAGAGTTATAGCAGAAACACAAGGTTTGTAACCTATTTGCCAGAGTGTAACCATAAGCTCCCCTTTTTCCCATAACTAATGAGGTAGTGGTAAATTCAGAATAGGTCTATATATGCAGGTGTGTGTGTGTGTGTATATGTATATGTGTGTGTGTATATGTATATATGTGTGTGTGTATATATATATATATATGATATAGTGTTCTTTATACTCCTTGTGAGAGAATGTAATATATATCCACATATAGATAATATTGTGTATGATATTATATAATACGTATGAACTGTATTGTATGTTTATATTTATAAATATAATGCTTTTATATTATAGAAATATACATATATTTTTATGTTTTAAAAGTAAATAATAAATAGAATTGTACAAATATGATGTGTAATATAAATATTACATATTTTATTTATATGTAAGTTGTATTTTATTTTTATGTAAGTTATATATTACATATATGTAAATATTTATGTACTGTATGTTTGTATATTTTATATTTACTATATGTAAAATTTATATATATAAATATACATATATTACATGTTTAAGGTATATTTCTATTATAGTACAAGTTTATATTAGAAATAAATATACACATATATTTCTATATTAGAAATTTATATATTATATGTATTACATGTATATGTTTTTATATATAATATGCCTATTATATATATTCTAGTATCTATTATATTTACATATTACATATTATTTAGTCTTTGTGTGAACATCCTAGAGTGTACTTACACAATCTTAGATGGTACAGCCATGTATATATACTCATATATATATGAGGTTCTCCAAAGTGTTTCCGGTAAAAACACTAGGTCACTGGCCGTTGTGCTGTGCTAGGATTCATGACTAGAAGATACACTAGTATCTTCCCTCAAGAGTTTAACATTAAAGATGCATGGACACACAATAATAAATATAGTGGTAATATTGTAACTTCTATGTTTCTTGCCTAGCCACACCAAAGAATTAGTGTGACAGCTGACTGCAGCCAGTGATAGAGACACAGACCGATAGAAAAAGCTGTAGGCTTTATTGAGCAGAGTGAAAGTACAAAGATTCCACAGCGTGGAAGGGATCCTGAACAGGTAGCCAGAGTTAGATTATAGAAATGCCTTCTAATTTCTTTAAGGTGGGAAATACCTGTGGCGGGAAAATGTTACCAAAGCAAGAAACAAAGACAGTTAACAATTTGTGGCATGTTTTAGATCTTGAGGAAAACTGGAATTGTAACTTAGGATTTGTCTACTTTAGGACCTTGCTGCAGTATGGCAAAGGAGACAGAATATCACAGAACTTTACAAAGCATGTTTACAAGGAATTGGAATTGGGAGCATAGATAAGGTCTGCTGATCACAGAAAAATGGACAGCTAACATTCCTTTTACTTTAGTTTTGTGGGAGGGGAAGGCGGAGAGGGAGAGAAGACACAGGAAAACTTACAGCAAAATTGTTCCTGTTTATAGCTTTCTTGGGGGAGAAAACACATGAACAAATCCTGGTGTTAGGAATAGTTTAAGCCTATATCTTCGGTATCATTCATCCAGGATTGAGGTAATTCCTGATGCAGGAAATCAGTGAGTTTCCCAGCTTTCTGGGCCCCTACTGAATCCAGGAAGCCCAGCCGGCCCCTCCTTTCAGTCCCCCCTCTAAACAGGACCCTCCAACTGCTCTTGAGAACTGGGTGGCGGTCGTTCTGGCTACTTCCTGCTTGTTAGGGGCAAAGAAGGGACCCTGTAGTTGTGGTGTTCTTCAGAGGGGAACTTTCTAGGCCAGTCAAGGTTCCAATGTGTCAATCCAGGTGTCCTCAGTAGAAGCTGTGATTTGAGCTGATTTGAGGTTCCATTTGTACGACCATTTGTAGCATGATGGCCTCGATCCTGGAGGAAACAAATTTGACACAGAGGTTAAAAATGCAAGGCCTAAAGGTGAGTAAAAATAGGATGGGTGTCACAGGACCTAGAAAGGGGAGTAGCCAAGGTATCCATTGGTTAAACATATTTCAGGGTTCAGAGTGATCAAGCTCCTTTTTCCTACTTTTTTCCGTTCTCTTATTTATTTAAACTTTTCAGTAATGATTGCTGACTGGTTAATGAAACAGCAACCTTCTTCTCCCAAGAAGATGAAGGTTCCTCTTCTTTTAGCTGTTAATAGGTCCAGGGATCTTTGGTTTTGGAGGACCACTGCAGCTAGAGAAGTAAGCTGGCTTTGTAGGGTCACTAGGGTGTTGGAAATTTGTTCCATGTCATCATTTAATTTTCGTGATAATTTATAATAGAATTGAGTGGAGGAGGTTATGCCTCCAATTCCAATAGGAGCCCACCTATTATTCTGGCTCCTACAATAAAAGAGACAATAAGGGCTCATATGTGGCAAGATTGTGTTATAAGGAGACTTTGTAACTCTTGTTCAGTGCATATGGAGATGGGAGTTGCTATAAAGAAGAGAAAGCATAATTCTTTTGGAGTGCTATTTAGGCATCAACAGGCTGTGTTATTATAGATGAAAAAGATGCCTGAAGTTAGACAGGTGAAACCTGACATTACTGACATCCAGGAATGACATTGGGGGGTGTTTTTATTGAGAGTCATGCTGAAGTTCATGCATGTGAGATTTGAGGCCTCTGTGGCTGGTAAATTGGTGACTATGGGACCGATTAATTTGGTGGTGTTTAGGACTGGGGTGGATAAGTTCCACTATCTGGGGACAGGGACTGGGACATATGGTTGGAAACACAAGGGGAGACACATCCAATAGTTGGTTGGATTATTAGGAGAGGTCTCTTGTATTCTTGTAAGGGTGGTGTTAAACAGGCTCCAAGGAACAGTTTTATAACATTCTTTTCTCATGTAAGTATGAGTGGCAAAAGATGTGGGTGTTTGGAAGGGGCTACCCAATCTGCAAGAGTTTCTGATAGAATGCCAGTTGTCTCCTCCAGGGGAGGCACACTGACACGGGGTGTGTGTTGTTGTTGGAGAAAGGGACACGAGTATGAAGAGGATGACAGGAAGCCTAAGAGGAATCATGAAGTGTTGTAAGTGAAATGGTCACAGGAAAGAGGAGGGAAAAAGGAGTGAATTGCTGTTACAAGGAAGGCAGATAGAAGAAACGTGCTTAATAATGTAACAAAACAGTAGAAGTCTTCCATTAAAGAGAGCAAGGAGAGAAGTTAAAGATCATGTTGGTTTTTTTTTTTTTTTTTTTCCCCACTGATCCTCATTTAGGTAAGGAGAAGTCCCTCTTCAGGATTAACTGCAGGATTTTTTCTGGTCTGAAGTGTTCCTTTCCAAAATAGGAGATGCAGGTCCTCTTGTGGTGGCCAGGTGTATCGAAGCTGGTCTGGCTGACTTGTGACTCCTGAGTTGATGATTCTGTAAGTTTCTCAGGAGGTGTCCAAGGCTTAATTTGGGTGTGGTGAATCCAGGATTCCATTCCCGTCACTTTAACTGCAGTGGGGGTAGAGAGGATTACCAAGTATGGTTCCTCCCATTAGGGATCCATAGAAGGAGAGCTAGAGGGGAGAGACTTGACCAATACTAGATCTCCTGGTTGAAACATCTCTATTCCTTTTTCCCTGTCACACTTTTCAGGTAAAGTTTTAAGATTTTGTTGATATTTTGCCAGAGAAGTTATATCTTTTACTAAATTGGCCTTTTCCTGATTGAGCAGGAGGTCATCTGTGAGAAAAGCCATCCATACAACACTTCATATGGACTGAGCCCCATTCTGTGAGGGGAGTTTCAGATTCTTAATAAGTCCATGGGCAACAGAGTGGGCCGAGCAAGATGAGTTTCTTGCTCTAGTTTTCTCAAATGCCTCTTGAGAGTTTCATTTGCCTTTTCAACTTTCCTTGAGGATTGTGCCCTCCAGGCACAGTGAAGTTGATATTGTATTCCTAGTGCCTTGGAAATTCCTTAAGTTGTTGTAGCTTTAAAAGCTGGACAATTGTCACTCTATAAGCTATGGGAAGTCCAAATCTAGGAATTATTTCATGAACTAAGACTTTAACCACTTCTTGGACCTTCTCTATTCTACAAGGGAAGGCTTCTACTCAATTTGTAAAGGTATCAACCCAGACCAATAAGTATTGAAATTCTCTTGGGTTTGGCATATGGGTAAAATCTAACTGCCAGTCCTCTCTGGGATAATGTCCTGTTCTTTGTCCTCCTGGAGAGGCCTTACAGTGGGCCAAGGGGTTGTTCTTTTGGCACATTTCACAGGCTTTGACTACTTGCCTGATGGTTTTGAGGAGGTTTGGCCCTGTAAATAGAGACGTGGTCATGTTATGGGTACTTTCAATAACAGTATGAAAAGTTTGGTGAAAGGTTTTAAGTATTTTCCAGTGGCTGGCTTCAGGTATGAGCACCTTTCCTTCCTATGTTATTAGCCACCCCGACGGGAGAAAACTATGTCCTTGTGAAAGTCCCCATTCTATTTCAGTTGGAGAGTACTGGGGCTTAACCTCCTGGAGGGAGGTTTCTCCATACCAGGTGTCCTTCCTTGGGCATTTCTGAAGGAAACTCCTGCCTGGCAGCAATTTTGGCCTCAGACTCTGTTTGGTACTTTCCTTCTGCTTCTTCTCCTTCACCTTTCTGATGGCCCCAGCAGTGTAAAACTGCCACCTCTTTAGGTTTTTGCACTGTGTGCATTAATTCCATGATTTATCTGTGGTATTTAATAGGTGTTCCTCCGGAGGTTAAGAACTCTCTTTCTTTCCATATTGCAGCATGTGCATGTAAGACTAGAAAAGCATACTTGCTATCTGTGTATACATTTATGCTTTCTTCTTCTCCCAGTTCTAAGGCTCAGATTAGCACAATGAATTCTGCTAACTGAGCACTGGTCCCTAGAGGAAGAAGTTTATTTTCAAGTACTGCTGTATCACTAACTATGGCATAGCCTGCCTTTTGTACCCAATTTTCTACAAATGAACTTCCATCAGAGTACAGATTAAGGTCAGGGTTAGTTAAGGGGACTTCTAAGAGATCTTTTCGGGTGGCAAAAGTATGAGCTAAAATTTGTTGGCAGTCATACTCAATTGGTTCCTCACCCTCTGGGAGAAAAGTGGCAGGATTGAGGGCCACACACATGCATATTTGAAATACTGGTACTCAAGGAGTGGCGCCTGGTATTTAAGTAGTCCACTATCTGACAGCCACAGACTTCCTTTAGCATTTAATATACCACTTACATCATGAGTGTTCCAGAAAGTGAGATCCTTTCCTTGTATTATTTTAACAGCCTCTGACACTAAGATGGCTACTGCTGCAACCACCGATAAACAGTGAGGCCAGCCTTTGACTACTACATCAATTTCTTTACTTAGGTATGCCACTGGCTGTGGGGCTGTACCAGGAGTCTGAGTAAGAACTCCAAGAGCTATTCCTACTCTTTCAGTGACATATAAAGATAAATTTTGTCCTGGGGGATGCTCAGGGCTGGAGCTTGTACCAGGGTCTGCTTTAAAGTTTTGAAGGCTGTTTCCACCTCCAGTTCCCATTCTACTAGGTGGGTATTTGCCTTCTGATTTTCCTTTATCAGGGGATAGAGTGGCCTGGCCATTTCACTCTATCCAGGAATTCACAGTTGGCAAAAGTCAGTGATTCCAAGGAACCCCCCCTCAACTTTTTCAACGTCTTAGGGTGAGGGTAGGCCAGTATAAGATAAATACACTCTTTGCTGAGGACTCCAGTTCATTTGGCCAGGATTAGGCCTAGACACTTAACTTGTTGTAGACAGAGCTGGGCCTTTGTCCTAGATGTTTTGTGCCCTTGATTAGCTAGAAAGTTTAAGAGGTCTAGAGTAGCCTGCTAACATGTGGCTTCCAAACTCATAGCCAGAAGTATGTCATCCATGTATTGAAGGAACAGAGTGCCTGGACTGGAGAATAGGCCTAGGTCCCGGGCCAGTGCCTGCCCAAACAGATGAGGGCTATCTCTAAACCCTTGGGGTAAGACTGTCCACATAAGCTGGGACATGTGCTCTGTATAATCCTCAAAGGCAAAGAGGAACTGGGAGTCAGAGTGCAGAAGAAGGCATCTTTGAGGTCCAGAACAGCGAACCATTCTGCTTTTTCTGGTATCTGAGAGAGCCGTGTATAGGGGTTGGGTACAGCTGGATATAAAGTAATTACTTCTTCATTGATGATTCTGAGGTCTTGCACTAGTCTCCACTGACCATTTGGTTTTTGTATTCCTAGGATTGGGGTGTTGCAATGACTGCTTACATTTTCTTACTAAGCCTTGAGCTTTTAACTGTCTAAAAATATCTTGTAATCCTTTGTGAGCTTCAGGCCTTAAGGGATATTGACTTTGATAAAGAAAAGAGGTGGGGTCTTTTAGCCTGATTTTAACTGGATGGGCATTCTTTGCCCTTCTGAATTGTCCATCCAAGGACCAGAGTTCAGAGTTGACTCATTCTTCAAGTAGGGGACAACAAAGGGGTAATTTGTTCCCCATATTCATGTAGATAATAGCCACAGCTTTGGCTAATATGTCCCTCCCTAATAAAGGTGTGGGACTTTCAGGCATAACAAGAAAGGCATGTGAAAAGAGCAAAGTCTCCCAATTACAACTGAGGAGCTGGGAGAAATGCCTGGTTACAAGCTATCCTAAGATTCCTCGGATAGTAACAGACTTTGCAGACAGTCGTCTGGGGCAGGTGATTAAAATTGAGAAGGCAGGGCCAGTGTCTAGGAGGAAGTCCACTTACTGGCCCTCAATGTTCAAACTTACCTGGGGCTCTTTGAGGGTGATGGCCTGAGCTGTCGCTTGCCCTGGCACCCTCAGTCCTGTTGCTGAATCACCTGACTGGGTGCTTCTGGCCCAGAGGGCCTTCATCCTCTGGGGCAGTGTGACTTCCAGTGATTACCTTGGCATCTTGGACATGGGTAAGGGGGCAGCAACTGTCCTACTCCTCTTTTGGTTCCCTCTGAGCTGCCAAGGTCTGCCTGTCTGAGGGCCATGACTAAGGCTGGAGACTTTCTCTTATATCGCTTTTCCCTTTTGGCATGTTCCTCTTGGTCCCTATTATAGAACACTGAGGTTGCCAAGTTCAATAATGCCTCCAAATTTTGTTCTGGGCCTAAGGCAGACTTTTGGAGTTTTTTCCTAATGTCAGTCACTGACTGGGTGATAAATTTATCCTTTATGATAAGTTGGCTTTCCATGGAATCCAGAGCTAAGGAGGTGTGCTTTCTTAGGATCTCCTTTAACCTTTGTAGAAAAGTTGAGGGGTTTTCCTCTTTTCCTTGCACAACTGTGGATAGCATTGAGTAGTTCATAGGCTTTTTCCTAGTTTTCCTCAACTCTTCCAAAATGCAACTTAGCAAATGCCTGTGGCTCCAGTCTCCAGGATCTGAGTCAGTATCTCAGTGAGGGTTTACAGTAGGGACTGCCTTTTGCCCTGTGGGGAATTTTTCCCTCACCTTCTGGGCCATTTGATCATTTACCTGGCTAAGGTACCACGGATCCCCAAATTGCCAGGTTGTTGTTAAAGCTTCTTGCTTTTCAGTAGGACATAATGTCTAATCAAGAAGTAAAATTATATCTCTCCATGTTAGATCAAAGGACTGCCTTAATCCTTGCAAGGCATCTATATACTTATCAGGTTCATCTGAGAATTTCCCTAAGTTTGACTTTATTTGTTTTAAGTCTGAGAGTGTGAAGAGACACGTACAAGGAAGGGCCCAAATTCCTCTCCTACTGCTTGTAAGGGACATAGTTTGGGTGCCTGGCTTGGGGAGTTTACATTCTCTTTACCACTTCAGTGGGGCAGGATGGAGGAGAGTCAGTGGGGGAGGAGAGTGGGGCTGAGGGAAGAGGCTGTGAGTATGGAGGTAACTGTGGGCCTTTGTCATTTTGGCAAAGCTTGTAGGCTTGGCACAGGGCAGTATTGTCATGAAGGGCAAAGAAAGCCTGTACATAAGGGACTATACTCTATTTATCTTCCTGTTCACAGAAAAGATCTAGCTGTAGAAGGGTATTATAATTAATACTTCCCTCAGGGGGCCAAGTTTTTCCATTTTGTAAGAAATTCCATGGTCAGGCAGTGGTATAGAAGAAAATTAGCTGCTTCTTTTGTAAGGTTTCAGGGTTGAATTTGTCCCAGTTATTCAGGATACATCTTAAGGGGGTGTCCAGTTTTGAAGGTATGGAGCCCATCTGGAATTTTACACACAGAGATGCCCACACCCCTGGTTAGTACTGGGACTCTTCTTCTCTTAGGGTGTCCCCCAAGGGTCAGGTCCTATTGTGCTCAAAGCTCATGGCTGCATTTCCTGAGCCCTCCGCCTGCCGGATTTAACCATGCTTACCAGCAGGATGGAAACTTCCTTTGCCCCTGCCATGCACCCATTGACCACTAAATGGGGCACAAGGACTGTTGGATTTATTGTGGTCCTTCCTCCAACACATCCTACCTTTTCCAGGGTGACAAGGCCTGGGTCGGGGCACCACTGATGCTTGCATGCTAAGGCCCAATTTATGTGGGCCTGGTCATCAAAACTGTCCTTCAAGGAGAAATCTCTGAATTAGCAACAGGAGGCTTAAGAAGCTTTAAGGGTGTGGTGGATGTCCTCTAGGCCAGGGCCGAGAGAACAGCTGCTGTACTCTAGCCTTCTGTCCCCACTTGCCATCAAAGTAGTAAGCCCCCCTTTCAAGGTGGTACTAGTATCATGTGTCCAAACTGACCGTATATTCACCCTTCCATTACCAATTATTGAATGGTTGAAACAACAATTCAACAACTCTAAGACTTTGCCTATGCACAACAGATTGTCCTTGAGTGGCCCCAGGTAGGAGAAAGCCTATCTGGGGAGCAATGGTGGAAATGCCCTAAGGCTTCTACTATCCACATGAAAATTACAGACCTGTCTTTAAATTGTCCTGATGTGGGTGGCCATACACTATGATGGGGGACTGGCCTTTCAAAGTGGCCATCAAATGGTGACACCTGCCTAAATCCCAGAGGCAACATGAACAGAGGTCTTCTGGGCACCACCCCAAGAATTTAAGACTTCTAAATAGGGAATCTTGATCCTGCCTAGCAGGAATAACCTACTTGTGAGATGAGGAAAGAAGTTTAGCCATTGGACATAAGGACCCAGGAGGCAGGAGTCAGAAGATGTCTCATGCTCAGTAACCTCTGCAGGGGTAGACTCTGGTGGGACCATGGTCTCAACCAGGGTATCTGGGAGACTAAGATGTTCACTGAGCACTCCCAGTTGTACTTTGGGACCACCATGGGAAGCAAAACTGGGAACAAATTCTCCCAACCCCAAAGAGTCGTGGGTTGTTAGAGAGCCCTTTTCCAGACAGCCTGACATCCGTGTCTTTAGTCCAGTGGCCATGCTAATTGCCTCTAAGTGGCCAACTGGTTTTTATCCTCCTAATTCTAAGGAAGGATACAACAGAATAGCAAGAGAAATAAGTCCAATCATACCCACCACCTGAAGATCTAGGTGCTTTTCCTGGAGCCTCCTGGCTGGCTCACCGAAATGTCACAGCTAAGGTTGTTGCCTAGCCATGCCAAAGAATTGGTGTGGTGGCTGAACCTGGGCAAGTGATAGTGACATGGCCCGATAGAGAGAAAAAGCTGTAAGTTTTGTTGAGCAGAGTGAAAGTATAAAGCTTCCACAGCATGGAAGGGATCCCAAATGTGTAGCCAGAATTAGAGTATATGAATGCCTTTTAAACTCCATAAGGTGGAAAATACGTGCAACTTAGGTTTTATCTACTTTATGACCTTGCCACAGCATGGCAAAGGAGACAGGATTTTACAGGATTTTACAAAGTATGTTTACAAGGAATTGGAATTGAGAGCATAGATAAGGTCTGCTGGTCACAGAAAAGTGGACAGCTAACATTCCTTTTACTTTAGTTTTGGGAGAGGGGGAAGGCAGAGAGGGAGAGAGGACACAGGAAAACTTACAGCAAAATTGTTCCTGTTTATAGCTTTCTTGGGGAAGAAAACACATGCACAAATCCTGGTGTTAGGAATAGTTTAAGCATATATCTTCAATACTATCCATCCAGGATGGAAACAATTCCTAATGCAGGAAATCAGTGAGTTTCACAGCTTTCTGAGCCCCTACTCAACCCAGGAAACCTAGCTAGCTTCTCCAGTCAATATTGCAAGTTATTACATTAAAAACGTAATTATCTGAACAAAGCTTTATGAATGACAGTGCTTAACAAGGTGGTAGTGAAAAAGTGAAGATAAAGAAGACAGGGTTTCAAGAACTGTATACCTACTTTGCAGCCATGTCACTAAACCAGTTGTGATCAGAATGACAATTCAAAGAAAGAGGAGTATTCTGTTTAAATTGTCTCTGAGCTTGAGGAGTAAGAAGTATAAAACATGGGAGAAACTGATTGCATGGAAATATAGTGGAAACAAATTGTAGATGAGGGTTTGCATCCGCAGAAGCTAGTGATGGGATGGGAATTCAAGGAACTCCTAGTGAAATGCTCAAACATTTTCAGGGACATAAGATAAAATTCCTGGAAAGTTTACAGAATTGGAAAAAGCACAGGCAGCACAGTCTCACTGTGAAAATAATTGCAGCTAAGTTATAATGGATGTTTAGACTATATCACATTTGGCACCAGCTATTTATGCTCATTTCATAATTTATCAGTGCATCAGTTGTACCAGGAAGATAATAATATTCAGCTGCTTTCCCAGAGTCTGAAATCATCTGCACACATTCCAAGGGTGACAGATGGCAGACTTGCTAGGGGACAACTCTCTTCTTCCCCCTCCCATAGAAACCTTTCAAATTCTAGCACGTGTAAAAGAGGAAGCCATTTCCTCAAAGCACCATTTTTTCTTTGCTTATTTCCCCTACCAAACTTCTTCCTTTGATTTTAAGTCCAACTGCAGTCCTTTCAAAGAATCAAAATCAGCAGCAATGCCGTTACTTAACAGCAAAAGTTACTCAAATTCTGAATTAATAAGTGCCATTTGGAAATTTAGCTGCAGAAACTCAAAAAATGAAACTAGAGAAACCCATAACATAATAGGGGATTTGACAAACTTCTCTAGGGAACTGATAAAATAACTAGACAAAGAATCAGTAGAAGGTTATAAATATTTAAAATTGGAATACATGATTAGTAAACTAGTCTTGTAATCTATAAAACCTTACATCCACAGTGTAAAATACACATTCTTTAGAACATGTGAAATAATAACTGTGGAAGGAAACTATCTGGGGGGCTCCAAAATCACTAATCTAAATGGAAAAGTCAAGCTGGGAACTGCTTAGGGCAAATCTGCCTCCCCTTCTATTCAAAGTCTTCCCTCTGTTTACTGAGATAAATGCATATCTGATTTTCTCCTTTAAAGAGGCTAATCGGAAACTCAAAAGAATGCAACCATTTATCTCCTATCTACTTCCAACCTAGAAGACCCCTCCCGACTTGAACCCTTCTAGGCTGAACCAATGTTTATTTTACATATATGTTGATTGATGTCTCCCATCTCCTTACAGTGTGTAAAGCCAAACTGTACTCTGACCAACTTGGGCATATGTCCACGTGTCCATATAGAAGACCACGTGAACAGGCTTTGTGTGAGCAAACAAGGCTGTTTATTCAGTTGGGTGCAAGTGGGCTGAGTCTGAAAAGAAAGTCAGAGAAGGGAGATAGGAGAGGAGAAGCTTTATAGGGCTTGGGTAGGCAGTGGAAAGTTAGAGTTAAAGGTGGTTGTCTGTTTTCAGTAGGGGAGGGGGTCACATGGTTCCTGGTGGAGAGATGATGAGACTCATTGTCCAGGAGAAGAATGTCACAGGATCAATTGATCAGTTTGGGCAAGGCAGAAACAAGTCATAATGGTGGAATGTCATAAGTTGGTGGAATGTCATGAGGTTGGTCAATCAGTTAGGGCAGGAGCTGGCTGTTTCACTTCTCTTGTGGTTTTTCAGCTGCTCCAGACTTCTTGGCTCCTGCAGGCCATCTAGATGTATATGTGAAGGTCACAGAGGCTATAATGGCTGAGCTTTGGCTCAGAGGCCTGACGAGACCACCAAACAGACCACATCCTGGGCTGTAAAGCAAAGTTCAATAACTTCAACAACTTTTTTTCTCTGAACACAAAGTTTCACCACTAGAAAAAAACGCTAAAATGTTTGAAATTAAGAAAGAAAGTTCTAAGTAGTTCCTTTACCAACTGAAAATAAATATGGAAATTAGAAAATACTCAGAAATAACAAGGAAACTTTCATATGACACCTGGCAATTTTTTGGAGGCCATGAAAAATGGTGCTAAGCAAATTTAATTATTTTAAGTAAATTTGGCCCTACAACAACATAAAGATTAGGGACACGGATCCCCACTCACAATCAACAGTCTGCATTTAATTTCTGACTGCCCCGGAACTCTACTCTTAATAGTGTACTTTTGACCAGAAGCCTTATTGATAATACAAACAGCCAATAAACACATATTTTGTATGATCTATGCATTACATACTGCTATACTGTATTCTTACAATAAAGTAAGCTACAGAAAAGAAAATGGTATTAAGAAAATCATAAGGAAGAGAAAATATATTTACTATTTATTAAGTGGAAGTGGATCATCATAAAGGTCTTCATCTTCATTGTTTTCACATTGAGTAGGCTGAGGAAGAGGAAGATTAGGAAGAGAAAAAGGAGAAGAGGTTGTTCTTGCTGTCTCAGGGGTGTCAGAAGTAGAAGAAAATTCATGCATGTGTGAACTCATGTGGTTCAAACCGATGCTTTTCAAGGGTGAACTTAGTCATGTAAAATTGAGTTTGGAAAATAAGTTTGTAGCAGAGGGATTAAAAAATGAGTCTTTCTGATATGTAGATGACATTCAATGGCATCCCACTGTATGAAAGGAGTGAATGTCAGTAAAAGACTGAGTCAGAATTTAACAATATCAGGGAAAAGCAAAGGAAATGGCAAACTGAGAATTAGCAATGGGTATAGTAGGAAAAGAAACACACACACAAGCAAGGCAGTGTATTGTCCTAAAGACCAGTATGCAGAAGTGACAAGTCATTTCAAGATAGAGATTGTGAATTGAAAATAGAATTCAACACTGTGACGTTATCAGTGACCTTTACATAACTTCTCAGAAAGGTAGTAGAAAATTTTGAATGGACATTATTAAAAGAGAATGGCAGGTGGAAAAAACAGGGGCATGGTGAGGAGACACAGCTATCATGGAGGAATTTTGCTGATATAGGAGCACAAAGAAAGGAGTGGGGTTGGTGCCACTATCTGACTGATAAAATGAGATTGTCTTAGCTCACTCAGGCTGTTTTAACAGAATACATTAGACTGGATAATTTGGAAACAACAGAAATTTATTTCTTACCGTTCTGGGGCCTGAGATGTCCAAGATGAAGACATGGCAGATTCAGTGACAACTTGCTTTCTGCTCCTCTTACTGTGTCCTCACTTGGTGGAAGAGGCAAGGGAGCTCTATGAGGTGCCTTCTATAAGGATACTAATCCCATTCATGAGGATTCACCCTCATGATCTCATCACCACATGAAGCCCCCACCTCCAAATACCATTGTAATATGGTGTGGCTGTGTCCCTACCCAAATCTCACCTTGAATGATAATGATCCCCACATGTTAAGGGCAGGACCAAGTGGAGATAACTGAATCATGGCAGTAGGTATTCCCCATGCTGTTCTCGTGATAGTGAATAAGTCTCATGAGAACTGATGGTTTTATAAAGGGGAGTTCCCCTGCAGAAACTCTTTTTCCTGCCACCATATAAGATGTGCCTTTCTTCATGATTGTGAGCCTTACCCCTCAATCATGTGGAACTGTGAGTCAGTTAAAGCTCTTTCCTTTGTAAATTGCCTTGTCTTGGGTATTAGCAGCATAAGAAGAGACTAATACACATTGCATTGAGGTTTATGATTTCACCATAAACATTTCAGAAGACACAAAAATTCTTACCATAGCAAAGATCAAGATAATTTCTTTTACAATTATAGAAAATATGACAAATGTATGTGTTTGTTGGATGGAAAGGTTTCACTAGGGCAAGAGCTAAGTAGCTGTATCCTTGAAAGGAAAAGAGAAGAGAGAATCTATTGCACAGATAAAGGGATTATGTTTAGAGGAAAACATGTACCACTCATCCACATTAAGAAACTACAGGGAAGAGTGTGTAGGTTGAGATGTCGGTAGCTTGATGCATGTGCAGGTGGAAGCCCATGGAAGCTTGTATCTCATCCCTTCCCTACTCTTGATGAAAGAGAACTTAATCTCCTGATTAGCAGAGAAAAGTGTTGGAATTCCAGGAAAAGAAACTATAAAACAGCTCTCAGAAGGAGTTAAAGTATTCATAGACTGGGAAAGTATAGCAACAGCTCCTGGAATCCCAACTTGGAGCTAATTAATCACAAATATAAAGTCTGAGCAGCTGGTATGGTTATTTGTGTGCACAGATGAAGGCCAATGGAGTGTAGGTGGAGTTTTATTTAGCCAGAATTGTGGTTAAAACCCAGTCTAAAAGAAAGCAAGAAGGAAGCAAGAGATTCAGGGAATCCCCGTGGGAGTGATTGTGAGGTTTGGCAATGTGATTTCAGTGGGGAAATAGGAAAAAGAAAAGAAGATGCATTTCAGTAAAATGTAGTGGTGTGCTGCAAATACTTGAGTTATTAGAAAGGGGAAGTTGTGCTATTAAGATTATAGAGGAGTGGTACTTATTGGAACTTATAATACGTAAGAAATTAGGTAAAATATAGAAAAATGTATTGGAGGTAAGATTTTAGAGAATTTGAGAGGTGAGTGTGTTGAAAAATTACATGTATATATCCTAATATCAAGAATTAGGGCTTGGTGAAGTGGTTCACACCTGTAATCACAAGACTTTAGAAGGCTGAGGTGGTAGGATCACTTGTGGCCAGGAGTTTGAGAACATCCTGGGTAACATAGTAGACCCAGTTTCTACAAAATAATTAAAATAATTAGCTGGGCATCATGGTGCATGCCTGTATTCCCAGCTATTCCAGAGGTTGAGGCAGGATGATCACTTGCCCTCAGGAGTTCCAGGCTGTAGTGAGCCATAATTGCACCACTGTACTCCAGCCTGGGCCATAGAATTAGATCCTGTCTCAAAAGAAAACAAAAAAGAATAACCTCATTAGGAGATGATGAAAATTAAGAAGGAGGAACAATGTTGAGAAATAATTGGTACTAAGTTGGGTGTCAGTATAGGAGGTTGATATAATTTGATATCATAAGATCATAAAATGATGAAATTGATAAAATCAGATGCCATGACATCCGAAGCTGGGTGGTTTAAGAAGCCAGAGGACAAATGATCTGAAGGTGGAAATTTGAACAAGGCAAACATGGAAGCTAATTCCAGCATTAAGAGTCCAAGGCTTTAAGGCATTTCTTCTTATGACCCCTCCACTTAACCCAGAATCTTAAATAACTGCAGGGGAGGTGATGTCCTTGAGGGAGGGTTTGAGAAGCAGTAGTAACAAGATCTCCATAATTCCATGAAGCAATGAGAAAATTTCAGAGGTTGTATACAGGAAGGAGATGAATCATCAGATGGGTTCCATGGATTATTGGAGTCCAGGAGGTGAAGCGTGATGACCTGTAAGCTACTGCTATTGTATGACTGATAAACACAGAGAAATGGAATGCCAGGCCACAGTGGGAGCCAGGACATGAGTGCCGCAGGTTAGGGCTGTCTGCGTTTCAAAAGTTTTCTTGTTACCCCTGGCAATGGAGCCTGGAAGAGGAGGTAAAGTATTATCATGTCCCAGAGCCTCACTTTTGGGAAGTTATGTGGCTCTGGATTGTCTGAAATATCTAAAATCACTCTTATTTACACAACTGTATAATTATTTAAGCATTAGACCTAAAACCATAAACACCCTAGAAGAAAACATAGGCATTACCATTCAGGACATAGGCATGGGGAAGGACTTCATGTCTAAAACAACAAAAGCAATGGCAACAAAAGCCAAAATTGACAAATGGGATCTAATTAAACTAAAGAGCTTCTGCACACCAAAAAAAAAAAAAAAAAAAAAAAACTAACATCAGAGTGAACAAGCAACCTACAAAATCGGAGAAAATTTTCACAACCTACTCATCTGACAAAGGGCTAATATCCAGAATCTACAATGAACTCAAACAAATTTACAAAAAAAAAAAACCAACAACCCCATCAAAAAGTGGGCGAAGGACATGAACAGACACTTCTCAAAAGAAGACATTGATGCAGCCAAAAAACATATGAAAAAATGCTCACCATCACTTGCCATCAGAGAAATGCAAATCAAAACCACAATGAGATACCAGCTCACACCATTTAGAATGGTGATCATTAAAAAGTCAGCAAACAACAGGTGCTGGAGAGGATGTGGAGAAATAGGAACGCTTTTACACTGTTGGTGGGACTGTAAACTAGTTCAAACATTGTGGAAGTCAGTGTGGCAATTCCTCAGGGATCTAGAATTAGAAATACCATTTGACCCAGCCATCCCATTACTGGGTATATACCCAAAGGACTATAAATCATGCTGCTATAAAGACACATGCACACGTATGTTTATTGTGGCACTATTCACAATAGCAAAGACTTGGAACCAACCCAAATGTCCAACAATGATGGACTGGATTAAGAAAATGTGGCACATATACACCATGGAATACTATTGCAGCCGTAAAAAATGATGAGTTCATGTCCTTTGTAGGGACATGGATGAAATTGGAAATCATCATTCTCAGTAAACTATCGCCAGAACAAAAAACCAAACACCGCATATTCTCACTTATAGGTGGGAATTGAACAGTGAGAACGCATGGACACAGGAAGGGGAACATCACACTCTGGGGACTGTTGTGGGGTGGGGGGAGGGGGGAGGGATAGCATTAGGAGATATACCTAATGCTAAATGACGAGTTAATGGGTGCAGCACACCAGCATGGCACATGTATACATATGTAACTAACCTGCACATTGTGCACATGTACCCTAAAACTTAAAGTATAATAATAAAAAAATCTATGATGGCATTTAGGAATTGCCTGGATACACTAGAAACGAAACCCAGGCAAAACCACCCAACAATCCTCAGTATGCATTTATTAAATCAATGCTATAAAATCATCTTACCTTGTTAACATTTACAAAGTCCCCTGGAGGTTTTCTTCAGTGACTTAATCAGCTTGTGTCTTCAACACCTTCCTATATCCCTTATTCATTATAGATCCTTCCTATATAGATGGTCTATGGGAACTGGCTGATTATTTTTAACATAGCACACATCAAAATAGTTTTCCACTTTTTTACCTTGGAATTCAATAATTTTTAACAAAAGACACTGGTATTGTTTTCTTTCCATGAGTCAGAAATAAGTCAATTTGCTTTTTAACTTTCACTAAGTAAGTCATAGCAAAGAATCCAAAGTAAGTATCTTATGTATGCAAAATGTAGACGATGCTATTGGAAGTTTAGCAGTAATAGGTGTATACATGTTAAAGAAAAAGTTGAATATACCATATAGCACAAAATATTACTGAAGTTGGCTTCCCGATCTTTCAACAGGACTGAACAACAAGGTGCATAAAATTTCAGAGACATGGGAAACACTCTCAAGCAGAAAACAGAGTCAGCTCCTTATGGGACAAAATTGGCTTGAGCAATTATTCCTTGGAAATGTTGCAAAGAGTTCAATGGCCACCTATTGTCACCAAGAGCTGCTGATTTTGCTGGAAAGAGCTTCCCAAAATTGCCTCAGGCAGCTGCTAGTGGAAGACAATCTGAAGCTCATGGGAGTGGACTTGACTTCAAGTTTGTAAGAAGTAAAGTAGAGGTTCCTCTTCAAAGACTTTCCTCCCCATTTAGGAATAAATAGTAACTTCTCTTAGAAGCAATATTTATTCAAAGACCTGTGCTAACATTCTTAAATGTCTGCTAACCATAATGAATCAATGTATTTTATGTTCTTAGCTCCCACAATTTAGCATAAATATTTGCCCTGGCATGCTTATACTGGTCCAAGCAAGCGTTAGGTCATAGTGTGTTCTTCTTCCTTATTTAAAAGTGTTTTTAACTTTCTCAACATCTCACAAGTTACTTCCTCCTTCCTTTGTTCTCCTATACCTTTGTGTCTTTTAAAACATTGCAAGTTGCTGGCCAATCGGGACAAATACAGAATGTGAGGTCACATTCCAGCTGATGGAGACTGGACACGGCAGTAGGATGGACGCATCAGGATATAAATGACCCTGTCACCTTTGTTCGGTGTACTCTCGTGACAAAACTGCTGGAGAGTGTATACCCTTTTTACAGGAAGTAAAAATTGCCTTACTAAATAGATTAAATTTATGTTCGGGTGCTATTTCTTTATGGCACCAGGCCACAAACACTTCAGACAAGTTCATAAACTACCAGGTATGTTAAATTGATTGGCCCCAATATTTCTATTGTCTACTGCTATACCAGTGTAAATCATTTTATTGGACATTTAAAGATGTTCGCAAATTTGAAGTTAAGAGTTTATGTGAGATAAGTAGGCAGGGTTGAAGGGAGAAGAAAGAAATTCTGTTACAAATATGATTACCATTTTTAGTAAGAAAGAAGAAAAATAAAAAGAGAATATTTAATGGCATTTTAAAAAATGTTCAGATACATAGTCATAAAGAGAAAAACAGTAGTTCTTAGGGATGGGGTGACAAGTAGGAAATGGTAAGATGTACATCAAAAGATATAAAGTAGCAAATATGTGGATGAATAAATCTAAAGATCTAATATACAGCCTATGGACTATAAGTAATAACACTATTGTTTGTAGGATTTCTACTAAAGGAGTAGATTATAACTCATCTTGCCAGAGGGGTGAAGTGAGTAACATGTTATGATAAATATGTAAATTAATTCCATCATAGTGAATGTTTTACTATATGTATGTAACTTATAACATCATGTTGTATACCTTAAATATATACGATAGATTTATTTTGTAAACAGTACATAATATGCAATACACATGTGTGTATACATATACACACATATGTACAAATATAAAATTTAAATATGCTTATAATTTACAATTGCCTATACCATAATTTACACTTGAATTTACAGAATTTTTCACATGCTCAGAAGAGAATAAAATGTAAAGGCAGAAAGAAAATACGATGGAATTAAAGCAAAGTTACACAAACAACCTGTTTTCAGATTCCCTCGATCATGCTATTCTCATTGCCAGAGAATGTTTTGGGTTTAATGCCATAATTTGCTATGGTTGACCATACTTTATGCATTGAGCATAGTGTGGAAATATGAAAATAAAGATTGTCTGCAGACAATCTTTTTTGTTTATGCAACCTACACTTAGAAAATGCAATTTCATTTTGCTAAATTAGGTCTTTAGTAAAATCTCATACATGTATTCTAGGACTTCAGTTTTCAAAGGATGTTTATTGTATATCCTGAGTTTGAAAATTAAGTACAGTCTTCAGATGGATTCACTCCACTTTCTGTTAAAAGTCTATGATAACTTCTTCTAAAATGTGAGGTTAAATATTTTTATTGTCGAACAACCATGTCAATAACCATGCGTTTAAAGATTCACGATACATGAGGAAAGGGCTTATGTAAAGAATATGCTAAAACAGAAGTCTCTGTAAGTAGTGATGATATTAAGAAATATTTCTGGACAAAGACTATACAACCAGTCATAATCAGTGATAACCTAGCTAAAGAATATAGTAACATTGTACTTTATCTATACAAACAGGTTTTATTAACCTAATGTATCTTCTTCATGTTTGTTTATAAGTTAGCAAATTATTAGACTGTCTTCACCTGTTCAACTACATTAAACAGTTTTATTACTATCCTTGCTGTCATAGTAAATTACCTTGTGTTCACAAGATAACATAACATACATTGTCCTGCTTGTCTTTCTGATGTAGTTTTGCTTGGTGAAAATGCCTAACATTGAGGAATAAATGTGTGGTAGATTTTCTAGTTGGATCTTTGAGGTGGAGTCTCATTCTCTGGACCAGGCTGTAGTGTAGTGGCCTGATCTCGGCTCACTGCAACCTCTGCTTCCTGGGTTCAAGCAATTATCCTTCCTCAGACTCCCAAGTAGCTGGGATTACAGGTGTGCACCACCACGTCCAGTGAATTTTTGTATTTTAGTAGGGATGGGCTTTCATCATGTTGTCCAGGCTGCTCTCAAACTTGTGACATCAAGTTGTCATTCCACCTCAGTCTCCCAAAGTGCTGAAATTACAGGTGTTACCAACCATGCCCAGCCAACTATAAACATATTTAATGATACACAACACACATATAAATATAAATATTTCTAACGGAGTATTAGATTGCTTCTTTCTTTAAATTTTGCAGAGACAATTGATAAACGAATCGAAAGGTGACTCCTACCTTAAAGGGAAGTCAAATAATTTTCTTATAAGAGGTCTAAAATCTTCAGATTGTTTTATTACAATATGCAGCAGTAAAAGCACAAAAAGTTTCATTACTTATTGGCAGCTCGGCCTTACTGTATTTTCCCAGAAACTGTTATAACATTTTTATGTGTTGGGTTTATTAAACACTTCTATGGCATTTAACCTGTAATAAAATTTGTAATTTATTATAAGGCATATATGTTGTATAATGCTTAAGTGTCAGGAACTACAGAGTAATACTTCATATACCTTATCTTCCAAAACCATACTTGATTATGCCTAATGCTCTTGGGTCAACAAGAAGTCTAGAAATAGAATAGTCCCTGATTCTGATCTTTGATAATGAAAGAAAATCCTGCATTTGACATATATAAAGGAAGAAATAGAAAATCCATCTATTGCCTCTGATCAAGGAGAGTCAAGATCTGTGTGAGAAGGAGAAAGGTGTTTGCTGAGCATCCAACATCAGTTGGGGTTGGGGGAGGCATTTTCTAACAGTGATGTAGGTGCAAAGTGATCATCTCAATGGCAAGCAGGAAGACTATTTTTTTTAGCTGGAAAGAAAGACCAGTGGACTGCCCATCATTGCTATTTTTTGCACAGTAAAAATAACTAACAGCTTTATTATTTGTACTTTAACCAGTTTTTATTGTTTTGTTTTGTTTTTGAGACAGGGTCTCATTCTATCTGCCAGCCTGGAGTACAGTGCTGCAATCAAAACTCACTGCATCCTCAACTGCCTTGGCACCAGTGGTCATCCCATTTCAGCCTCCCAAGTACAGGTGTGCAGCACCATGAGAAGGTAATTTTTAAATTACTTGTAGAGATGGAGTTCTCACTATGTTTCCCATGCTGGTCTCAAACCCCTGGGCTCAACCAGTTCTTCCCACCTTGACTTCCAAAGTGCTGGAATTACAGGCCTAAACTGTTGCTCCCAAACTTTTTTTTTTCCTTATATGCAGGATATTTATAGATAACTAGTTTTTACTGATTAACACTATCTCATACTAATTTCTAAAAATACAAATTATATATTATTTTCTATGATAAACAACAATATACACACCAGTACATACACACACATACATATATATAATGCACATCCTATACAGGCAATAATGTGCATATGTTAAACACCCATATATACACATATTTGTGTGTGTGTTTATATATACTCAATACATGCACACTCATACCTGTATAGAGTGTGATTTATCTACATTCCTAGAGCACCTGCAGCTCAAACTTTAGAAAACATTTCCTCAATATTCCTCTTTCCTTTGTTGAGTATTCACCACCCAGAAGAGGGAGGGCTTATGGAAATAACTCATGGCTGTTGGTATAGCAGATTTGAAGTAAATTTTATACTACTGGGAAAAAATATACAAAATCATACATGCACACATGCACACACACACACACACACACACACACACACACAGAGCTGGTTGAATTTCACCTGGCACAACTTTGATACATTCTTTTCTTTATCTACTACATTTATGGACCCATGTGATTACATTGGCACTACCTGGAGAATTCAGGAAAATTTTCCATTGTCAAGGTCAACAAATAAATACTAAATTCAAAACAGGAAAAGAAAACACACCTATTGAAAAATTTCACTAAGCCACCAAATATTCTTAATGGTAAAACAATAATAGATAACATACTTTGACTGCTTACTGAATTCTATGTGTTATGATAAGCATCTCCAAACATTCTCATTTCTTTCTCATTTCCACCCTATGAACTAGGTATTTATTGTTATCCCATTTCACAGAAGAGGAAACTGGAAATGGGGACCTAAAAAAAAACAATATTCATTGGGAAAGATACACTGATTTTCTGGGTTAGGGCTAACTAGTAGGAAAATCAGAGTTTTGTTTTTTTAAAGACTCTTCCCATTTTGGATAAAAATAAGATTCAATTTTTCTTTTACATCAGTTTCAGAAGGTTTATTTGATGATTAAACATGGTAATAATAATTAACAACCTTAGAATAATTCTTGGTTTTTCATAGTTACGGTCTATCTCTCTTATTAGTTTTAGTTACTGCTCACCTTCTCTTATTAATATCAAGATATGTTAATGCAAAGAGAACTAGCCTAATAGAAAGTCTGTACTCTGAAAAAATCCTAGGTCTAAAGCATATGCATTTTAAAATAGCAACAAAATGAATCTTCTTGCCCATTGCAACAGATTGCTTCTAGTATTGTATTTGAAGAGAATGAATTAGTTATTTCAGTCTAAATATATACAATGTATACATATATATATATATATATATATATATATATATATATATATGTCTAGGCGATTATGTATGTTATTATTTTCTGTCAACTTCATGGAAACTAATCCAGTCTAAGATTTTTTCATGGGCTAATTTGTTAAAAATTGCATTTATCTCATAAGATACCAAAAGAGAGTAAGTCAATTAGAAATCTACATGATTTTAAAGTCATATTATTGTGAGAGGCTTTAAAACCTTAAAATATTTTTAAAAGCAAACAATAGAGAACATATAATTGTATAACATGCTAAGAGACTACTCTTCCTGTTTACCCTAACAATAATTTTCTGCCTATCTTCTATACTATTCCTATTGTTAAGAAACCCAGTAAGTTTTTTACAGTGACTTTCTTCCTTTTTTTTTTTTTTTTTTTTTTTTTTTTTTGATTCAGAGTCTCACTGTTTCACCCAGGCTTTAGTGCAGTGGTATTAATACAATCATAGATTACTGTAGCTTCAACCTCTTGGGCTCAAGTAATCCTTCTACTCAGCCTCTTGAGTAGCTGGGCCTATAGGCATGTGCCACCATATCTGACTAACTTTTAAATTTTTTGTAGAGACAAGATCTTGCTGTGTTGCTGAGACTCATCTTAAATTCCCTACCTCAAGGGATTCTCTCATCTCAGCCACCCAAAGCTCTGGCATCTCTGGTGTGAGTCACTGCACTCGGCCTCCCTTCCACATTTAAAGCTAGCAGAGCCTGGTCAAATCTTTCTCATGAAAGACCCTATCTATGGTTTTAACTCCTCTGCCTCCCTGTTCCTGTTATGTAACATCAACAGAGACATATTGCATTGATGGTTTTGTGCTTTACAATTTTCATTTAGTGACGTTTGTCTTACTATTAAGGATTTATTAATATTAAGCAAGGCTTGTTCTGATTTTCTTTACATGTATTTTCATAGAGGTGTTGACCTCTCTTAAATTAAAAACTCTTCTGATTAGATTTGAGTGTATCTATTGACTGTATAAGTTTACATTTCATTTATTGATATGGTGTCAGAATTCATAAAATGTTAATCCAGCATTTGATTGTGATAATTTTTTATGATATCTCTTGTTATCACATGTCTTTCAATGGGCAGCATGTACATTATTTTAGTACTTTACCTCCCTTATTTGATGCACCCTTTTGGTGTATGAATGATGTGGTAGTGTTTCATGCAACTATTTCTCTTTTCATAACAAAACAGTCGAGAGTAAGGCTTTGGCTCCTGAGGCGCAGTATTTCTCAAGATAAGGGAAAAGACCGTTGCAATAAACCAGCTGAGTGATTGAAAAATATGATTTCCCTTTCAGATAACCACTTAACTAGACTCTCTTAAGGACAGCATTTTGGAATATGTATTTCATAAGAACTCATGTAATTTTAATACACTGTAATGTCTAAATAACACCCTTCCAGGCATTACCTATTCTGAAACACTATTTGCCCATTTTCACCATTAGAATATCTTGTACACCTACTGGGGAAACAAACAAACAAACAAAAACTATGAAACTAGCAAGTGTTAAATCTTCCATCTTTCTCAATTGACATCAAAATATTTAAAGGTGCATTATGGGTACTTTCAGTTTTGTAACTGAAGTTTAAAAATTGTGGACAGATGGCTATTTATTTCAGTGGATTCAAAGTTCACTGAGAATCGTTTATAGACTTGTTTTCATACATGATGAGATATTTACTTCACTTTCTTTCTTTGGCTGGCTGGAGTTTTATTTTTCCAAAAATTGTCTCAATTATTTGTTTGCCATTTGGGTTTTGATTAGATGATTTATAAAGAGGTGGTGACCTCTATGATTCCAGTCTTCTTACTTTTCATAATGACTGCTTTCTTCTGATTTAAGTAGGAAGTAATCGAGGTATCCAAATTTGAGAATCTAAATGTATTTACTATGTAAAAATTGTGTTAATCTATTCTCTCAGTTAGTGTAGCTGTGGAGATGTCTGATGGAAATGTTATCATTTTCTGCCAGTAAATTGCTTGCACTCTGTACCTTATTCACATATATATACACATATATATATATATGCATAATATATCATATAGATTATATGAGTGTATGTGTCAATAATATATGGTTACTCTTTACTGTGGATTGAAATTGAGCTCTATTTTTCCTTGGGAAATAATGTATAATTTTGTATCTGTACTTTGGAAAATTATTTGATTTTCTTTCATGATGTAATTGCCCAATAGATTCTTCTTGCCTGCTACATAGATAGAGCCAATTCACTGATACAGCAGAAGTGGAAGGGTTTAATCAATGCAGAGCTAGGCACAGGGAAGACATTAGTTTATTATTCAAATCAGCCTTGCTGGACATTCAGAGACTAGGTTTTTAAAATAATAATTAGGTGGGCAGGTGGCTAGGAAATGGGGAATACTGACTGCTCAGGTTGGGGTTGAAATGATAGGGAATTTTGGCTTTCTTCTTGCTGTCTCCAGTTTCTGTGTGGAAGTCACAAGACTAGTTTGAGCCGGTTTCTTGGTATGGGTGATGGATCTGACTGGCACCAGCTTTTTCACCAGAATGCAGGGTCTGAAAAATACGTCCACTCACCAATCTTAGGTTTTACAATAGTAGTTTCATCTATAGGAGGAACTAGGGAGATTGGGAATCTTGTGGCCTCTGGCTACTTGGCTCCTGAGACATAATTTCCAATCTTGTAGTTAACTTGTTAGTTTTCCAAAGACAGTGTTAATATATTTATTTTTTAATTAAACTATAAACTAAATTCAATAGATTCGTAGACATATACTTATCTTAAAACACATCACAGTGTGTATAATACATATGTACAGCTTTTTGTATGACAACCATACTTCAATAAACTGGTTTTAGAAAAAGAACCATTTTTAGGGTAAAATACTTTAATTTCTTTCAATATTTATGTAATAAATATTAACATTTATTTTAATATTTTGATATTTATATTTAAATATACTTAATAATTTACTATTATTATGTAACAATAACATAACTATTGAAATAATCAAAATATTTTACCCCAAAATGTTGTCAACCAAGAGCAATAAAAAAATGTCAGAATCTAGTCTCAAGATAGTTTATTCAAGTCTGAGGATGGATGACATTCCAATCAAAGATTCTGAAGAAGAGAAATCAGGGTTCCAAAGGGTAACTGTTTTGAATTCCTTATGTGGACAAAGTTTAGAAAAGTGTGACAGAATTTCATCATCTTTCTCTGTATCGCTTGATGCATGGTTAAAACAATCTGGTTACTTAAAGTGGTGTTCTTCTTTTGGGAAAGGTGTATGCAACATTCCCAACACTATGTAAAAATTGTGTTAATCTATTCTCTCAGTGTAGCTGTGGAGATGTCTGAAGGAAATGTTATCATTTTCTGCCAGTAAATTGCTTGCACTCTGTACCTTATTCACATATATGTACACATATATATATGCATAATATATCATATAGATTATATGAGTGTATGTGTCAATAATATATGGTTACTCTTTACTGTGGATTGAAATTGAGCTCTATTTTTCCTTGGGAAATAATGTATAATTTTGTATCTGTACTTTGGAAAATTATTTGATTTTCTTTCATGATGTAATTGCCCAATAGATTCTTCTTGCCTGCTACATAGATAGAGCCAATTCACTGAAGATGTAACGGACATCTTGGGCACCATCTAGTCTGAGCTAGGTACAGGATGATAAAGAAGGCAGTTAGTCTGTAAGATCGATCAATGATTGTTAGGGGGAAGTCTAGTTTCTGGTCTCTGGTAGGAATTTACAGAACAACATAAATACGGAAGATAGTTAATCTACAATCTAAAAAGCAAAATTGCAGACATACTCTGTGTCTAAGTATCCAGGATTTAACTTTTCCCTTGGCATCATGAACATAGAGGGTTCTGAAATTTTGTTTTCTTTTACAATGTATTTCGTTTGCATATTTCTGCATGGGTAGTCAGAAGTGCAGTAAATACAAGAATTGTTCAAAAGCTGTCTTTTGTGGGGGAGATTTGCATCTGTAGAAAAAATCTGAGGCCAAATGCAGTGACTCATACCTGTATTCCCTGTACTTTGGGAGGCCCAAGCAGGCAGATCACTTGAAGTCTGGAGTTTGAGACCAGCCTTCCCAACATGGTGATAGCTTGTCTCTACTAAAAATACAAAAATTAGCTGGGCATGGTGGCAGTGCCAGTAATTCCAGCTAATCAGGAGGCTGAAGCAAGATAATTGCTTTAACCCAAGAGGCAGAGATTGCAGTGAGCCAAGACTGCACCACCGCACTCCAGCTTGGGGGACAGAGTGAGACTCTGTCTCAAAAACAACACCACCAACAACAGCAACAACAACAAAAACCAAAAGAAAAATCTGCATTGATACAATCAGGTTTTCTCTGAGGTCCTCTTTGTCTAATCTAGGAAAGATGAACTGAGAATCAAACACCATTACAGATCTGAAAGAAACATTCACCATCTATTCTCTCTGAGTGCTGCTACCTGTGAGGTTTCATCTACATGCCACCACCACCTTTGCTAGCTAGATGCTCTTCTCCCTGTTCCACAACCTGTCTGGTGTCCGTAACCTGAGTTACCAGGTTTTATAATCTGTTTTTGCACATGCTGTAAGACCCAAGCCCAGGATGGTATAAAAGCATCAATAATCTGGCCACTTCTTTAAGAAATTTTGTACTTTTCCATCCAAATTAATAAATTCGTATAGAAACCTCCTTTGCAAAATTATGACAGTAAGAGAAACCTGACATAGCTCACTCCATCTTGCTTCTAGCCTCACAGGTTGGCTATCTTCACTCTTTCCTGGGCATGTGCCAAAGCTAATGTTGAGAGAAATTTAGTTTATAGTTTATTTTATTATCTTTATTATTTTTTTAAGAAAGGGACTCCCTCTGTCACCCAGGCTGGAGTGCAGTGGCATGATCTCGGCTCACTGCAACCTTCAACTAGCTTGGGAGTTGAAGCTATTCTCCCACATCAACCTTTTAAGTAGCTTAGACTACAGGCATGAGCCACCATTGCTGGCTAATTGTTTTATTTTTTATTTATTGTTTATTTTTTTTTAAGTAGAGGTGGGGTTTTTCCAGGCTGCCCAGGCTAATTTTGAACTCCTGAACTCAAGCAAGCTTCGTGCCTCAGCCTCCCATGGTGCTGGGATTACAGGTGTCAGCCAACCACTCCTGGCCTGCAAGTTAAATTATAAAAGCATTTTCCAAAACAAAATTGCCTTTATAAAACTAAGGAAAGCCTACCAGGTCAGGAGGATAAAGGTCTGAATTCTACTATGATATAAGCATAGTTAAATAATTACCAGCCATTATTTAGGTGGTCACAAGATTTTGAACTTCCCCAATTACTCCTTCAGATAACATCACTCTTGTAGAACCCAGGATTGACATTTTGAGATAGCTTTTCAGATTTTTTGCATTTCTGACTACCAATAGCTGTACCAGTACTCACCAACTGGTCTTTTGCCTTCTACTCAGGAACTGATGCAGGGCAAGAGGACAGCTTCAACTCCCTATGATTTCATCTCTGACACAACCAGTCGGCACTTCCCACTCCTGGGCCCCCTGCCCACCAAACTATCTTTGAAAAACCCTGATCTCCAAATTTTTGAGAAGACTGATTTGAATAATAATAAAACTCTGGTCTCTTGTTTATCTGTGTATGCATGAATTAAACTCTTCCTCTATTGCACTTACCTTGTCTTGATCATTTAGTTCTCTCTGGGCAATAGGAAAAAAGATCCCACAGGGCAGTTAGGTTGTGGAAGGTTATTAATCTACCTTTCATCAGGTGATTTGTAGCGAACCTTCAGAGAGCAAAGGGCAAGTTTTTCCTTGGCTTCTGTAATATGAACAGGCATGGTTATAAACATAGACATAGACATTGACATGGAAAATGATGTAAGCTGTTTACAGTTAAGGAGGTGCCATAGACTAAATGTCTGTGTCCCATCACAGTCACACACCGTATGCTGAAACCCTAGCCCCCAGTGGGTTGGTATTTGGAAATGGGGCATTAGAAGGTAATTAGTTTTAGATGACATCCTGAAAGTGGGTCTCCCATGATGGGATCAATGTTTTTATGAGAAGATGACCAGCCCAGTGCTCTTTTTTTTTTCTCTCTGCCTTTGAAGCCACCTTTGCAAAATTATGACTGAGAGTGAAAGACATCTTGTTATAGGTAGGTCTTTGTTCTTAGAGCTCCCAAGATGGTGGTGGGCTGCTCCCAAGATGGTGGCAGCTGCTCCCAAGATTGCAGCCAGCCTTTTATTCTCTGACCTGCGTTTCTTGGCCTCTCAGGTTCCAAGGAATGGAACTTTGGGCCACACGGTGAGTGTGATACCTCTACTACAAGCCATGGGTCATGGAAGAGAACTGTGGAAACTGGTGACTAGTGTTCAGCTCTATTAGGATGACCCTGGGCACCTAGCCATGCAGGAACAATAGCAAGCCTCTAGCTTGAACGGGAACAGCAATAGGTGCCTCATTGGATCAGAAATGCAGCAGACACCCTGCCAGATCTGGAGGGGTGGAAGTCAGTGGCAGGTCTATGATGGTGGTGTACAGCAGTGGTGGATGATGAGTGAAAACTCAGCTTGAGCTGGAACAAACACAGAACAGAAGAGTGTGCAACCGTAAGATTTAATAGAGTGAAAACACAGCTCCCATAAAATGGGAGGGGACCCAAAGGGGGTTCCCAATCCCAGCTCAAATGCCTGGGGTTTATATCCCAATCATTGTCCCTCCCCCTGTGCTCTCAGATGATAGATGATTTGACCATTTCTTTAACTCCTGCTTTTAGCCTGATTGATATTTAGTGAGCTCTCTTTACTACCTGATTGGTCAGGTGTGAGCTGAGTTACAAACCCTGGGTTTAAAGGTGGTTGTGGTCACCTTCCCCAGCTAGGCTTAGGAATTCTTAGTCGGCATAGGAAATCCAGCTAGTCCTGTCTCTGAATCTGACTTAACTCCATCTTGCTTTCAACCTCCAAGCTGTTGTTGCTTATTCCAGGGCGTAGGCTGAACTACTTTTGGGAGGGACTTACGGTTTAAAACAAAGATGATAACAGCCCTTTCTCAAAACAAGGCTTATTTCTCCCTTGGGACTAGACTGCCTTTGTTGGACTAACAAATCAGCCACAAGATTACAAATTATGGTTTAGTAGTCGACTAATCAGCTGAAAACTACAAGATTCTGACCTTCTCTAAAATGCTCCTAAGACCAATGCTCGAGATATTTTGCAGAGCCTACACTTGATTGATCAGCTGGAACCACCCAGACTGATAAACTGGCTCACCTGACGTTGTGGCCCCCACCCAGGAAATGACTCAGCACAAGACGATGGCCACGACTTCCCATGATTTCATCTCCAATCCCACCAATCAGCACTCTTGACTCACTGCTGCACTACCCACCAAATTATCCTTAAATACTCTGATCCCCAAATGCTCAGGGAGACTAATTTCAGTAATAATAAAACTTCAGTTTCCCATACAGCCAGCTCTGCATAAAATACTCTTTCTCTATTGTAAGTCCCCTGTCTTGAGAAATTGGCTCTCTTTAGGCAGCGGGCAAGGTGAACCCACTGGGCAGCTATACTATGTGAACTTAGAGTGAGAAACTGACCATCAACAAACCAGGAAGAGAGCTCTCTCCAGAAACCAGGTTGACATCTTGATGAACTTGGACTTCCAAAATTCTGATAAATAATTTTTGTAAGCCCTCCAGTTCATGGTATCTGTTACAGCAGACTGAGCAGTCCTTCAAGAATCCCTCACATAGCCATAGATCTACCTACACACATACAAAAATCTTTAACAACCTAGGACATGTCTTTCAGGTACCTATGAATGTGTCACAGATACAAAGATAGTGTCAACTTTAAATAACCAAAAAGGTTAGAGTATAATTCAAACAAAGTTTATTCAAGACCCAAGTGTGAAGATGGATGGTTCACACCCATCATACCAACTCCAAAATTATGGAGTAGGAAAGTTAAGGTTTCATGTATAGAGCCAGAGACAGATGAGTTTTTAGCAAGATTACCACATCATTCCTACAAGATTGGCACAGAGTTGCAGCCATTAGATTGGTTACAGGCAGTTTTTATGGGGGGAAGAGTACATTTAACAATTTTTTTAAACAGAGGCTGTAACAGTCATGGATTTTCTTTATCTACTCTCAGTGAAGCTGGACAACCCAGGGGGGCTTAATCTATCACAAGTATCATTAATTAAGAAGGGCAGACAGGGGCCTGGCATGGTGGCTCATGCCTGTAATCTGGAGGCTGAGATGGGCAGATCACAAGGTCAGGAGAGCAAGACCATCCTGGCTAACATGGTGAAACCATGTTAAAAATCTACTGGAAAAAAAAAAAAAAAAAATAGCCAGGCATGGTTGTGGGTGCCTATAGTCCAAGCTACTTGGGAGGCTGAGGCAGGAGAATGGTGTGGACCTGGGAGGAGAAGCTTGCAGTGAGCTGAGATCATGCCACTGCACTCAGCCTGATGTTGCTTAATTCTCCCTAGTCTTTTTACAGAACACGGAGAATTAAAAAGTGAGTTAATCTATAATCTGAGAACAGAAGTTGCTACCATATGTGACTCAGATGACGGTCACATCTCTCTCATGGCTTAAAGTGCTCTTGTGGGGGACTGCCATAGCTTTTAAATTATATTTATTTTCACAATAAACATAGTCATAGGCATAGATGCAAACTGTTAACAATAAATGAGATATCCTTCAGGAATCAAGGATATCGACATGACAAGGATGAGGTTAGATCAGAAATTTAATAAAGGAAAGAAAGCCCTATGCCGCAGAGAGGCATCCCAAAAAAGGGTTGCAATTTCACAGTTGAATATAGAGCCTTTTATAAGAAATCGTTGAGGGATGAGTGTTTCATTTGCATAAGGTGTGAAGTTCTGGTAGCTCCACCCCATCCTCCTAGTGCACCCACAGGCCTTTAGCTTGAGTTACTCCATATTGTTTTGTTCCCCTTATGATGCCTGTGCCAGGGGATGGAATTTTCCATTGCAGGCAAGTCTAGTCAAATCAGCTATATAGACTTTCTTATCTGTATGGCTGTGGGCATGTCTCAGTCAAGCTCCCCTGTGTAAGTTCCCTTATGTGTGCCTGCAGGCTATTCTTTTGTTTAAAAGAATTCAACCATTTAACCTTGGAACAACTCTAACTGGCTGCTTAATGGGTTTCTTCCTCTTTTCCCTCTCAGTACTAGATGATCTAGGCAGAAACCTTGACCTCCACTAGATGATCTAGGCAGAAATCTTGACCCCCAAGCTCATCTCCTATCTTCAACATATGTAAGGATAAGCTCAGTATTCAGCAAAATAACTGAGAGCTGGTGAGGGCTACTTTGCGGGACATTTTCAAGTTCTGTGCATTTCTCTTCTGTTAGGAGAGTATCAAGGAGATTCCACGTGAAATTGATTGAAGGGACGTCAAGTGTCTCATCCACTTTGGGCTGCAATAATGAAAATACCATAGACTGCGTAGCTTCTAAAAAGGATAAATTGATTGCATACTCTTCTGAAAGCTGGAAGTCCAAGATCAAAACGTGGTAGATTTAGTGTCCCGTGGGACTTAGGTCCGGTGAGGACTTAGGTCCATAGACAGTATCTTCTAGCTGTATTCTCACACAGTGAAAGAGGTGAAGAAGATCTATTGGGTCCCTTTTATAATAGCACTAATTCCATTCATGTGGGCTCCACTCTCATCACCTTCCATCTCCTAATACCATCACCTTGGAAGTTAGGACTCAAGATGTTATTCTGGAAAAACACAAACATTTGGAGCATAGCATCAAGAGACCTTCTCAGTGAATCTGGGGGTCACAGAATAGAGAGACTATAGGCTGACTCTTCTTTGAAGAAGGTGAATGATACTAGGTTGTCTGCAAGTTTAGTGAAGGGTGAATAAAGAGGTGAGACTACAAGAACACAGGCTTGGCCATCTGGTGTTGTTGGGCAGCACAGAATGATTGACAATTTCTTTTGGCCAAGTGTGCTCTGAAAGATGACAGCCTTGATCACCCAGATGGGACACTGACAAAGTTTCTCCCTTCTGAGAATGTGACACTACAGGGAAAATAGAACCAGAAGTATAGTCAGAAGCTAGAAACCAGAGATGTGGGTGTTGCAATAAGTCCTATAAAAGCAACAATGCCCCAAGGAAAAAAAAAATTATGTAAGTGAGTATGACATCCTTCTTCAAATATCCTTGCAAACTTGATAAAGTTTGACAGATGAATGGAAAGTGAGATTGTTTTTGTTTGTTTTGAGACAGGGTCTCATTCTGTTGCCCAGGCTGAAGTGCAATGGCTTGCTCTTGGTTCACTGCAACCTCTACATCCCAGGCTCTAGTGATCTTCTCATCTTAGCTTCCTGAGTAGCTGGGACTATCGGTGTGCACCACCTTGCCAAGCTAATTCTTTTATTTTATTGTATAGGTGGGTTCTCACTGTGCTGCCCAGGCTGGTCTTGAAATCCTGAGCTCAAGCAATCCATCCCAAAATGTTGGGACTACAGATGTGAGCCACTGCATCTGGTCTGGAATTTTCAAATATAATGAGATATTGAAATTATACTTTAGGTTGCATTGGTCATTTAAACATACATGAATCAGATTATTCACCAATATCTTGAATAGTCCAGAAAATATTTGAAGTGTGCCTGAAATATCACCTACAGAAAAGATATGAAAATGTGATAGCATGACAAACTTATATTTTCCCATCATTTTATCCAGTGACTCAAAGAAAGAGAGAAGCCTGCTGAGAGACATACTGAGAAGAAAAATGTAAAAAGACTATTCAAAGAAGGTTGAGTGTCAACAAGGAACTCTTATTGGGACAAGAGAGGAAGAATAGACGTCTCTTCTTGCAACAAGAAATAGAAGAGTAGTTGTGAACTCCAGGGAAAATCACAATCATGCAATGTTTTCAAGTAATGTGCTAGACTTTAAGAAAGAAGGATATGACTCTCCTGATACATGAACTCTTCTTAAAGCAGTTCATGTTGAATATCGTGGGACTAAATCACATGGGTTTCTGTAGATTCATTCATACTCTCTGGGGTCCACTGGTAAATATCCACACAAGGATTATTCTCAATTCTATTGATTGGTTTTTAATTTTCAGAATTAACTTTATTGGAAACCAATAGGAAGTCATTATTTTTACGGATTAAAAAACATCAGTTTCAAAGGTTAATTAATTAATGAATGGAAAAGCCAATGTAAATTAAGGAAGGAAAGAGGGGATATCAAGGAAAATATATAATGCTTACTTTGCTAATCACTTAAGAGTAAGATGTTATATCCTACAGTCCAAATGTAATGGTTCAAGAAATAAACATAGAAAAAATTACTTTTAGATTCAGTCTTTCAAAAAATGCAGAATTATAAAAGTTATGATATTATGAGCAAGTATTATTTGTCATTGTTATGTTGGAGTAAATAAATATACCTTAACGTTTGTAAAGATGTTGGAAGTATCATCTTGGCTCAAGAAGACTTAAAGAAAAAATGATGAGAAATGATTAACGTGGTGAGAGAACTTGGCATGAGGGCAGGTGAACAATTTTCCATTCCATTATTAGTCTTTTGTGTGGCTAAGCTTTTTTTTTTTTTCCCATGGACATCCCAAAATATTAGTTTTAAATGGTATTTGAAGTCATTCTCCTTTAAGAATTTTCCTCCCTCCAGTGAGTAAAGAGGGGCTTAGAGGACATAAGTCACTTGCAAGTAACTTGCCTGTATTTAAGGTCACAGTGTGATATCCTACCTTGTTTTAACCTGAATTGACTCTCCCTTGGCTGAGAGAAGTGGACAGACTCCATTTTGGCTCCTTCACTTGCAGCCCCTTACCCACCCCCTTCCTCAAAGACTTAACTTGTGCAAGCTGACTCCCAGCACATCCAGGAATGCAATTACTGATAAGATACTGTGGCAAGCTATATCCGCAGTTCCCAGGAATTCACCTGGTTGATAGTACTCAAAGCCCCAGTGTTTGTGTCCAGTTGATAGCGCCCAAAGCCCCCGCATCTATCACCTTGTGATAGATTTAAAGCCCCTGCACCTGGACCTGTTTGTTTTCCCGTAACCGTTCGTCTTTTTAACTTTTTTTGTCTGTTGTGCTTCTGTAAGATTGCTTCAGCTAGGCTCCCCCTTCCCTTTCTAAACCAAAGTATAAAAGAAAATCTAGCCCCTTCTTTGGGGCAGAGAGAATTTTGAGCACTAGCCATCTCTCGGTCACCAGCAAATAAAGGACTGCTAAATTAGTCTCAAAGTGTGGCGTTTCTCTACAACTCGCTCAGTTACAACATTTGGAAGTCCCGGCGAGATTTATTTGCCATGAGATGAGTGCTGAATTCATTCCAGGCTCCCCTGGACAGACAGTGGTCTTATAGGGGAGGTGCCACCTGAAGACTTTCCAAGGCACCATAGGCCACCGTATTCCGGAGGGGGAACGGATCGACTGCTGGTGTGTGCCCACCAAATTCAACTCCTGAGTCCTCAGTCTCTGGTCCTGGGACGGTAAGTCAGATCTGACTCTGTTTCTCTGGGAGGGAAATGGCCCTATTGAGGGCCCTCCCTCAGACTCTGTCCACACTCCAGGACACTGGAGGGCAAAGTCCTGGTTTCTGTCAGGCTTCTCTGTTAAGACTCTCACACTCCCTCTCTGTCTCTTCTTCTTCTCTCATTCAGGTCTCAAGGAGACCCCTGTTTAAATGGGTATGAAAAATTATAATAAACTCTGAAGGAGTGAGTGAGTGAATGTGGAGTTCAAGGGCTTTTGCTTGAATTTCAAGTTTGTAGCTCCATGGCAAAAGCTACAGAGTTTGAGTGGGCCCTCACCTGTGGTTCCGGGTGACCTCATAAGGCTTAGGGTAGCAAAGGGCATAGCTCGACCTGAGCTGGGGGTTTATACTGGCCTGCCAATGTCAAGAGGAGCCTAAGTCCCTGCAAGGGGAGTGGCCAGGCAGGCATCTGACTAATCACATCACAGAAGCCCCTCATCTTGTCTGTTTATAAAAACTTTCATAACTGTTTATATACCCCAGTGTCTATTCTCCTGTCTGGTGTTTGCCTAAGTTTCACATGTCAGGTCTTCAATACTGCCCAAGATGACTGGGCAAGGACTTCTTCAAGGTCGTTAGTACAGATTTTCTATCCCAGGAGTTCAAATCTTTCATCAGTCATTTGGGCTGGCCATCCGAGTCCTGTCTTTTCTGTCGGAAAAAAGTCAGGTGTTGTTATGGGGAGGTGTATGGGAAACAGTCTCTCGTTTGGGATTTCTGGCACCATAAAGGTTGCTGGCATTTGGATTGCCATACCTCAAACCCCAGTGACTGAAACACCTCCTCCTTAGATCAGTGGGGGATTCAAAATAGCCACCCTGCAGATTTCCTTGCTCACCTTTTCTGTCATCCTGTAACTTTTCCCATGCCCTTGGATAAGGCACTGTGCAGAGAAACCTACGCCTGTACTGTCTTATTCCATCTGGACTCTTATTCTATCCCTCTGTAGCTACTCTCCTACCTTAGGAAAGATCCAAGTGGCCCCTTTCCTACTCATCCCCATCCCTTACCCCGTACATTTCATTTTCCTGTGTCACAGCAAGTCCAGCACCTCCAAGACTTGGCTCTGCTCACCCTCCTAAAACCCTTAAAAGAAAAAGCCAAGTTTGAACTGTTTGCCTTTGAGTCATGAAGACACCAAAAATATTCAGGCTATAAGTCAAAAAGGAAGGAGGGATCATGTAGGTCCCACAGGCCTCAGACCCACCTCTTGTCCTCTCCCTAGATCTCAAAACCTAAAGAGAAAGAGCTTATGTGGCAAGAAGTGTTGGCTATAGTTGCTTTCCTACTTCTTCTGGTCGTAATATTTCTGTTCTTCTGATACTACGGGCCCCCAGAGAGTGAATTGCTCTGTCCATGCTGGATTTAATATTTCTGCTCAATCCTTGTTAAATTGCTTCCAGAATGGGAAGCTCTTCTTCCTGGCCTCATAGAGATTGGAGCCCTCTCCAATGTATGTTACAAAATTTCTCCCTGGGCTTCTCAGAGGATTATGGGGTTTGCCTTAAAAAAGGCAAATTCTGGACACTCTGTGAAGTAGAACGGCTACAGTTTGGAACCGGGTGGCCCCCAGAAGGGTCACTGAATGTGTGTGGCAGTTCATTGCTGGAACTCCCAGTCACCCTGATCAGTTTCCCTACATTGATCAATGGCTGAGCTTGGTCTGGGGCCCTTCCCCTTGGCTCCACTCATGTGCTGTTCATAATCCTACCTCCAAGGTGCTTTTGAGCCAGGCCTCACTGTCATTCTGACCCTCAGCCCCCTCAGCTCCTCCTGTACTGCCTTTTTCTGAAGAAGAGGAAAGTTTTTCTCACGCATTTCCACCACCCCATAACCCTCCTGCTCCACCAAAATCTTGCCTCGTTTCTTTGACTACATCCCCTGTGGCCTCTCTGCCTACAGCCTCCTGATTATGACCGCTGGAGAATAAAGCTAATCCTCTCCTATTGTATCTACAGATTGTGTTTCCTTGAGTCTGGGCCAAGTCAAAATCCCCAGGACTAGCAAAGCATCATCCACTGTTAGTTGTAGAACTCCTGGTCACTGCCCTGCCAGTCCAGGTAAAAAAAACTATCCTATGAGTCAGCGGGCTAGAGAGGGAATCAATCCCCATATTCAGGGGCTATTACAAGCTGGTATACTCACAGCGTGTTAGTTGGCCTGGAATACTCCATTTTTGTCGGTCCAGAAACCTGGAACAAATAATTACCAGCCTGTACAGGACTTGCAGGAAGTTAACAAGTGGACAGTCACTGTCCATCCAACTGTCCCTAACCCTTATACTTTATTCAGCCTGCTTTTGCCAGAACATACAGTATGTGCTGTCCTGGACTTAAAAGAGGCTTTCTTTGCTATTTCTCTGGTCCCCAAATGCCAATCTATCTTTGCTTTTGAATGGACAGATCCTGGCTTGGGAGACACCACTCAATTAACCTGGACTCAGCTACCCCAGGGTTTTAAAAATTCCCCCACACTTTTTGGAGAAGCCCTCCAACAAGATCTCATACCATTCTGAGCCAGTCACCCTAACTGCACTTTTCTCCAGTACGTGGATGACCTTTTATTAGCTGCTAAAACTACTGACAGCCGCCTGCAATATACTAGAGACCTGCTTTGCCTTCTCCAGAAACTTGGGTACTGGGTTTCAGCTAAGAAGACCAAGCTTTATCTCCCCAGGGTTTCCTATCTGGGGTATGAGATAGACAAGGGAAAAAGGGCACTCACCAGTGCTCAAAAGGAAACCATCCTGTGGATCCCCACTCCCATCACCAAGAGACAGGTACATGAATTCCTGGGGTCTGTAGGATACTGTCATCTATGGATATCAGGGTTTGTGGAAATCACCAAGCCCCTAAACTCTGTTATAGGAGAAAATGACCTGCTAGCTTGGACTTACACAGAGGAACAGGCTTTTCAATACTGGAAAAAACCATTAACTGAGGACCCTGCTCTAGCCCTCCCAAATAATCTCAAAACCATTTCACCTTTTTGTTCATGAAAGCCAGGGAGTCACTAGACGGGTACTCACTCAAACTTTGGGGCCATGGTGATGCCCAGTGGCCTATTTGTCTAAGAAACTGGACCCCTGGACCCTGTGGCCTCCAGGTGGCCAAGATGTCTGCGAGCCATAGCAGCCACAGCAAGCCTGGTTCAGGAGTCTGATAAACTGACTCTAGGTAAAAATTTAACCCTTATGGCTCCTCGTGCCATAGAGACATTGCTACAAAGTGCTTCTGCCAAATAGATGTCGAACGCTTGCATCCTGCAGTATCAAAATTTACTGTTAGATCAGCCTCGTGTAACTTTCTCTCCCACAAGGTGTTTAAATCCATCTACCTTGCTCCCTGATCCAGACCTTACCACACCTATCCATGACTGTGAGGAACTGTTAGTGACTATAGAAATTGGCTGACCTGATCTCCAAGATGTGCCTTTAAAGGAGGCAGACACCACCACATTTACAGAGAGTAGCAGCTTCCTCAAACAAGGAGTATGAAAGCCTGCTCCAGCCATTACTATGGAAACAGATATACTGTGGGCCCAGGTGCTGCTGGCAGGCAACTTGGCAAAGAGGGCTGATTAGTTGCCCTCACTCAAGCTTCCGATAGGGCAAAAATAAATGCATTAACATCTACACTGACAGCAGATATACGTTTGCTACTGTCCATGTACACAGAGCCATCTATCAGGAGCATGGGCTACTCACCTCAGAAGGAAAAACTATCAAAAATAAAGAAGAAATTTTGGCCTTGCTTGAAGCTGTTTGGTTCCCTCAACAGGTGGCTGTAATTCACTGCGAAGGACAACAAAAAGAAGATATGGTCATTGCTTGTGGTAACCAAAGAGCAGATTCTGCAGCTAAAAAGACAGCTCAGTTTCCAGTCATGCCTTTGACTCTGCTGCCCTCTATATCCTTTCTGCAGCCTGACTTTCGAGACCACCCAGAATACTCCCTAGAGGAGGAAAAAGAGGCTTCAGATCTTCAGGCCAGTAAAAATCAGGAAGGTTGGTGAATTCTTCCTGATCCCAGAATCTTCATGCCCCAAGTCCTCGGGGAAACTTTAACCAGTCATCTGCATTCTACCACACATTTGAGAGCAATAAAACTGGCCCAGCTTCTAAAGAGCCATTTCAAGATCCTCCACCTTCAGGGCTTAGCTAACCAAGCAGCCCTCTGGTGTATAGGTTGTGCTCAGGTAAATGACAAGGAAGGTCCTAAACCCAGCCCAGGCCACCGCCTCTGGGGAGACTCACCAGGAGAAAGGTGGGAATTGACTTTACAGAGATAAAACCACACTGGGCAGTGTATAAATACCTCCTGGTGCTAGTAGACACCTTTTCCAGATGGACTGAGGCATTTGCCACCAAAAACGAGACTGCCACCATGGTAGTTAAGCTATTACTCAATGAAATCACTCCTTGACATGGGCTGCCCGCTGCCATAGGGTCTGATAATGGACCAGCCTTCACCTCATCTGTAGCTCAATCAGTTAGTGAGACATTAAACATTCAATGGAAACTCCATTGTGCCTATCAACCCCAGAGCTCTAGGCAGGTAGAATGCATGAACTGCATCCTAAAAAGTAATCTTACAATATTAATCCTAGAGACCAGTGAGAATTGGGTAAAACTCCTTTCTCTAGACCTTCTTAAAGTAAGATGCACCCCTTACCAGGCTAGGTTTTCACCTTTTGAAATCATGTCTGGGAGGGCTCCTCCTACCTTGTCCAAACTAAGAGATACCCATTTAACAGAAATCTCACAAGCTAATTTGTTACAGTACCAGCAGTCTCTGCAACAGGTACAAGACATTATCCAGCCACATGTCTGAGGAGCACATCCCAATCCAGTTCCCGACCACAAGGGGCTCTGCCACTCTTTCCAGCCAGGTGACCTGGTGTATGTTAAAAAGTTCCAGAAAGAAGGACTTACTCCTGCCTGAAAAGGACCTGATACTGTCATCCTCACCACACCAAGAGCTCTAAAAGTAGATAACATTCCTGCTTGGATTCATCACTCTTGCATCAAGAAGACTAACAAAACCCAGCAAGAAACATGGGTCCCCAAGACTGGTAGAGGCCCCTTACAACTGCACCTAAGTCAAGTGAAGCCAGTAGATTAATTCTTTATCTCTTTTGTTTGTTTCTGCCTGTCGTGCCCTCTGCTTCTTCCTACTCTTTATTCCTGACTTCTTTCATGACAGGAAGTGTGTTTGCAAACACCACCTGGAAGTCGGGGACCTACAAGGAAGTCTCTTTGGCAGTCGATTTATGTGCTCTGTTTCCAGAGCCTGCTCATACGTTCGAAGAGCAACACAATCTGCCAATCATAGGAGCAGGGAACATCGACCTTGCTGCAGAGTTTGGACACTCCAGAGGCTAGACTGGATGTGGAAGCTCCAAAGGTGCAGAAAAAGGACTCCAGAACGTTGAACTTTACTTCTGTCCTGGAAATCACCTTGACTCTAGGTGTCAAGATTCTTACCAATTTTTCTGCCCTGACTAGACATGTATAACTTTGGCCACCTACTCTGGGGGATCAATCCGACCTTCAACCTTTTCCATAGCTCATGCTTCCCATCCTAAACTGTGTGCAAGGGGAAATTGCAATCTTCTTACTATAACCATCCGTAACCCCAATTTAGCTCAATGGCATTATGGCATGTCATGGGGATTAAGGCTTTATATCGCTGGATTTGATGTTGAAACTGTGTTCAGCATCCTATGTTCCAAAAACACCCAGACAGGGTCAATTTAACTGTTCCACCACCACTCCTGGTTGCTAAACCTCAGCTGCAATGACAAGACCTCCAGCTCAGCCTGATATCCATTCTGGGTGGGGTACATCAGCAAATAAAGGACTGCTAAATTAGTCTCAAAGTGTGGCATTTCTCTATAACTAGCTCAGTTACAACAACAGGACCAGTTTAAAAGGGGTCAATGAAATAAGCCAGGTATGTTTAATTTCAACATCTGTTTTTTTTCTTTTCATCCACAATTATATCATCAATAAAAATATCTTCAGAGATTCAAAAAAAAGCCATTGATTTTTGTTATATTTCCTGAATAAATTCTGAGATCAGGATAGCCCTTGTTCTCCTTACTTGAATTTTGGCATATGGGCTGGGCACAGTGGCTCACGCCATAATCTCAGCACTTTGGGAGGCCAAGGTGGACAGACCACTTGAGGTCAGGAGTTCAAGACCAGCCTTGCAAACATGGCAAACGAAGTATCTACTAAAAATACATAAAGTTGGCCAGGCATGGTGGTGGGCACCTGTAGTCCCAGCTACTCAGGAGGCTGAGGCAGGAAAATTGCTTGAACCTGGGAGGCAGAGGTTGCAGTGAGCTGAGATCATGCTACTGAACTCTCCAGCCTGAGTGACAGACTGAAACTCTGTCACCAAAAAAAAAAAAAAAAAAAAAAAAAAAGGAAATGTTGGTGTGTGTGAAAAGAAAATTTGGATTTAGGTAAGGAGACTTTTTTTTTTTTTTTTTCTGGATAGGATGATTGCAACAGGAGAGAGAAGATGACTATAGCAGTCAGGTAAACTCTCCTTTTATGATATCTGCTGGCAGTTCACAGGTTAAGTGGAAAATAAGCTTTTCTTTTATGGGTATATAGGATGAAAAGGTAACTGTACCAACTAGTAGGTGAGAGGATGTTTTAACCCAGGCCACCCTTTTCTCAAAAGGGCCTCTTAACAGTAGGCAATGTGCTTGTTAACAAATGTTCCTTTAGCAAGCATTTTGCTTGACTAGTGTATGGGGAAGAAACCATTCAGTTAGTCATTGAAAAGTCAATGAATTCCCAACAAATGGATCCACTAGCATGTAGATCCCCATCAGATATGGGGGAACTAAGGACTTAACTCTTGCCAGTATTCTTTGTTTTACATTTCTTCCTGATGAGATTGGAGGAAGTCACACCCACAGACCAGAGTTAACGTTCTTTTCTGCTGAAGGCAATTTTTTAGATAAAACTTTCCCTCCTTAACCAATCAGAAATCAGAAAATATTTCAATCCAGCTGTCATTTTTGGGTGGCCCACTTCAAAATATCCTGCCTTTTTAATTCAAACTGTGGGATATGAGGAGGTTTCTCTTTAAATAGCCTGATCAATCCTTTATTGTTTAATTTATAGCATCCCCCCTACATCCCTTTTTCCTTTTTCTCTCTTTTTTCTTCCTTTCTCCCTTTTTTATATGCCCAGACATGCCACAGTACCAGGCGTTGCCAGCTCACATTCCTTTCACTATTTAGAAACAAGACTAGCTGTCTAGCTCATTACAGACACCGTTTTTTTCCCCTCTCTCCTTTATGTGCCCAACTTATTTAAAAAAAAAAAAAAAGTTCAGATGTTTAGCCAACCAGGATTAGTTTAGAGAGTATGACCCGACCCTGGCCAATGGGGAAAGGGTACATACGGGGCAGGACTTGTCACACACATCTGTGTGAAAAGAACAATTAAACAGGCTTTGCGTGAGCAATAAAGCTGTTTTTTTCCACCTGGGTGCAGGCAGGCTGAGTCTGAAAAGGAGTTGGCAAAGAGAGTTATGGGTGGGGCAGTTTTATAGGATTTGGGTAGGTAGTGCAAAATTATAGTCAAAGGGTGTTTGCTCTCTTGCAGGAAGGGGTGGGGGTCACAAGGTGCACAGTGGGGGAGCTCCTGAGCCAGGAGAAGGAATTTCACAAGATAATGTTATCAGTTAAACAGGAACGGGCCATTTTCACTTCTTTTGTAATTCTTCAGTTGCTTCAGGTCATCTGGATGTATACGTGTAGGCTTAGACTCAGAGGCCTGACATGACTTGCATCAGGAATGATGTCTCTTGTGCCCCTTTATTCAGGTGTGCTCTCATGGCTACTGGCCAAGGAGAAGCACCCCTCTGTGCAGAAATAAAATGGCTTTGCTAAGAATCCTTTGTTTGAGTGTCCAATTTCCTTAGGATTTTGAATATTATTCCCATTAAAACCAATGTATGATCTCCACGTATTCATTTACAATGTTACCTGTGACTTCTGCATTCCTGAAATGTACTACTGCCTTTAAAAACCATTACTTGCAAGCCACCGGGAGGTTAGGTCTTCAGTGAGAACTGCCCAATTCTCTTTGCTTGGTGTCCTGCAAATATAAACACCCTCCTTTCCGCTGCTTCAAAACCTCAGTGTGAATGTTTGGCCTTACTGTGCCAGGCAAGGAACCCCTAGATGGGTCCAGTAACACCACCAGCATTTTGTTGGAATCATAAAGACTGAGTAATCTTCAAGGTCAAGACTGCAGAGCCTCAGAGCTTGTCTGCTGCCGATTACAATTAAACCCTACTCACAATCCCTCCTTTCCCGTGCTTAAATCATGGAATGAGAGACATTTGAGACGCCAGGACAAAAATCTTGGAAATGCCAAATACCTGTAGTTATCTACTTCTCATATGCTCTTTCCAAAACAGAAAGTGAAAAATTTTAAAGTGGTTGATATTCCCAGTAGATTCCAAGTTTATCATATCTGTCTGAAAATGTTAATCTCTGATTACCCTATCAAATGTGCCCATAAGTCTGCAGTATTTTATTTATTTATTTTTTAGGGCACTTTCCTTCATAATTCTTCTATTGTGTGAATAATTCTCCAAAAATAAAATGAAAGATGGAAAAATAAAACCTCAGTAAAATACAGGAAAGTAATTGTTTCTGTGATTCTCAATACATATTAAACAGAAAAAAAAAAAGCAGTTGAGTTTTGAAGAAAACAGATGTTGAAGATATGTGACTTCATTAAGCCAGAGATCAAATTAATTGCTATGAAGGCAGTCCACTGAGGTAGCCAGGAAATTAGTGAAAGCAGGTTTTCAGTATTGAAAAAAAGGAAATGAAAATTATGACTTAGGCACAATTCTGTAAGTACGGTATTTTAAAAATACATTATAAAATTTACAGTGTATATTTTCAGGTTTCATCAATGCATGTGTCAAGATGCTGGCATAATTTTATTGATCCTAAACATCAAACTACTTTGGAAAAATATCAAAACCTGTAGAAAAATACATTAATTTAGAAAAATGAATTAGAAAAATGAATAAATTTTCCATCATGTCTCAGGGTTACAATAATTTTATCTTCAAAGAAAAGCTATCATTACACCCTGAAATAATGGATGGATACCCAAGGCATATGATAGTTTGCCTCGTATGTCTTTCAGAAAATGAATAAAATTACTGAAAATTGTCCGGTTATATACAACTTAGAGTTATGTTGAAAAAGACAATAGTTTCTCCTTCATAGACTCAGTAGCAGAGGGATGTCATAGAATTGTCAATAAAGTCATAAGGGTTCCCTTCTATAAGTGTAATGCCAAAGGGTCTTGTCTTAGCCATGCCAAAGGATTGGTGTGGCAGCAGCCTGTGGTGAGAGAGAGATACGGATAGGACTGAGAGAAAGAGGTTGTAGGCTTTATTAAGCAGAGTAACAGTACAAAGCTTCCACAGCATGGAAGGGCTCCCAAGCGGGTAGCCAGTGTTAGATTTTTCAATCACCTTTTAAACTCTTCAAGGCGCGAAATACGTGTGGACGGAAGATGTTACCAGAGCGAGAAACAAAGACAATTAACGTGTCTCAGATCTTGAAGAAAACCAGAACTGCCACTTGTTTTGTCTACTTTATGACCTTGCAGAGTCAAGGCAAAGGAGTCAGTATCTCACAGGATTTTACAAATTGTGTTTCCAAATAATTGGAATTGGGAGAATAGATAACCTCTGCTTGTCACAGAAAAACAGGCTTTTAATATTCCTTTTAGTTTCAGGGGATGGGGAAGGGAGAGAGGACACAGGGAAGCTTACAACAACATTTTCACTGTTTCTAGCTTTCTTGGGGAAGAAAACACATGTACAAATTCTGATGTTAGGGATATTTTAAACATATATCTTCAATATTATTCATCCAGGACCAAAGTATGTCCTGATGCAGGAAATAAGTGAGTTTCACAGCTTTCTGAGCCCCTACTCTACCCAGGAAGACCAGATGGCACCTCCTCTCATAAGCATCAACTCCCCTTGAAAGTGGCACAGTTACATATACAAACAAGAATAATATTAATGCCAATTAATAGAGATATTGAATGGAATTTTGCAAATAAAATACATAACCTAAATTGACAGCTTCCATAGGCCCTGGGGAATGACTTCAAAATACACTGCCTACTTGCTTTTCTCTTTTCTTTTCTGTTAACAGACTAAGTTGCAGTAAACACTCAGCCTTCTCTGTCTCACAGAACCACACCATCTAGTCCCATTCTGGAAAATGGGGGTAGAATACTGGGAAGAGGGTACCTTGGAAATATGCCTCGGGTTTTTACTCTTCTCCTTCTCTTTCTCCTTGAAATTTACAATCTGTGGACAGTCAGTACCACTCAGATGTTTGTGTATGTTTCTGTAGATGGATACGCCAGATAGATAAGATTGATAGAAGATAGACAGGTGAGATTGATAGATGATGGATAGATGGATAATAGAAGATATATTTAAATAATAGATATAAAATATGGATAATTGATAATCGATGTATATAAGTTGGATGATAGATGGGTACCTAAATGGGAGAGATAGATGTTGGATGGATGGATAGACAGTGGAAATGCTATTTCAATAATAGATATGACACGTAGATATTTGAAAAAAGTAATAGATATAGATGATGAATGCATACATGAAGAAATGATAGAAAGTATGTTTAGATGCCAGCGATGAATATAGCTTATTGATAATAGATAATTGATAAATGGATAAATAGGATAGATAGGTAGTTTAGCTAGACAATATAAAAGACACATAAATAATATATATATAATTTAGGATATTAATAAATATTTAGTAACAAGTGATGCTGGATTGAGGGACAGAGAGGTAACAGAAAAGATACTTAAGTTTTATATAAAATATTGATTATTGATGATAGAGAATATTTGATGAACTAGAGGATGAACGATGGATGAACAGGAGATATGAATGAAAAGTTAGATGGATGGATAACAAGATAGGTGGTAAATATTCACTTCTATAGCTCACTCTTTTTCTATGCAAACAAACATAGACGTACACACGTACACACTATGTATGTGTATGTATGTGTATACCTCTCTATATGCAAATTTTTTTTCTGTTTTTTTTTTTTTTTTTTTAAGATGGAGTCTCACTCACTGTCTTGCCCAGGCTGGAGTGCAGTGGCTTGATCTCAGCTCACTGCAGCCTCCACCTCCTGGGTTCAACTTGTTCTCCTGCCTCAGCCTCCAGAGTAGCTGGAATTACTGACAGGCACCACAATTTCCAGCAATTTTTTTTTTTTTTTTGGTGTGTGTGTATTTTTAGTAGATATGGGGTTTCACCATGTTGGCCAGGCTGGTCTTGAACTCCTGGTTTCAAGTGATCTGCCCGCCTTGGCCTCCCAAATTGCTGAAATTAGAGGTATGAGCCACTGTGCCTGGCCAATATTTTTCTTGTTATGTTTTTGGTAAAATACACTTGGGCCAAAAATTGTATGCAATTACAATATTTTCAGATTCCATTTCATTACTTGCTGTAACATTCTAGCATTGAATTTCCACCTATTTATTTAAAGATGTTTTCCCTTGCATCACTGCTCTCTTTAAACCTTTTGAACCTTGCAAGACTGAGTGCAGTAGTAAAGTGGCCTGTTCTCAGTGTTTGGGCAGGTGTTTGAATGGATCTGCCTGATGCACAATGAAGAGGCACTGCATCTCACATGGTTTCCAAGAAGGCAGTGACTACCTGAGTCACTATAAACAGGAAGGGAAAAAATACGTTTGTCCTGACAGATTCCTAGAGAATTCAGCATATCATTGCTCAGATTCAATTAAAGATAAAAATCTTTTTCCTCTTACAGGAACACACAGTCTCAGAATTTATATATATTTTTCCTATTTGCATTTATTGCTCATTTAGATTTATAATGTTTCTGTTTTGCTTTGTACTTGCCTCTCTTGGTTTTAAGTTTTACTGTGAGAGTAACCCTTCTCATTAACTCATCTATTTGCCCATTCTCTTTTTTATCTCTTCATACGTTTATGAAATTCCCATTCATTCTCTTCTTCCATGTTCAGCTTCAACACTTAATTTTATAAGAAATATTTTTGTTATTGGTTTTGAAATTATTTTCTCCTTGAGTCAATAACTTTTAGGCAAATCTTTTGTCAGAGTACACCATCGAGAGATTTAATCAGTGGGGATAACCGAGGTGGTAGATTTTCAGAGAAGTTGGCTGTACTAAGTGTTTTCTTCACCTTCTAGAAAACCATTAAACAGAATTCTATCCATTGAACAGAAATCCAGCCCTTGAATATTCACTACTGATTTTTATTTATGAAATTTTTAAAAATTAGGAAATAAAAATATAAAAATAAATTTTAGTTTCAACTCTACCCACAATCAAAAATTAATTTCAAAATTTAATTTACATTCATCTGTGCATTGCTGCCTTTATATAGATGATGAATTAACAGAACTTAGTTAATTCTGTGCTTTAGTCATGGATTTTTATAGTGTTATTGTCTCTACCTCCCAACTGGCCCTCTTACCTGTTTTATTTTTAATTGACTTTTAAATGAAATAGCACATTTTATTTGAGGACAGAAATTGGTCCTAAGAATAACATTACTTGCCTGAATCTTTGGCATAGGTACAAGGGCCCTACCTGTGAAGAGAAAAATATATGGAGGTTCAAAGGTAAGAAGAATATTTTTCCTGATCCTATAAATGCCCATTTTTTTTCCAAATAAAGGTGTTTTATAGAGCAATGTATTAACCTTCTTTATGTCTTCGGGTTGACATGCATAAGTGTGTTAATACTGACTATTAGGATATTTATAAACATTCAGTCATGGGGTATTTTGTACAGTGGTAGTGCCATGGGGTATCGAGTGGCATGGGGATTGAGTGCAGTGGCACAATCATGGCTCACTGCAGCCTCAATCTCCCAGGCTCAAGCAGTCCTCCTGAAGCTGGCTACCAAGTATCTGGGACCACGGGTGTGCACCACCATACCTGCCTAATCATTGTTATTTTGTATCTCTGTGTCATCCAGGCTGGTCTCGAAATTCCTGGCCTTGAGCAATCCTCTTGCCTTAGCCTCCCAAAGTACTAAAATTACAGGTATAAGCCTTTACGCCATGTGAAAAAATGCTTTTCATTCAACTTAATTCAATGAGATTTTATAGAGTCTAAACACCGTTCCTAAAACAACCTCCACCACAAAAAGATAAACCACTTCAGTGTAATATAGAAAGATAGAAAGATATATAGATAAGGTAAATAGATAGAATGCATAGGTATGGTAATGAGAAAGATAGGTAATACCTAAGAATGGATGATAGGTATAGTACATGATAGCTAGATAATTTGATGACAGATATACATCATGATGATGATGGATAATATATAGAGACATATGGTAGATAAATATAGATATAGACAATAGATATACAGATATTGTCTGTGTAATAATTAAAACAGCACATACTAAATTTTCAAGATACAATACTAAACTAATGACAAACAAAAGTGACAATATGTGATTGTTTAAATAGAAAATCTCATAAGTAACATTTAGCAGAATATTGATCAACTGTTTACCCACATACTCTGTCACTAGGCAAGTAACATAAGGGGTTCGTTGAAGTATAATTAACACGAACCAAACTGCACTATTAAATGTTTTACTTAAAAAGAAATTATTTTACCAAATGTATTATGAATTAAATAATGAAAAAATAATAATTGTATATCCAATTTAAGTAAAAAATACAAGAATCAGGGAAACTTAAAGTGAGGGGAAACCTTGGGAATAATTTATTCTAACTCTGATACTTAGATAGCAATTATTTTTAACTTTGTTCTAACTTTATGAGTTCATTGTAAGAGTTTACAATGCTGAACTGAGATGTCAAATTCAAGTAACCTAGAAAAGAATGTAATGGACTGATTTACTCCACACCTGTCTCACTCATCACCACAGAAATGAAACTACAGATACACACACGTAAAAAAGTTGATTGCATAAAATGTAATATCATGATCTCTTGAAGTTGATTCCAGGAACACATAATATTTTTCTTAGTGCTGGAATATTTTTATATATAATTTACACTCACTAATATATACACCATCATCTCAATATGTTCACTTATTTATAGATACAAATAAATTCATAATATATTATAAACTTTCATGCACAGAGCTCTTAGAAAACTGGAATTCAAAGGTGCTTTCTTGATGAGGGACAGGACACTAAGAAAACCTATAGCAAACAATGTTTGTTGTATTTAAGATCAGGAAATGCAATAATGCTTTTTATCAGAGCCTCTCTTCTTTATTTTGCTGGATAGAAGAGGAAAGAAAGAACAGTTTTATGAATGGAAAAGGAGGAAAATGTCACTATTTATCAATCATATGATAATACATAGAGAAAATCTACACAAATATACTGTCAAACTCATATTGGTCAAATCAACATGAATATTTAATAGTGTTGTTAGATATAAAATCAGCTTTTAAAAATCAATTTTCTTATCTTCAATAGTAATAATCATTTAGAAAATGCAGATTATCATATAATTTATAAAGACAACAAACAAAAATTTTACTTGACAAAATATAATTAGACTCAATAAATAATGATGACAATTGTCTCTTAATTAACCTATGGAGTCAATAAAATTTAAATAAAATTCCCAAAAAGATGTTTTGTAGAAATCAATAAGCTAATCCAAAAATTTATATAGAGAGACAATTGCATGAGATACACCAAGAAACCCTTTATGGAAATGATGAAGGTGGAAGATGTGTTCCACGAGATTCCATATGCCTTACTGTTAAATCTTAGAAGAGCATAATACTGATGCTAGGATAGGTTTACCTACCAACAAAAAAAAAGTGAGACCAAACAGACATTTATGGAAACATAATTTATTCATGAATGAAGAAAGGTAAACATTTTAGTAAAGTATCTTGTACAAATTATAAAATTTAAATAAGTAATTACATTAAAAAATAATTACAGGTTTGCTTAGACCTTAAAGCCTGATATTAGAACTTTAAAACTTAGGAGCAATTAAAAACCTTAAAAATATCAAAGTGTTTGAAAATATCTTTATCATACTGTAGTGGGATTGATAAGGAATCAGAAAGACTGATGGGGTTGAGGAGGATATTTATTTTTTAGGTGCACCAGTCCAGTCAGATTAACATGCAAAGGACTGAGCACTGAACAAAGAGGTAAGTTACATTTTAAGCATTTTGTGGGTTGGGGGTAGATCTGTGCAGGGACAAGCATATTACAGAAGTGAGAAACAAAGACAGTTATTCAATTAAGACACGCATTACATCATTTCTACTTTTCAAGGAAAAACATGTTTTATGACTTGAGTTTATCTGTCTAGTGACCTTGCAACTGCACAGCTGGAGAAACAGGATCTTCGCCATGCCTGGGAAAGTAGGAGAGATAAGGCTCACTAGTGACAGAAAAACAGGCAGTTAATTTATAAAGCGCTCCAGCTCTTTCTCTTTCTCGGGGATTTTTTTTTTTTTTTTTTTTTTTTTTTACATATAACAGAGTTTCTGCTTACATATTCTTTAATTTCCTTTCATTGCTGCTCCAATACTAGATGATTAAGTATATAAAAAACTGGGCCAGACATGGTGGCTCAGACCTGTAATCTCAACATTTTGGGAGGCCAAGGCAGATGGATCACCTGAGGCCAGGCATTAGAGACCAACCTGGCCAACATGGCAAAAACATATCTACTAAAAATACAAATATTAGCTGGCTATGATGATGGGTGCCTGTAATCCCAGCAACTCAGGAGTCTGAGGCACGGGAATCACTTGAACCTAGGAGGCAGATGTTGCATTGAGCAGAGATTACAGCAACACACTCCAGCCTGGGCCACAGAGTGAAACTCTGTAATCTTAAACAAAGAAAAGGAATATAAAAAACTATAACCAAGGTTAAAATTTTGATTAATTCAACTACATTAAAGTTAAAAATTTTGCCCATCCAATGTTAAAATTGAGTGATATGTGATGCATCTAATTTGGAGAATGTATCTTCAATATATTTTACCAGAAAATATACCAATAACATATATACATGCATATACTATGCTATAATAATGGGAATTTTTCAAACAGGTGGTGTAGAAAAGTTATCATTTGGATTTTATAAAAATATAAAACCATAAAGTTTGTTCATAAAAAATTATAAATTTCACTAACAACGAGGCATCATTTCTTACCATATAGTTGGCTGAAACACTGTGATGTTGAGGCTTAGATCAGTTTGAACTTTCTCTCATATCTACTTGGATTATAAATTGTTACCGTGCTTTCAGAATACAGTTTGCTGTCACTCTACAATGTCTGTTCTAAAAATGAACCATAAGTGTAGAACTCTACTTGAATGCATATGTAACAGATACTCAGGAACTCCTTACACCATGAAATGCATATAGGGGTATTTCTAACAACGTCTTTTGACGGAGCTAGAAAATATAATATTCATCACGATCAACTGAAGTTCATTTCAGGAATGCACAACATTTTTCCTAGTGCTTGAATATTTTTAAAATATAATTCAAACATGTTAATATATCAACTATAATCTAAATAGATTCACTTATCAATAGATGCCAAAATATCAATAAAATATTACAAACATACATGCACAGAACTCTCATAAAAGTGAAATTCAAAGGAGCTTCAGAATGCTGAAAAAAACTCAAAATGCACACATACTTATCAAAAAGAAGATGGATAATCAATTTGTGTTAAATCAGTTACTCAGAAATATTATACAGCAATGAAGATCACTAGACTTCATGATTATGAATCACCCTGCGTGAATCTCTGAAAAATACCGTGTTCAAGGAAAGAACCTAAGGAAGACACTATAAACAGTATGATTCTCTTACATAACATTCAAATTCAAGCAAAACTTAAGAATGTATTCTCTAACAATAGAGTAGTGCTAGAAAAGTTAGCAGGACATTCAGTATAGTTGTCTCCTTTGATGAGGAAGGAAAATATTGATTGAAAACAGAAATTAGGCAGCATTCATTTACATTTCCATTCCATACCTCAGTGTCTCTTCCACAGGTGTGTGGCCTCAAGCAATCCCCAGGGTCCTGGGGTTCAGAGCGCCCCATGCTAGGTTTAGAGTTCTGCTACTGCTGTCTTGAAATTCTGAAGAATTAATCTTTGCACTTTCCTTTCATATGTGGAATGCAATGAAAGAAGAGGAATGCATGCACATGGTTAGAGGAGATATGCACCATATGCACTTCTGCCACTGTTCTTTCCTACCCAATTGCATACAGTGTTCATGAACCCTCTTGGGCACAGAATTCTGCTGGACTGGCAATAAGGGAAAATTCAGTAAGATTCACAAAGTGAGGTTATTACTTCTATGACAAAGTGAGTGCTCTTGCATCCCAGAGAGGTCATGCTTTGAGTACAAATTAGAACCTACTTTAAATATAGATAAGTGGCAATGAAATTCTAAAAAATCCCAGAACAAACAAGAACTCTATCCTATCTCTTATTCTTCTTGCTGTGTCAGGCAACCACTTATGTGGAAAATGATGTTATAGAGGAGATGGGGATGAGAGGACAACCTGTGGTTCCTGTTAGTTACATGCCTTCCTTATCATCAGTGAGCTGAAGGTACAGTGTTGCTAGAATATGTCAATATCAGGAAGTAAAATAAAATCAGCTGAGTTCATTTTGTGTAGCACACTTCCCCTGTTCTGGTAAGAATGCAGTAGATACTTATGCATATGCTACAAAATAACAGCTTGTGTAATTTCAGTGATTCTGAATACATGTTAACTGCTCAGATACTGGAGTTCAAAATTGGCATTACACAATATAAAGGTAAAAATGGAAAACCATGCCAGTGACTAAATATTTTATTTTTTCCTTACTTAGAACAACATCAAATATAAATTTATTTTGTAAAGACATGACAAGTTGAGAAAGATTAGAAAAAAAGGGGGAGACAGCTTTATATTTTAGTACTGTTAATAGTTCTATGAAATTGGCCTACTTTTAATAAAAAGAGTCAAATAGTAAACATTTTCATCTCTGTGAGATACATAATCTCTGTTGTAGTAACTGAGCTCTTCTATCATACCACAAAAGCAGGCACAGACAATATACAAATGAATGGGCATGGCTGTTTTCCAGTAAAACTTTATTTACAGAAACAAGTAGTGGGCTGGATTTGACCCACGGAACGTAATTAGTCCGTGGATGTCCTAAGGTACGAAGTCCACTGTAAGACTTCTTAGCAATTCAAACAACATCAGGGGAAACTCTCCTAAAACCTTATAAATTTTTAAACATTTCTGAGTTTCAGGCTAATGAGTCATTTGCATGATGCTGGGCAGTAATTGTAGATACATTTACAGCAACATTTTCAGTGTTTCAGAGTTACAGATGAAGGGATTGACTCAGGTAGTTCCACTATGGATCATTGAGTCTATTTTCATGCTGCTCTTTTGGCAAAGTATAGGAATAATGCCAGCAGTCTAGTGATATAGAATGTCTGTTTCTTGAAGCTATGGGTTATAACTTTCTGAGAATTGTTTCTCTAAAAAAAAAAAAAAAAAAAAAAAAACTTGAGAGAGTCACGTGCAGCTATGGCCAGTGGTATGAATGTTTCATGCTCTCCAACTGCAGAATCTAGATACTTTCTGCTTCTATGTTAGTTATATAGAAAAACTGCAGCATGGTAGGACAATTGAATACAGAGATCAAGATTCAGGATAGTAAATCTCTATGCCTTGTGAAGAGTTTTGCTTTTGCTAAAGGGAAGAGTAAATCATATGGGTGTGTAAAACTCACCACTGGAATCACCTTTTTTTTTTTTTTTTTCAGGAGTTCAGAACTGATGAAAGGGTCAAAACATAGATGATGTTTTGATCTTCCACAGGATTACCCAACATTTCTTCTGACAGTATTTGTCAGCTATTTCTTCCTCGGGTGCCCAGAGAAAGTCTTGAGTTTAGCCAAAATTTCTCTATAATATCTTTGTTGTTGCCCCATGGGTTTTAGGAAGCAGTATCCATCTTGTGCCAAGAAAGGCTAATCAAGGCAACTTCCTGAAGTATAAGCTGAGATGAGGGGTGGAAGAGGATTAATGCAGGACTGTTACAGAAATAAAGAAAAAATCTGCAGCAGAGCAACAACTCCAACCCTTGCTGCAATGTTTCATTCAGACACTGAAATTTCCAAGGTGCCCAGAAATCAACATTTAATATACTGTGGGATGCATAGAGGAAGCTGTCCATATGTTTCTTCTTTTTGAAGTTTTAGGCATTTTTTTTTTTCAGTTCAAAGGTTCTTTTAACCTTAATAAGTTCAATTAAACAAAAATACACTTAAGTACTACTAATAACATGACTTGGCAAATTGTGAAATGTAAATTTAAAATGTAACAACAAACACACGTGTATGTTAATTTGATATCCATTTATAAATTTACATACAAGCTTGTATATACATTAATATACATAAAGTTAAAATATATTATGTATATGTAAATATATATACTTTTTAAATTTTATTATTATTATACTTTAAGTTTTAGGGCACATGTGCACAATGTGCAGGTTTGTTACATATGTATACATGTGCCATGCTGGTGTGCGGCACCCATTAACTTGTCATTTAGCATTAGGTATCTCCTATTGCTATCCCTCCCCCCTCCCCCCACCCCACAACAGTCCCCGAGTGTGATGTTCCCCTTCCTATGTCCATGTGTTCTCATTGTTCAATTCACGCCTATGAGTGAGAACATGTGGTGTTTGGTTTTTTGTCCTTGCAATAGTTTGCTAAGAGTGATGATTTCCAGTTTCATCCATGTCCCTGCAAAGGACATGAACTCATCATTTTTTATGGCTGCATACTATTCCATGGTGTATATGTGCCACATTTTCTTAATCCGTTCTATCATTGTTGGACATTTGGGTTGGTTCCAAGTCTTTGCTATTGTGGATAGCGTCGCAATAAACATACGTGTGCATGTGTCTTTATAGCAGCATGATTTATAGTCCTTTGGGTATATACCCAGTAATGGGATGTCTGGGTCAAATGGTATTTCTAGTTCTAGATCCCTGAGGAATCGCCACACTGATTTCCACAATGGTTGAACTAGTTTACAGTCCAACCAGCAGTGTAAAAGTGTTCCTATTTCTCCACATCCTCTCCAGCACCTGTTGTTTCCTGACTTTTTAATGATCGCCATTCTAACTGGTGTGAGATGGTATCTCATTGTGGTTTCAATTTGCATTTCTCTGATGGCCAGTGATGATGAGCATTTTTTCATGTGTTTTTTGGCTGCATAAATGTCTTCTTCTGAGAAGTGTCTGTTCATATCCTTGGCCCACTTTTTGATGGGATTGTTTGTTTTTTTCTTGTAAATTTGTTTGAGTTCATTGTAGATTCTGGATGTTAGCCCTTTGTCAGATGAGTAGGTTGCAAAAATTTTCTCCCATTTTGTAGGTTGCCTGTTCACTCTGATGGTAGTTTCTTTTGCTGTGCAGAAGCTCTTTAGTTTAATTAGATCCCATTTGCCAATTTTGGCTTTTGTTGCCATTGCTTTTGGTGTTTTAGGCACGAAGTCCTTGCCCATGCCTATGTCCTGAATCATATTGCCTAGGTTTTCTTCTAGGGTTTTTATGGTTTTAGGTCTAACATGGAAGTCTTTAATCCATCTTGAATTAATTTTTGTATAAGGTGTAAGAAAGGGATCCAGTTTCGGCTTTCTACATATGGCTAGCCTGTTTCCCCAGCACCATTTATCAAATAGGGAATCCTTTCCCCATTGCTTGTTTTTCTCAGGTTTGCCAAAGATCAGATGGTTGTAGATATGCAGCATTATTTCTGAGGGCTCTGTTCTGTTCCATTGATCTATGTCTCTGTTTTGGTACCAGTACCATGCTGTTTTGGTTACCATAGCCTTGTAGTATAGTTTGAAGTCAGGTAGCGTGATGCCTCTGGCTTTGTTCTTTTGGTTTAGGATTGACCTTGCAATGCGGGCTCTTTTTTGGTTCCATATGAACTTTAAAGTAGTTTTTTCCAATTCTGTGAAGAAAGTCATTGGTAGCTTCATGGGGATGGCATTTAATCTATAAATTACCTTGGGCAGTATGGCCATTTTCACAATATTGATTCTTACTACCCATGAGCATGGAATGTTCTTCCATTTCTTTGTATCCTCTTTTATTTCATTGAGCAGTGGTTTGTAGTTCTCCTTGAAGAGGTCCTTCATGTCCCTTGTAAGTTGGATTCTTAGGTATGTTATTCTCTTTGAAGCAATTGTGAATGGGAGTTCACTCATGATTTGGCTCTCTGTTTGTCTGTTGTTGTGTATAAGAATGCTTGTGATTTTTGCACATTGATTTTGTATCCTGAGACTTTGCTGAAATTGCTTATCAGCTTAAGGAGATTTTGGGCTGAGACAATGGGGTTTTCTAGATGTACAGTCATGTCATCTGCAAACAGGGACAATTTGACTTCCTCTTTTCCTAATTGAATACTTTTTTTCCTTCTCCTGCCTGATTGCCCTGGCCAGAACTTCCAACACTATGTGGAATAGGAGTGGTGTGAGAGGGCATCCCTGTCTTGTGCCCATTTTCAAAGGGAATGCTTCCAGTTTTTGCCCATTCAGTATGATATTGGCTGTGGGTTTGTCATAGATATCTCTTATTATTTGGAGATACGTCCCATCAATACAGAATTTATTGAGAGATTTTAGCATGAAGGGTTGTTGAATTTTGTCAAAGGCCTTTTCTGCATCTATTGAGATAATCAGGTGGTTTTTGTCTTTGGTTCTGTTTATAAGCCGGATTACATTTTTTGATTTGGGTATGTTGTACCAGCCTTGCATCCCAGGGAGGAAGCCCACTTGATCATGGTGGATAAGCTTTTTGATGTGCTGCTGGATTCGGTTTGCCAGTATTTTACTGAGGATTTTTACATCGATATTCATCAGGGATATTGGTCTAAAATTCTCTTTTTTGGTTGTGTCTCTGCCAGGCTTTGGTATCAGGATGTTGTTGCCCTCATAAAATGAGTTAGGGAGGATTCTCTCTTTTTCTATTGATTGGATTGGTTTCAGAAGGAATGGTACAAGCTCCTCCTTGTACCTCTGGTAGAATTGGGCTGTGAATCCATCTGGTCCTTGACTTTTTTTGGTTGGTAAGCTATTGATTATTGCCACAATTTCAGATCCTGTTATTGGTCTATTCAGAGATTCAACTTCTTCCTGGTTTACCCTTGGGAGGGTGTAGGTGTCGAGGAATTTTTCCATTTCTTCTAGATTTTCTAGTTTATTTGCATAGAGATGTTTGTAGTATTCTCTGATAGTAGATTGTATTTCTGTGGGATCGGTGGTGATATCCCTTTTATTGTTTTTTATTACATCTATTTGATTCTTCTCTGTGTTCTTCTTTATTAGTCTTGCTAGCGGTCTATCAATTTTGTTGATCTTTTCAAAAAACCAGCTCCTGGATTCATTAATTTTTTGAAGAGTTTTTTTGTGTCTCTATTTCCTTCAGTTCTGCTCTGATGTTAGTTATTTCTTGCCTTCTGCTAGCTTTTGAATGTGTTTGCTCTTGCTTTTCTAGTTCTTTTAATTATGATGTTAGGGTGTCAATTTTGGATCTTTCCTGCTTTGTCTTGTGGGCATTTAGTGCTATAAATTTCCCTCTACAGACTGCTTTGCATGTGCCCCAGAGATTCTGGTATGTTGTGTCTTTATTCTCATTGGTTTCAAAGAACATCTTTATTTCTGCCTTCATTTCATTATGTACCCAGTAGTCATTGAGGAGCAGGTTGTTCAGTTTCCATGTAGTTGAGCGGTTTTGAGTGAGTTTCTTAATCCTGAGTTCTAGTTTGATTGCACTGTGGTTGGAGAGACAGTTTGCTATAATTTCTGTGCTTTTACATTTGCTGAGGAGTGCTTTACTTCCAACTATGTGGTCAATTTTGGAATAGGTGAGATGTGGTGTTGAAAAAAAATGTATATTCTGTTGTTTTGGGGTGGAGAGTTCTGTAGATGTCTATTAGGTCTGTTTGGTGCAGAGCTGAGTTCAATTCCTGGGTATCCTTTTTAACTTTCTGTCTCATTGATCTGTCTAATGTTGACAGTGGGGTGTTAAAGTCTCCCATTATTATTGCATGGGAGTCTAAGTCTCTTTGTGGGTCACTGAGGGCTTGCTTTATGAATCTGGGTGCTCCTGTATTGGGTGCATATATATATTTAGGATAGTTAGCTCTTCTTGTTGAATTGATCCCTTTATCATTATGTAATGGCCTTCTTTGTCTCTTTTGATCTTTGTTGGTTTAAAATCTGTTTTATCAGAGACTAGGATTGCAACCCCTGCCTTTTTTTGTTTTCCATTTGCTTGGTAGATCTTCCTCCGTCCCTTTATTTTGAGCTTATGTGTGTCTCTGCATGTGAGATGGGTTTCCTGAATAAAGCACACTGATGGGTCTTGTCTCTTTATCCAATTTGCCAGTCTGTGTCTTTTAATTGGAGCATTTAGCCCATTTACATTTAAAGTTAATATGGTTATGTGTGAATTTGATCCTGTCATTATGATGTTAGCTGGTTATTTTGCTCATTAGTTGATGCAGTTTCTTCCTGGCCTCGATGGTCTTTACAATTTGGCATGATTTTGCAGTGGCTGTTACCGGTTGTTCCTTTCCATGTTTAGCGCTTCCCTCAGGAGGTCTTTTAAGGCAAGCCTGGTGGTGACAAAATCTCTCAGCATTTGCTTGTCTGTAAAGTATTTTATTTCTCCTTCACTTATGAAGCCTAGTTTGGCTGGATATGAAATTCTGGGTTTAAGAATGTTCAATATTGGCCCCCACTCTCTTCTGGCTTGTAGAGTTTGGGCTGAGAGATCCGCTGTTAGTTTGATGGGCTTCCATTTGTGGGTAACCCGACCTTTCTCTCTGGCTGCCCTGAGCAATTTTTCCTTCATTTCACCTTTGATGAATCTGACAATTATGTGTCTTGGAGTTGCTCTTCTCTAGGAGTATCTTTGTGGAGTTCTCTGTATTTCCTGAATCTGAATGTTGGCCTGCCTTGCTAGATTGGGTAAGTTCTCCTGGATAATATCTTGCAGAGTGTTTTCCAACTTGGTTCCATTCCCCCCCGTCACTTTCAGGTATACCAATCAGATGTAGATTTGGTCTTTTCACATAGTCCCATATTTCTTGAAGGCTTTGTTCGTTTCTTTGTATTCTTTTTTCTCTAAACTTCCCTTCTCGCTTCATTTCATTCATTTCATCTTCCATCGCTGATATCCTTTCTTCCAGATAATCGCATCAGCTCCTGAGGCTTCTGCATTCTTCACATAGTTCTCGAGCCTTGCCTTTCAGCTCCATCAGCTCCTTTAAGGACTTCTCTGCATTGATTATTCTGGTTATCCATTCATCTAATTTTTTTTCAAAGTTTTTAACTTCTTTGCCATTGGTTTAAATTTCTCCTGTAGCTCGGAGTAGTTTGATCATCTGAAGCCTTCTTTTCTCAACTCATCAAAGTCATTCTCCGTCCAGCTTTTTTCCATTGCTGGTGAGGAGCTGCATTCCTTTGGAGGAGGAGAAGCACTCTGCTTTTTAGAGTTTCCAGTTTTTCTGCTCTGTTTTTTCCCCATGTTTGTGGTTTTATCTACTTTTCGTCTTTGATGATGGTGACATACAGATGGGTTTTTGGTGTGGGTGTCCTTTCTGTTTGTTAGTTTTCCCTCTAACAGACAGGACCCTCAGCTGCAGGTCTGTTGGAGTTTGCTAGAGGTCCACTCCAGACCCTGTTTGCCTGGGTATCAGCAGCCATGGCTGCAGAACAGTGGTGGCAGTAGAACAGTGGATATTTGTGAACCGCAAATGCTGCTGCCTGATCGTTCCCCTGGAAGTTTTGTCTCAGAGGAGTACCCGGCCGTGTGAGGTGTCAGTCTGCCCTTACTGCGGGGTGCCCCCCAGTTAGGCTGCTCGGGGGTCAGGGACCCACTTGAGGAGGCAGTCTGCCATTCTCAGATCTCCAGCTGCGTGTTGGGAGAACCACTACTCTCTTCAAAGGTGTCAGACATGGACATTTAAGTCTGCAGAGGTTACTGCTGTCTTTTTGTTTGTCTGTGCCCTGCCCCGAGAGGTGGAGCCTACAGAGGCAGGCAGGCCTCCTTGAGCTGTGGTGGGCTCCACCCAGTTGGAGCTTCCCAGCTGCTTTGTTTACCTAATCAAGCCTGGGCAATGGCAGGCACCCTTCCCCCAGCCTTACTGCCACCTTGCAGTTTGATCTCAGACTGCTGTGCGAGCAATCAGCAAGACTCCGTGGGTGTAGGACCCTCTGAGCCAGGTGCAGGACATAATCTCCTGGTGTGCTGTTTTTCAAGCCCGTTGGAAAAGCTCAGTATTAGGTTGAGAGTGACCCGATCTTCCAGGTGCCGTCTGACACCCCTTTCTTTGACTAGGAAAGGGAACTCCCTGACCCCTTGCACTTCCCGAGTGAGGCAATGCCTAGCCCTGCTTCAGCTCCTGCATGGGGCACTGCACCCACTGTCTGGCACTCCCTAGTGAGATGAACCCGGTACCTCAGATGGAAATGCAGAAATCACCCATCTTCTGCGTCACTCACACTGGGAGCTGTGGACCGGAGCTGTTCTTATTCGGCCATCTTGGCTCCACCCCCATATATACTTTTTTATAATATATAAATGAATACCCATCTCCATATTTAAATTACAGCTTTTTGTTGGGCACGGCAGATCATGCCTGTAAGTCCCAGGACTTGGCGAGTTTGGGATGGAAAGACTGCGAGAGCTCAGGAATTGGAGAGCAGCCTGCACAACATGGTAAATCCCTGTCTCTACCAAAAATACAAAAATTATATAGGCATCACAGTGCATGCCTGTGGTCCCAGCTACTGGAGACAGCGGCTGAGGTAAGAGGATTGCTTGAACCCCAGATGTTTAGGTTGCAGTGAGTCCAGATCACACCACTGCACCATAGCCTAGGCCACAGAGCAAGATCCAGTCTCAAATAAATAAATAAATAAAATAAAATAAAATAAAATAAAATATATTACATCTTTATATGTGTGCCTAGTTCTGTTTAGTAAAATTATTATAAATAATAATAATATATACAATATACTTACATATCACTGTATTAGTTCATTTTCAGACTGTTTTAAAGAACTACTGGAGACTGGGTAATTTTTAAAGAAAAGAGGTTTAATAACTTAGAGTGCTGCAGGGCCTGGGAGGCCTCACGGAACTTATAATCATGGCGGAAGGGGAAGCGGAAGCAAGGCACATCTTCTCATGGCAGCAGGAGGGAGAGGGAGCAAGGAAGTGCCACATTTTTAAACCATTAGATCTCGTGAGAACTCACTATCTTGAGAACAGCAAGGGAAAAATCCCCTAGGATCCAATCACCTCCCATCAGGCACCTCCCTGGACATGTGGGGATTACACTTCACAGTGAGGTTTTAGTGGGAACGCAGAGCCAAATGCCATCAATAATATGTAATTACATTTATTTATACATGTACACTGATATATTTATATATAGACTTGTATATATGTAAACATACATTTATGTATTTATTTACAAACTTGTATACATATAAATTGATATACAGATGGTCTTTCACTTGAGATGGTCCCATTTACAACTGCTGGACTTAATGGTGGTGTGAGAATAGCATGCATGCAGTAGAAAGTGCTGTTTTCCCCTCTTGCCAGGCTACAGGGAGCCAGTTCCCACTCAGCCTTGCAATCACAAAGGTTCATAGGCAAAACTCTACAGTGTTCTGTGTTGCTAGAGGAGTTTGCTCCATGATAGGTTATACAAGTGCTTTGAGCATATTTAAGGTATGCTAGGCAAAGCTATGATGTTTAGTAGGTTAGGTGTATTCAATGCATTTTCAAATTTTGGTATTTTCAACTTGCTATGGGTTTATTGGGACATAACCCCATCATAAGTTAAGGAGCGTTTGTACATAAACTTGTGTTTGTGTGTGTGAGTGTGTGTGTGTGTGTGTGTGTGTATATACACCTACACATATATATGTATATGGTACATATCTATAACTTGGATCTATGCATATTTCATATGTTTTTGAATATTTAATATATACATTTTAAACCAATACATACATTTATATGAACATTTAACATATACAGTTAGCCGTTGAGCAACATGGGAGGTAAGGAACAAACCTCCATCCGACTCTCATGTATAGTTGAAAATCCATGTATAATTTTTACTCCCGCAAAACTGAAGTATTAATAGTATACTGTAGATTGGCTATTACCAATGATATGAATGGTCAATTAACACACATTTTGTACATTATATGTACTATATACTGTATTTTTACAATAACGTAAGATATAGAAAATAAAATGTCATTAAGAATATTCCAAGAAAGAGAAAATACATTTATTATTCACAAAGTGGAAGTGGATCATCTTGAAGGCCTTCAGCCCCATTGTCTTCACCTGGAGTGGACTGAGGAGGAAGAAGGGAAAGGGTTGGTCTTGCTATCTCAATGGTGGCAGAGGTGGAAGGAAATCCACATATTAGTGACTCACACAGTTCAAACCCATGTTGTTCAAGGGGCAGCTGTATATGCATATACACACATACATACACATTTATATTTAAATTATATCATTATATATGTAGCTACTTGTGTTCAGTAAAATTAATTTTGTTACACTCTTGAATATTTTTTGTTATTTACATTTCTTCCATATGTTTCATGATTTCAAGACACAAAAAAATAGACACAATATTCTGACTGAATAATTATGTTATGGGCATCCAGGTAGTTCTGTTTAGACAGTTGCTAAACCACCAGCTACACAGACACATTTTATAGAATTGCCATATAAAAGGAGATACACTAGATTATTTTTATGTCATTAATTGATATACAACATGGGCATTTTTACCCAAGGGCTTCCTCTGTCATAGGATGTTTACTCAATTTATGTGAACAAATTCCAATTTGCAGTGGTGTGCCCTAAAAGCCAAAAAGAATGCAGTGAATTTTAAATCTAGTGTGTTTGATGTTCTAAATTTGGAAAATATTTTAAAAATGTTCATTGTTACAGCAATTCTTACATGTGTGTATATATGTGTGTGTGTGTCTGTGTGTGTGTATAAAATAAATGCCATATATATACATATACATTTATATATTCGTTGCATTTGTGCTTTTTATTAAATATAATGATTATTGGTAAATTTGAAGCTTGTTTGATGGCAGTCCCCTCCCTATAGCTGCCAAGGTGATGGTGGATTGTTGCTTTCAACAAATTTCACTTGGTAAACTTCAACTTTACCAATAATAATTTTATTTAATGAAAAAAAGTAATGTAAATGTAATATTTTAAAAATTCATCTCTAATCTCTGTTTTTTTCCAAGGGTCAACTGTACATGTTAAATGCTTATTAAAATGTATATATTGTTCAAAGGTATATATAAATGTGTATGACATTTGTTTTATTATATATACACAAATCTATATACATACATTTACACATACATACTGATTATTCTAACAGTGCATATGTACATATTGATATAATATGTATATATAAATGTATATGACATTTTTCTTTATGTATATACACATATAAGCATACCTATATGTAACATGCTGATTTACTATAACAGAGCACATGTATATGTTGATATAAAATATATATAAATGTATAGGACATTAGTTTTACACATATATACACACATACACATACACAACACACACATGCTAATTATAACAGTGCACATCTTTTAAATGTTTTCCAAATTAAGAACATCAAGCACACTATATTTAAAATTCACTCTATTCTATTTGCCTTCTCGGGCATTCCTTTGCAAATTGAAACTTGTTCACATACACTGTGTAAACATCTTGTGAGAGAGAAAACCACTGGTGACAAATGCTGAAGTTGTGTATCAATCAATTATATTCTCATAATGTCTTCCAAAGTACATTTTTATATTGTCAGTAAAAATATATGTATCACTAAACTACAGCTGGTGAATATTTTTTAAATTTACTTTAGAAGTACATTATTATATACATCTTTTTGTAATTATTTTATTGCCCTTTTAGATAGAGCCAATTTGTATAACTGTAATATACCTGGTATGCATACACTATGAGCTATTAATTCTTAATTACTCCCTTTTCCTTGATCTAAGTCATTTCCACTTTTCCTCTTCTACAAACAATATGGCAAGAAACAAAATTATTAATGCCTCTTTGTGTACATATGTGAGCATTTATTTGGCGGTATTTTGTTAATGCTCTTTATAAATATTAAGCTTATTTGCCTCAACAAAAGTCTAGTTGCCTTAATTCATAAAATGAAAATCTAAAGCCTAGTTACTAAATTGCTCAAATCACACACCTAGCAGGAAAAAAGCTGAGATCAAATCCAGCCTGTCTGTCCCAAAAACCCCAATAATTAAACATGTCTTGCCTTCTTAAAGGTACTGTTGAGTAACAAATGCCATTGCAGACTTTCCATTTCATTAGACAATACCAAATGGCTTTTCCAAAATTGGGTACAAATTCCCTTTTGCTACAATTCTGCAACAATGAATACAGCAGACATTTGAATTTTTGCTAAGCTAATGGCTGGGAAATTCCCTTTCTTTGTTTAAATTTTTCATGGCTTTGATTTCTGGTGGATTGGAATTTAATGAACTATGTTTATTGAATGATCTGTCAGATTTTCCACATTAGGGGAATTAGGCTTGTCTTGTTTTGTTTGTTTGTTTGTTTCTTTGTTTTAAGACCCAGAGACTGGAGTTCCTGTCACCCACCCTAATTTAGTATTATTTTTTTAGTTGAATGGGTCGAAATGAAATTTGACAATGATACATATTTACTTTTATTTTCTAATTATTAAAAGTGGCTCTTGCAACAGGCATTCCCAGAGGAAATGGGAAAGCTTTGTGGAAATATGAGAACAAGGCTGTGAAAATCTGATTTTGCTTCATTGAAAGCTGACACGAGATAGATAGTACCTACTTTTAAATTTAATTTTCCTCATACTTGTCAGTAAAAAATGTTTCTTATGCTTGAAAAGTTCCTTGCCAGAATATGTCATCTGTGAAGGTGCAAAACTCATTATAAAATGGATGGCTCAGCATTATACTTGTATAATCATGTCACCCCAGCAAAAGCTTTAAAGCCGTGAGAAATGCTATTTTACTTGCCCACTATAAAACTTGAATGGCATAAATTGAAACCATTTATATGTATACAGACACACACATACACACACACACACACACACACAAATATATAAGACTTCTATTCATTTTAATTTAATTTAATTTTATTAATTAATTTTGAGACAGCCTGTTGTCCAGGCTGGAATGCAGTGGAATGATCCCTGCTCAGTGCAGCCTCTGCCGCCCAGGTTCAATTGATTCTTCTGCTTCAGCTGGGAGTAGATGGGATTACAGGAACCCACCATCATGCCCAGCTAACTTTTGTATTTTTAGTAAAGATGGTTTTTTTTTTTTTCATGTTAGCCAGGATGGTTGGTGTCAGACTCCTGGCCTCAAGTGATTCGCCTGCTTCAGACTCCCAAAGTGCTGTGATTACAGGCACGAGCCACCGCGCCCAGCTTCTACTTGTTTTAAAACACCTCATTTGCTCATTTTATACCTGAGATATAAATTTTATCAAGGACTGCTTTTTTTGTAAGCAGTCCTAGACAGTCGTAGATAGCATTTGTATTTATATTAAAAATAATATATGTATGTAATATAAATAAATTTATATTTATAATATATAATATAATATATAAATATAATTATGTTATTTAATATATAATATAGTATATTTATAGTATATATAATAATTTACTATAAGTATATTTATAGTATATATTATATTTTTATTATATAAATATGTTTCATATGATAGATAATATGAGTATTGTATTTATATTCTCCATTTATAGAGAATATAAATATTATCTATTATTTATATAATAGAAATATAATTATAGTAATAGATGTTTATATTATAGAGACCATATAATTACCGTTCAAGGAACTGAGACTACAGGGGTGAACTACCAAGCCTGGTTAATTAAAATTATTGTTATTATTTATATCTATACATAAATAATATAAATATAATAGATATACATAAAAATAGAACTATATTTATAAATAATATAAATATATTCATATTTATATTAGCTATATTTATAGATAATATGTATACACACATCAATAATTAAGAAAATAATTATTTTAGTAATATACTAATACTATAAAAGTAATAGTCTTGCAAATAATTGCTTATGTATTTGGAACCTTATTTAATCTTCTTAGCTTTCATTTGAAAACATGTTTGTCTGTGTCCTGTGAGCGTGTTTTCCTATTCTATTTTTATGTACAGATCAACTCTGTCTCAGTCTGCTTTGCATTGCTATAAAGAAATACCTGAGCCTGGGTAATTTACCAATTTATAAAGCCTGGTGTTTACCTGAGTCACGATTTTTCAGGCTGTATAAGAAGACTTTTCTTCTTGTAAACACCTCAGGATGCTTCCAGTAATGGCAAATGTGAAAGGTAAATGGAGAGTCATATGCAAGGGAGGAAAAGACAGAGGAAGAGGGGTGCCATGCTCAGATGAACTATACAGTAGGGACTCACTCCTTCCAAAGGGCACCAAGTCATTCATGAGGAATCCACCCCCATGACTCAAACACCTCTCGCCAGGCCCCACATACAACGTGGGGATAAAATTTCAATATGAGTTATGGCGGATCCAATATCCAAACTCTACCGATGCCTAACTCAGTCTTGTAGAAGAGCAATTGTTTTATTATGCTAAAGATTTTGTGCTTTAGGGATTCTGAAAGGGTTCGTTGTATATGGCTGTCTTTGCCTGTGGTGTTTGGAGTTTACAAAGTCGGGGAGGCACTCTGTGGCTGAGGAATAGAATGAAGTGAAGGTTTCATCACTCCTATGTGTGTGGATGGATGCTGGCTCAGTAAGAGCTCTCAGATGAAATGTACAAAGCACCTCCCCGAAGTGGCTTAGGCTTCATTTACAATCCAGCCTCAGAATGTACATAGTGTCACTTCCTCTGTTTTCACAGCCTTGCTCAGATTCCAGAGGAGAGAGCGTCTTTTTATTTATTTATGTATTTATTTATTTACTTATTTATTCAATTAATTTATTTTTGAGACATGGTCTTGCTCTGTCTCCTAGACTGGAGTGCAGTGGTTCTATCATGGCTCACTGCAGACTCAACTTCCTGGACTGAAGTGATCCTCCTGCCTGAGCCTCCCAAGTAACTGGGACTACAGAGGTGAACTGCCATGCATGGTTATATTTTAAAATAATAATAGTTATTATTATTACATTGTAGAAAAAGGGTCTCACTATGTTGCTGGTCTCCAATTCCCGGCCTCAACAATCCTCCCACCCTGGCCTCCAAAATGCTATTATTTCAGGCTTGAGCACACACACCTGCCAGGAGAATCTTTTGTCTGAGAAGAATCTTAAAGCTTTAAAGTTGCTCTATATGAAGGGTCTGTGGAATGGAAGAAATGCTCTGAACACCTTTGGTAAATAAAATTGATCACAAGGAATATGTTTGTGAAGTTTTGAAAAATGAGTTTATTTGAGACATGCATGTGATTCTAACATTCTGATTTCTTTCAGCTCCACTTGCAAATTTTTCTGTTCAGAATAAAAGTAGGTAATGATAGATAATCTATAACACTATAAAATAGTGGTAATTTTTCCCATCATGATGTTAAAATTTCCTCAAGTAAAGGATAGTTTCATCAAAATAATGGCCCTATCATTTATTCTGTATTATTACATAGCCCTTAGTTGAAACTTACATGGAAGAAATTTCTCCATTCCAATCACATTCTTGTCCTAGCAGGCTACTGAAAACCTTTGTTTCAAACTGAGAAATCAATCTTAAAAATATATATAAAATAAGCATAAAATGTTAAACCAGAAAAAATGACCAACGGCTTTTTCTTAATGAAAAATTAAGAAAACTTAGGCAATAAACACTGATGTTTGTTTTTGAGATAAGATTTCACTCTATGACCCAGGCTGGAGTGCAAATGGGATGATTATGGTTCACTACAGCCTTTTTCTTTGGAGATCAGCAATCATCACACTTCAGCCTCCCAAACAGCTAGAACCACAGGCATGTGCCACCACACCCAGCTAATTTTCAAAAATAAATTATTTTTAGAGATGAAGTGTCACTATGTTGTCTAGGCTGTTCTCAAATGCCTGGCCGCAAGCGACCCTCCCACCTTGATTTTCTAAATTGTTGGGATTACAGGTGTGACCCAACATGCTTGACCAAAACTAATTTTAATATTATCACCCTGCTTTTTTTTTTTTTTTTTTTTTTTTTTCTGTAGGAAACTTTTGCCTAACCTAGAAATAGCATCAACATTTCTTAAAAAAAAAAAAAAATCAAGCTATATCCTTGTCAATATGGGCAGATATACACTAATGATCTAGACCAAGAGGTCACTTATTAAAGAATATCCTATTATTGGGAAAAAAGAAACTTTAAGGTAACATGGATAAGAATCCCATTCGGAAACACATTTTGAAGTTTGATGGTATTTAAGCGCACGATTAACCACATTATACATAGCGGAAGCCAAAGTTCCTAGTATGGAAAGAATGGAGATACAAGTATGTCCCATTATAATGAGGAAAGGCCCAAGACAAGGAAACAGTGTGCAAGGTACAAGAAAAGTGTGATTTTTCACACCCATCAGATGCTGACATTCTTGGAGTGATACAGAGAACAGGAAAAGCACATGATGGATTAGGCTAAATCCATTTTCTCCTTTCTAGCCTTAATTATTTTTGCTAAAATCAAACTCTGTGATGTCAGTCTCTCCTAATTCTACCTGGGAAATGCTGTTCATGCATTTAGCACCCAGTTAAGGGACAATGTGGTGGTTGGGGATGTTGCCCAAGGTTGGCACCCAGATATCAAAATCCATATTGTACCTGGATTCCTGGTTGATGTTTTAACATTTCTTCTCACTTTAGTGTCCTCATCTATAGATCAACCCAGCCAAATTTCTCCTCCATCAGCTTGCTGTGGTAATTTTTTTTTTAAAAAAATATTTATTTATTTATTTTATTTTTAGAGACAATTTCTCATTCTGTTGCCCAGGATGGATTGTAGTGTCCCAGATTTCACTGCAGCCTTGACATCCTGGGCTCAAGAAATCCTCCCATGTCAACACCCCCAGAGTAGCTGAGTCTACAGACATACACCGTCATGCACGGCTAATTTGTGTGTGTGTGTGTGTGTGTGTGTGTAAGACAGGTGTTTGTTATGTTGCCCAGGAGGGTCTCAGATTCTTGGCCTCAAATGATCCCGCCTCCTTTCTCTACCAAAGCAGTGGGATTACAGACATAAGCCACTGCATCTGGCCAGTTTATAGTGATGATTAATCTCCTAACTGATGCCTTAAACTGCCTGACACATAGTAAACCTTCCGGTCATGTTGCTTATTATTACTCCTATAATTATTTGTATTGTTATTTATGCCATTAATTTTTCTTTTACTTGAAGTCTTTCTCTTCAATTACAAAATAAATGTCATTTCATGTTAAAGAATTTCAAAGCATTGTCGATATGACATATGATTTTCTCAGTGGGTATCAAAGAAATAATACATACTTATATAATCATATTTAACAATCTATTACTATAAAATAGTTGTTTCAGAATTCTGAAAAAGTTATCTTTAACTAGAGGAAAATTTTAGAGAAATGGTGAAATTAAGTTGGGCTGTATAAAAGAAAATTAATATGTTTTTAGTAAACTAATATAAAAATTCCAACTGACAATGTTTAAAATACTAAATGAATGTTGCATATAACTATAACACCTAAAACATACATAACATGTTTAATGGTGATTGTAAAATGTTATGATTTTCCAAGTGATTGGCATTAAAATGTTTCACCGTTAAAGTCATTCATTTATGTAGCCCTCATATTCAGGGATTGAAAATAATTAGCTACAATGCAAAAACGTGAATCAATTTTATTTTCTTTCATTAAATTTAGGTAGAACAGGAGACAGGACTGTTGTTATTAATGAGAATACTACTACTGAACTGGTACAATTGTAGACAAAAAGCCCAGGGAATTTGTGGTATTGCTAGCTTCAGGAAAATTTTTAAACATCATTTAGGACTGTTAAGTCCATATGTAAAATGCTATACCTCTTCTTTCAAACCATCACAAAAAGTACACCATGAAGTCTAATGTTGAAGGCAAGTACATTTGGGATAGGTGTGTTCTCGGTGTGCTATTTGAAATACAAGTAACATCAATGTTAGCAGAAGCAGTAACCTTTCATTTCTTTGGTGTTCAATTCTACCACTATCACTCTTTTTTGCGTCACTACACATGGAGGGTGTATTAGTTCATTCTTATGCTGCTATAACGAGATGCCTGAGACTGGGTAATTTATAACGGAAAGGTTTAATTCACTCACTATTCTGCATGGATGGAGAGGCCTCAGGAAACTTACAGTACTGGTGGAAGGCAAAGGAGAAGCAAATACCTTCTTCACAAAGTGTCAGGCTGAGGCAGGAGAATTGCTTGAACCCAGGAGGTGGAGGTTGCAGTGAGCCAAGATCATGCCACTGCACTCCAACATGAGCAACACAGTGATACGCCATCTCAAAAATAAATACATACATACATACATACATACATACATACATACATAATAAGGAGGAACTGTCAAACACTTATAAAGCCATCAGATCTCCAGAGAACTCACTCACATCATGAGAATGGCATGGGGGAGCCTCCACCATGATACAATCACCTCCCACCAGTCCTTTCCTCAACATATGGGGATTATGAGAATTACAATCCCAGATGAGATTTGGGTGAGGACACAGAGCCAAACCATATCAAAGAATTAACTATGAGCAATGATGACCCTGATAGCTCATTATTATTTAAAAAAAGAAAACACAAAACTGATGCTTCTCTATACTTACTCCAGGACAATACAATTGTTTCACCTCCAGAGTTACAAGGCTATTTAATATGCATATATTCACATATTTAATCATTTTTTTCACTTATGTGCATGCATAATGATGGGCACACACAGAGAGATAAATCTACCTTCATTTCTCATGCTACAAGTTCAAATCTGTATGAGAACTTTGATGCTATGTTTTTATGACATGAGTATTTGCTAATTCCTGTGTGTGTGTGTGTGTGTGTGTGTGTGTGTGTGTGTGTGTATTTATACATATGTGTGTTTTCCTGTGTCTTTTGGTGTGTTTCTTGTTATTCTTCTACTTTTTAAATTCCAGCTTGTTCCAACATTATTCTCTTGAATCTAATGTGTCTGAGGTCCCTCTACAATCTGAAGTTAGAAATGGATATGCCCGCCTTAGGATAGTGAGATTTATTCAAGATTTCCAAATTGCATAGCCAATGGGAAAAAGAAAAATACAATGACTCTTTTGCTGCTTGCCAACTTGACCTTCACAGAATTGAAGACTGCCTTCTTGGAAGCATTTCCTTTTCCATATGAAAAAGCTCTGCATTTCTCCCCAATTTCACAATAATTAAATAAACCTAGGCATCTTCTAGGTCTATAAGGCACTTTGGGCAAAAGTTCCTAAGAAAGGGATTGTGCAATTGCTTCCCAGAAGCCCTCGTCTAGGCAGAATAAATCAGCCAGCGCTCCTGTGATGAAAGAAACACAGAACAGAGAAGAATGTGGGGTTTGATAATGTTAGTGCTAAGAATACCTCAAAACATTTAAATACAAATTCAGACCCCCAGAAAATGGTATCTTTCCCCTCCAGGAACCCCAAAGTAGTCTGATTCACCTCCTTTACTAAATCTAGTTCCATAAACTTGACCCCTTTAGCATCATCCAAAACATCTCCTAGTACTTCAATGTCTTAACCAGAAGGTATACAACTAATAGAATCGTAAAAATTACAAGGGTCCAACCCAACAGTAATGAGGCTGGTATTCAGGAAATCACACTAAAGAATGCTTGATGGACTTGCTGGAATTTGTCAGGGAAACATTAACTATTGGAAGAATAATAAACCTTCCCAAACTTAGCTGTGCTGGGGGGAATTGTTTTTATTATCCAGGAAAGCCAACAAATGTGGACATTATCTCTACCATCTAAGGCCACTCACTACACAAATATCCTGGAAAAACGTAGTACAGAACAAAAGCTCTTTCTTTATATTTTTGTGTTTTTTATTTGTTTCTTTGTTTGTCTGAGACAGAGTCTTTCTTTGTTGCCCAGGCTGGAGTACGGTGGTGTGATCACAACTAACTACAGCCTCCACTTCCCAGGCTCAATCAATACTCCTGCCTCAGCCTCTTGAATAGGTGGGATTAGAAGCATTCACCCCCATGCCTACCTAATTTTTCTATTTTTTATCGTGAGATGGGGTCTCACTATATTGCCCAGGCTGATCTTGAACTCCTAGCCTCAAGCAATCCTCCTACCTCAGCCCTTCAAAGTGCTGGGATTACAAACATGAGCCACCATACCAAGGCAGATCAAGGGTTGTCATGACATTGCTTGCAAGTCATGCAAACACATCAGTGACTGAGAGGAAATCAGCTTCTAGAAACCTGAAAGAAATGGGGTAGATAGAAAAGGTCACATTGGGATCACCAGTCATTTTAGGTTGAGAGACACTGCATGCCTAAGCTGGTTCTGCAAGCAGGAAGGCCATGATGGAAATCTCTAATCTCAATCCCCTGCCATCTTTTGAAATCTTAGTTTAGCCCACATGGAAGCCTCAAGTCAATGGATCCTATTATTATACAAAACTCAATCCTGGGCACAGGGTAGGGTGGAGAGACATAAACAGTTGTGGCAGAATCTATGCTCTGCAGTCACTCTACTCATCCATTCAACTTCACACTGCCTTCGTAAGGATCATCTGAGGTGATTTTAGTATAATATCAGCATCTGGATGGAAAAGAGTGGGTCAGGCAGGAGACCCAGTTCTCTTTTATTAGTCTAGCAAGAATCCATAATTGTTTCCCACTCCTGACAAACTTGGGACAAAATCCTTCTTCTCCTTTGAACTCCAAACACTGACCCTATCTATTATTCAGTTGTGACTCAATATAAACCACAGCACCGTGACAGTCTTATTGTCTAGGTTCAGGCAAAAGTTTCAGATTTATCCACTTGCATATATATCTCTGTGTTTTTCTCTTATCTCTCTAATAGCATTATTTAAATGTGGTGGATTTGATGTTAGTCCCTTGGTCTCTCATTTTAGTAGCTGGATGTAACATTAAGGTAAATTACTGAGTGTGTCTAGATCTGCATTTCATCACAAGATAGCACTAGTATTTATGCAAATTTCCAATTATATATTGCTAGGTTCTAAATGTGTGTACCTTCTGAATTTTTTTTGTTGAAGACTTAATCATCAAATTGATGGCATTATGAGATGAGGTGTTTGGAAAGTGATTAAATCATGAGGACAGAACCCTCATGAAGATTTGTATCCTTATAAAAGAAGAAACAACCGGAAGTCACCATCTATGTACAGAAAATTGGCCCTCACCAGAAATTCAATCAGCATTACTCTTGCACTTTCCAGACTCCTGAATTATAAGAAACAAATTTTTATTGTTGATAAGCCACCCATTTTATGCCTGAAACACATTTGTATTTAACATGTTAGCAAGGGATAAGATCCCAGGTGTACTCAATAAGTATTAAGGCGAAAGAACAGCACTCAATGGTAAATTCTTATCATTGATGTTTCATTAATAGTTCTTAATCAAATGCTAACTTTAGGTCTCCATGTCTAAATAACTAAACCCCAATAAAAACCCTGGACATCAAGTCTCAGGTGAGCCTCTCTAGTCAACAATGCTTCGTAAGTATTGTAATACATTGTTGATGTCATACATTGTTGATGTTACACATTGTTTCTTATAAGTCAAATCAAAGGGGACAACTTGTGCCTTGTTTCCTGAACTCAGCCATATGCCCCTTTTCCTTTGTTGATTCTAACCTGTAACCTTTCACTGTAATCATCCATAACCATTAACATGATAGATTTTCTGGGTACCATAAGTTCTCCAGCATATCATCCTACCTGAGGATGGGCTGACACAATAACCAACTAGAAAATTTGAAATTTGCAAAAATGTTTAATGATCTTAATTAAAACTAAGCATTAACCTCAAGAAAACATTAAAGATTATCTTCTTCGCATTTAAATTCTGGATTAATTTTAATACGAGGTTCCCTGTAAATATTCATTCTCTGTCTATTCAAAGAGGGTAGTTAATTTTTACTGATTCCATTGCAAACTCACATAAAATATTTCTATACTTAGTGAACATATACAGTAGAGATTCTGTTTTGTGTATCCAAATCATTTTATGAAATAAATCTTCTTTACATATTTATCTCAATTGCCAACTTATTGGTTATAGTTCATATGCCATGCAGTACTCTGTATTAGAAATAACAGATTATTCTTTGACAAACCTGAAAAAAACAAGCAATGGGAAAGGATTCTCTATTTAACAAGTGGTGCTGGGAAACCTGGCTAGACATATGCAGCAAGCTGAAACTGGATCCCTTCCTTACACCTTATACAAAAATTAATTCAAGATGGATTAAAGACTTAAACATAACACCTAAAACCATAGAAACGCTAGAAGAAAACCTAGGCAAAACCATTGAGAACATTGGCATGGGCAAGGTCTTCATGACTAAAACACTGAAAGTAATGGCAACAAAAGCCAAAATTGACACATACAGTCTGATTAAACCAAAGAGCTTCTGCACAGCAAAATAAACTATCATCAGAGTGAAGAAGCAACCTACAGATTGGGAGACAATTTTTGCAATCTATCCATCTGACAAAGGGCCAATATTCAGAATATACAAAGAACTTAAACAGATTTACAAGAAAAAAAGTAACCCATCAAAAAACGGGTGAAGGATATGAACAGACATTTATCAAAAGAAGACATTTATGCAGCCAACAAACATGAAAAACAGCTCATCATCATGGGTCATTAGAAAAATCCAAGTCAAAACCATCTCACACCAGTTAGAATGGCAATCGTTAAAAAGTCAGGAAACAACAGATGCTGGGGAGGGTGTGGAGAAATAGGAATGTGTTTACACTGTTGGTTGGAGTGTAGATTATTCAATCATTGTGGAAGACAGTGTGACAATTCCTCAAGTATCTAGAACCAGAAATACCATTGAACCCAGCAATCCCATTACTGGATATATACCCAAAGGATTTTAAATCACTCTATAGAGACATGCACATGTATGTTTATTGCTGCACTGTTCACAAAAGGAAAGATGTGGAGCCAACACAAATGCCTGTCAATGATAGACTGGATAAAGAAAATGTGGCAATATACACCATGGAATACTATGCAGCCATGAAAAAGGATGAGTTCATGTCCTTTGCAGGGACACGGATGATGCTGAAATCCATCATTCTCAGCAAACTAACACAAGACAGAAAACCAAACACCAGATGTTCTCACTCGTAAATGAGAGCTGAACAATGAGAACACATAGAGGGGAACATCACACATCAAAGCCTGTCTGGAGTTGGGGGACTAGGGGAAGGACAGCATTCAGAGAAATACCTAATGTAGATGATGGATTGATGGGTGAAGCAAACCACCATGGCATATGTATACCTACGTAATAAACCTGCACGTTCTGCACATGTACCCCACAACTCAAAGTATAATAATAATAATAAAGAAATAATAGATTACACATCTTGATCAATTATATTAACTTTAGTATAATTTCATCTGTTTAATGAGTATAAGATAGTCTTTTCTGTTTGTTTGTTTGTTTGCTTGATTTTTAGAATCAGGGCCACATGCTGTCATCCCAGCTGGAGTACAGTGACGTGATCCTAGCTCACTGCACCCTCAAACTCTTGGCCTCAAGTAATCCCCCTTCCTTAACCTCCTAATGTATCGGGATTAGAGGTGTAAGCTACCATGCCCAGTCAATATAAAATATTCCTGACTGGAAACTTCTATAAGTATTCACAAGGCATTTCATTTTTATAACTACTAGTTTCGTCTCTTACATCCTGTTTCCAAAACAGAAAGTTTCTAGTATTATGACTTATAAACTACAGTTTCCCTTCTATGTCACAGTTCTGATAATGTGTTCTTTTATGTACTTTATGATATATATAACACTACATCGATATTTTGGAAAATGATTTTTAATTTTGCTTATAAAATAAATATTGTATAATAAACAGTATGTTAACTCTCTTCTAAATTTCCTATTTTTTCCTGAAATGTAGTGGTTCTCATCTTGAGAAGTCTAAATTGGCACTAATTTACATGAAAAGAACTCCCTATTGACTTACTGTGGCAAAGAGGTGATATGTAAAAATTAAATCCGTAACACATATAGACATTTGTTTTCTAAATCATTCATGGGCAGAAATCATAAACACAAAAAGAGCTTAAGTCAATGGAGGTTTTATTTTAATATTTAGCTGAAGTATTTTTCTATTACAGTGTTGAAATAGGAGTGTCTGGCATTGTGTCAGCTAGATTTAAAAACAGCTAACTAAAGACAGGAACAAAGTCTGAACATGATTAATAAAAGGTATTAAAGAAATGGCAACAACTTTAGAAAATGCAGTGATAATCTGAAGAAATATTATGTTTATGCAAGTGAAGAAATAAAGAAAAAATATTTGCAGTTTCTACTGGGATCATGAATTACCTCAGATAAACTGAAATTTAACATAATGTCAACAATTACATTTTTTTATTCCTAGGCTTTATCCATTTGATAAAACTCAAAGGTAGACAAGATATATATCAATATCTCAGAAAAAAAATATACTTTTATTCCATTTTATTATAAATTTTACACTTAAGTGCCAAGATTGTTTATCCAAGAGCTTTTGTAATGCAAAACATACAAATGTTAGTTTGCTAGAGTGGCATAACAAAATAACACAGACTGGCTGGTTTAAACAAAGGATATTCTGCTGGCTGTAAGTGTGAGATCAAGATGTAGACAAGGCTGGTTTCTGCTAAGGTCTCTCTCTTTGGCTTGTAGATGCCAACTTCTCCCCAGGCCTTCACATGGTTGTCCCTCTGTGTGTGTCTGTGTCCTCATCTCCTATTCTGATAAGATTCCCAGTCCTGTCCTATGGGATTAGGACTCACCCTTGGGACTTCATTTTATCCTAATCACCTCTTTAAAGATTCCATCTCCAAATCCAGTCACATTGGGAGTTAGGACTTCAACATATATATTTTGGGAATGGTGTAAAATGTGTGCCATAAAAATATATGTAATCCATATAGGGTACCAGTATAGAAATTAACAAGACTTTTCTCACACATTAGTCATTGTGATAAAAACATCAATATTTTACCTCCATATATTAAAATTGCATCTTAATACATAATTTAGAAATATTTGAAGTAGGGGCCAGGCGTGGTGGCTCATGCCTATAATCCCAGCAATTTGGGAGGATGAGGTGGGCAGATCACTTGAGATCAGGAGTTTGAGAACAGCCTGGCCCTGTCAGTACTGCAAATACAAAAAATAGCTGGGGAAGTATTATGGTGGGCACTTGTAATCCCAGCTATTTGGGAGGCTGAGGCAGAAGAATTGCTTGAGCCAGGGAGGGGGAGGTTGAAGTGAGCCGAGATCTCGCCATTGCACTCCAGCCCAGGCGACAAAATGAGACTCTGTCTAAAAAAAAAAAAAAATACATACATGTATATGTGTGCGTATATACACATATACACACACATATATAGTCTATAGGTCTAAATATGTGTGTGTATATATGTGTGTATATATATATATATAAATATATGTATATATTTAGACAGTATATATAGTATATATTTATGTGTGTGTGTATATATAGATACACACACGTATATATATGTGTGTGTGTATCTATATATACACACACACATATATATAGAGAGAGAGAGACAGAAAATGACAATCTCTTGACCATTTTTTTCTCTGCAATATGCCACCAATCACAAAAGGAAAATTAGGTCTTGAGTAAGGCTCACTTTAGAAATGATGTTACTCTTGGCAAGTTGTGGTGGCTCATGTCTGTAATCCCAGCACTTTGGGAGGATGAGGTGGGCAGATGACTCAAGATCAGGAGTTTGAGAACAGCCTGACCCTCTACTACAAATACAAAAAAAAAAACCAAAAACAAAAAACAAAAAGCTGGGGGAGCGTTATGGTGTGAGCTTGTAATCCCAGCTATTTGAAAGACTGAGGCAGAGGAATTGCTGGAGCTGTGGAGGTAGAAGTTGAAGTGAGCCAAGATTGCTCCATTGTACTCCAGCCTAGGTGACAAAATGAGACTCTGTCTAAATAAATACATAAATAAATAAGAAGTCAGAAAACGGCAATCTCTTGACCATTTTTTTTTCTGGAATATGCCACTAATTAGAAAAGGAAAATTGGGTCTTGAGTAAGGCTCACTTTAGGAATGATGTTACTCTTGGCAAGGTGTGGTGGCTCACGCCTGTAATCCCAGCACTTTGGGAGGCGGAGGCTAGAGAATGGTTTAAGGCCAAGAGTTCAAGACCTGCCTAGGAAACACAGAAAGCACCAATGTCTATAAAGGATTTTCAAAGTTTAGGTGAGTGGGGTGGTGCATGCCTGTAGTTCCAGTACTTGGGAGGCTGAGGCAGGTGAATTGCTTGAGCCCAGGAGGTTGAGGCTTCAGTGAGCTATCATCATACTACTGCACTCCAGCCTGGGTGACAGAGCAAGACCATGTCTTGAAAGTAAGGGAAAGCGAGGGGTAAGTAGTGGAAGGGAGGAGGAGGAAAGGGGGGGAGAGAGAGAGAGAGAAAGAAAGAAAGAAATAGAAAGAAAGAAAGAAAGAAAGAAAGAAAGAAAGAAAGAAAGAAAGAAAGAAAGGGAAAGAAAGAAAGAAAGAAAGGAAAGAAAGAAAGAAAGAAAGAAAGAAAGAAAGAAAGAAAGAAGAAAGAAACAGAGAAAGAAAGAAAGAAAGAGAAAGAAAGAAAGAAAGAAAGAAAGAAAGAAAGAAAGAAAGAAAGAAAGAAAAAGAAAAGAAAGAGGAAGAAAGAAAGAAAGAAAAAGAGAAAGAAAGGAGGGAGGGAGGGAAGGAAAGAAGGAAGGAGAGATGTGATGTTACTTTAGAGCTTTGAATATATAAAAGCAAATAATGAGGACTTGCTTACTAACTACATCAGAAAATACTTTATTAATTATTACTACAAATGGATCTGCACAATATGCAGTATAGACAGAATAATAGACTATGCACATCCAACAAATATCCTGGATGTATACATTGTCATTTCTCCTATAGATTTCAAGCTCCATGCTCCATCTTTCCATTGACTGGTTCCCTACTGGGATTATTTGGCCGCTTAGGAGATATTTGAACACTTTTCAGTTGCCCAAACTGGGGAACAGTACTATTGATATCCAGGGATTAAGGCCAGGGCTATATGTCCTAATTACTCATCTTTCATTTTGTCTTTATTGGAAATCAATTTCAAATTAACTTATGATTGAAATATATTATAGTAAAGTGTCAAATCTTGAGTCAGAAAGATTGCTTGAGCCCAGGAGGTCAAGGCTTTGCTGAACTAAGATCACACCACTGCACTCCAGCCAGGGCAGCAGAATAAGACACCAGCTCTAAAAACATAATAACTAAAAAAGTGTTTAATCCTTTGTTGATTTGTAATTGCATATACAGAAGAGGAGGTCCAAACTCTTCAATAATTTCTTCTTACTTAACAGAATAACTCAGTCCCTTTTGTTACTAGAGTTAAAATAAGTATTTTTTTTTTGCCATTTTTCTTGGTTCTGGATTGAAATAAATTGAGACAACATTGTGTTTAATAGAAACCAAATGAGTAAAGTGAAAAATAACCTGTGTGTTTGCTGTGTCCAACTAATTCATGATCTGTGTAGGAGTGATTATTTCCTACCAAAAAAAACAAAACTGAGATTTAATGGTATTTTTTTTAACTTACTCATAGGGCCAGCAGGAAGTAGGATAATTTCGACTGCCAAAAGTTCCATTAAAATTTTCACAGGCTACATTTCCTCTCAGATAAAATGTCATACCTTTGCCATATATCATCAAAAGTGAACACTCTTAGAAGAACAGACTTCTATTCTGACATGCAAGCTTTGAAATACATTCCCTATCACCTATATGGCCAGTTTCATTCCAATTCCATGTAAGTAAACTTAATCTTAGATCAGTTCCTGCTTAAATATTTTTAGGAATCCACAGAGTGCAACCAGTGAAATTGCATGTGGTTCTTTTCTTTAAAAAATATTGACCTCAAGCTTAACTTACTGACATCACTCTGCACTAGTCTTTCACAATTCTGCCTGTGAATTTAATACCCATGTTCAATATTTAATCTAAATATTTTCCCCCTATTTAGTTTCTGCCTACTGGTAATGTATACATCTTTTATATTAGTAATGTGTTATTTATCTTTCTTATAATATTTAATATTTGTGTATATATATATTATATATACCTGGGTATACATAATACAGGCACACTCTCTACATGGGTAATGGGATCAGTCAGACCCCAAACCCCAGCATCACACAATATACCCTTGTAACAAACCTGTAGATGTACCCCTGCATCCAACATAAAATCTGAAATTTAAAAAATGTATGTATTTGTTCTATACTCTTCCTTAGATAGACTATATATTTCTTGAGGCAAATAATGCTGTCACAGATTGGTTTGCTCAATAAATTATTTTTTATTGAGACTAAACATTTCAAGGCACAATTTTTCTCCAAAATTTTTTTGAAGATTTGATGTCATAAATCAGAATTGAATAGCTTTATCTCCTCCTGCATCACCATCTGTAAACTTTGCTATCTACTGTAGCCTCAGTAATTTCTCTAGGGGTCCTTCTTTAATTTTCTTTTTTCTGAACCTATGGCCATTGTCTGAACATCATTTCCTCCATGAGCCTGCACTTCCTAAAATGTTAATCCATAATAACATTTTGAAATTTGACATTATACATAGATTTCATTAGAGTTTGCTCTACACCAAACCCAAACTACTTAAAAAACAAATCCAAAAGTACATTTTTGTATCCAAGTGCTCTTTTATTCCCTGAATAAATTTCACTGGTACAGTCTATGGAAAAATGTGTATCTTGCATGTTTCATATACCTAAGCTTTCAGTTAGTTTTCCTGCAGGCAATCAAAATACAGTTAAGGTTTCCTAGCAATAGGGTGAAATGGGGCACTTAAAGTCATGAAAAACACCACAACCTACCAAGTAACAGAATAAAACTTTGTCAATTCACTTAGATATTGTGGGTCAGAGTCAGATTCATGTGTTACTTATATAACCTCCTTTTATTTGGGCTGAAAGGCTGTTTCTTATCAAAATAATAAGTGTGATTCAATTGTTGTAATTTTTTTGCAAATCTTTTCTGGCTGCTATTTAACATTTTGTTAAAATTGTATCAGTTGTAACAGTGGGATCAATTATAACAATTGCATCAATTTTAATAATTGTATCCACTGATACTGATACAGACCCCTTCCAGATACAATGCATACCTCTTCCTGGATTACTATATTGTCAATATGAAAAAGGCTCTTGAAAATAATCTTTAAAGATAAAATTATACAAACAGCTCAGAATCACTGCCATTTGTAGCCACAGCATGTCTAAGGTTGATTTGATTAGTCAAACTGCAACCGTTTCAACTTACAATCTTTAGACCTATGTTCATGACCTGTGTTCATGATAAATTTTGCATAATCATGTTATCTCTTCATTTGATCTAATAAACACTACGTAATCCTTGCTTTAATTTAACAAAAGGTGCATTTGCATTGCAAATACTTTGAATAATTTGTTTTCTCCTCCTCTTTGGAGAGTGTCCTTTAATCAGTTCTTCACAATTTGGAAGTATCCACCTCAGAAATGTCTAGAAGACCTGCTTACCTTTTAATGGTATTAAAATTACTCTTCCTTAGCTTAAATTCAATTTTCTGTCTCATGCTCAGCAGGCTTTTCCTACAGTTGTTCATGTTCTTGCTTTCATCCTTCTCATATACAATTTTTAATTCCTAAATTACTATGGCTGTCCCTAATACAAGAAAAACATTATTTTCAGCAATACGTTGCAGTGTGTGAATATACTTTACTTCAGTTCCTTTCCACAGCTATGAAAATGTATATAAAAATTCATGAAACATAAAGTTATACTATGTTTTTAACTAGAATAAGCCTACTCATGATCTCTTCCTAAAAATATATATATTTTTTCTCATCATTACTTTCATAATGATTAATCCTTCTCAAAGTGTTTCTGTTTGATGCTTGTAATCTTTGTGTTAAATTATAACACAGATAAATATTCTAGTTGTAATTTAAAATGACAACTCTGAATATAAATGAAAATATTTAGAGGTGAACATATGACTTTATTCTAAATGCTTTCAACAGGTATTGTAAAATAAAATGGTAACGTTTTCCTTATTTGAGTAAAATTTAGAGGAATAGAATATATTCAGAAGATCCATTGTAAGTTCTTCTAAAGAAATCTGCAAAAATTTCAAAAAGAGTTTTACAGTTACTTATCATTTTTTCCCATTGTTTTTGGTAACAAAATCACAATATTTTAGAAAAGATTGAATCATTGTGAAGTGAAAGGAAATGGAATGATGTATAATGCCTCACAAACCTGTTTGTTTGCTTGGTGGGGGTCAAAAGAAGAGTTTCATGGAAGTAAAGGTATAGTTTTACAATTGTAAGCTTGCTTTCTAAATAATTCACAGTTGTTTTATCATGGCATTTCTGAAGAACTTCTCTCTGACATGTCCCAAGTTCTGACTGAAGTAGATATTCCAGCAGAAATACCGACTAGATAGTTATTTCTTTGGATGGTTTCATCATCATGTAATTCTAGTTTCATCCAGCCTGACAAGTCCCTGGGAATATTGATGCAGCCTTGTTTCGTTTTTAAATACACTCACTTTATTCAATTACAATATGCAGAGAGAGAAGGGCACAAATCATATGAATACAGCTCAGCGAACTGCCACCACATCAGGATGCTGGAAAAGCACTATGCAAATCCAGGCATAGAATGATGGAAATATATACTATGTTCTTTTGCAACTCTGCCTAAGTGTTTTATTCAACATTATGTTCACCAAATTTATAATTCCGTCTCACTTGGCACTGGCACATTCATTCTTCTTGCTCTGTAGCTTTCCCCAAATCTCTTTATGGATCTTTTGTTGATTGTTACCTTGATTGTTTCCATGTAGGGATTATTAACAAAATGCTATCATGAAATGTATTGTATGTGTGCCAGTAGGTTTACTGTGTACAATATTTTCTTGGGCACATATATTGGAGTGAAAATTCCAGGTGCTAGGGAATTTATTCATTCAGCTTTAAGATATTTTGGTTTTGGTTTTGCTTTTGCTTTTATAGGCAGGATCTTGCTCTGTCACCTAGGCTGGAGTACAGAGGTGTGGTCATAGCTCGCTGCAGTATAGAGCAACTGGGCTCAAGTGATCCTCCCAACTCAGCTTCCAAAGTCGTTGGCAATACAAGTGCTCACCACATGCACAGCTAGTTTTTTAGTTTTTGTAGTGTCTGGTTCTCACTATGCTGTCCAAGCTGGTATGGAATTCCTGGCTTCAAGTGATCCTCCCACCTAAGCCTCCCAAAGTGCTGTGATTACAGGTATGAGCCACTGTGCCCAGCCAGCATAAAGTTTTATGTGCTAGTTCAGGAGATACACATTCTGACCTGTTTTGTCAGTTTTGTTTTGTTTTGTTTTGTTCAAGTGAGTATTTACTGCCATATCATGGTGGTTCATATCCCTTCCCTTGTTGCTAGACATTTTTATTAAGTTTATTGGGAAATCAGATATGCTTTTTTAAAAAGCTAGTAAATTATTCACACATTTTCATTTGGAATCCATTATATATTTTGGACGAAAACACAAACCCTTGTGGAATATATTCATCACATCTATAAAGTTTATTTATTTATTTATTTATTTTGAGGCAGGATCTCATTATGTTGCCCAGGCTGGTCTCGAACTCTTGGGCTCATGTCTCTCACCTCAGCCTCCAGAGTAGCTGGGATTATAGATGCATATGCTCTGCTGGGCATAAACTTCTATTCTTGTCATGGCACCTTTTGCAGAACAGAATATTTGGAGTTTAAGTAAGTACCACTTACTAATTCCTTGATTAAATTATGATGAAACACATTTGCATCTTCTTTGAAAAACTCCTACTTACTCTAATGCCAAAAAGAACTCCTACAAATACCTTCTAAAAACTTTATTTTCTGTTGCACAGCTAGATTGACATAATCAATACTTGGAATCATATGCTTTTGTTTCCGTTGTTTTGTTTTTCTTTTTGTGCATAGCACTAGGTGGGACTACCTGAGTCCCTCAAATTGATATCCTGCCAATTATTGAGAAGATTATTCTAACAGCACTGAATTTTTCAGAAAGCAAAACATGGTGTAGATGGCTGGCCATGGTGGCTCATGCCTGTAATCCTAGCACTCTGGGAGGCCTAGGCAGGTGTATCAATTGAGTTCAGGAGTTCCAGGCCAGCCTGCCCCACATGATGAAAACCCATCTCTACTTAAAATAGAAAAAATTAGCCAGGCATGGTGGCGCATGCCTATAATCCCAGCTACTCGGGAGGCTGAGGCAGGAGAGTCATTTAAACCTGGGAGATGGAGTTTGTAGTGAGCTAAGATTGCACCACTGTACTCCAGCCTGGGAGACAGAGACAGCATCTCAAAAAGCCAACAAACAAACAAACATAAGCAAAAAACAAACAAACAAACAAAAGCCAAAATTAAAACAAAACAAAACAAAAACCTGATGTAGCTATCTGCCTCTTTCTGGCTTATATGTGCTTCCAATTTCAATAGAACATTGCCTATCACCTTCCCAGCTTGCATGCTTTAATAAAACAAATGAAAGATACCATATTGGAGAGGCCAACAAAGTGGCCTCCTGTCAAAAATCAGGTAGAAACGGAGGCCCTGAGTGCTACAGCCCTGAAAAAATGAACCCAGAATTAATGAGCCTTCCTGTGAAATCATACACCTGAGTTAAAATTTGGCTGTAGTCTATAAGAAATCATGAGGCAGAAAACCCAGTCAAACTGAGTTCAGGTTCTTCAAGCTGTAGAAACTGTGAGATGGTTTGCTGTGTTGTTTGCAGCTACTAGTCTGGGAAGCTATTAGGTATGCAGCAATACTATTTTTAGTGGATGATGTAAAGATTCAATTTTCCACCCTTAAATTATCACTGTTTTGAATTAATATTATCCTTCATCACCTCCAGGCAAAACGCTGGAGTCAATGTAGGATTTACTTGATGTTTGTTTGGTTTGGTTGGTTTCTCCCTGGAGAATATCAGTCCTGTAATGATTTTTGTTAAATACACAAAATCAGTGTTTCTGAATATTGTGTCTTATTTCGATTGCTTATAAATGGAAGGTAGTGCTTGCTTTAGCAGCATATATACTAAAGTTGGAATGATACAGGAAAAATTAGTATGATCCCAGCACAAAGATGACATGCAAATTCATGAAGCATTCAATATTTTTCAGTATTTGACAGATCAACGAGATAGAAAATTAACAAGGATATTCAGGACTTGAAATCGGCTCTGGATCAAGTGGACCTAGTAGACATCTACAGAACTCTCTGCCCCAAATCAACAGAATATATATTCTTCTCAGTGCCGCATGGCACGGATTATAAAATCTTGCACATAATTGGAAGTAAAACACTCCTCAGCAAATGCTAAAGAACGGAAATTATAGCAGTCTCTCAGACCACAGGGCAATCAAATTAGAACTCAGAATTAAGAAACTCACTCAAAACGACCCAATTACATGAAAACTGAAAACTCTGCTCCCAAATTACTCCAGGGCAAATAATCAAATTAAGGCAGAAATCAAGAAGTTCTTTGAAATGAACAAGAACACAGAGACAATGTACCAGAATCTCGAAGACACAGCTAAGGCAGTGTTAACAGCGAAATTTATAGCACTAAATGCCCGCATCAGAAACCTTGAAATATCTCAGATTAATACCCTAACATCACAATTAAAAGAGTTACAGCAGAAAAAAAAAAAAAAAAAACTAATCAAAAAGCTAGCAGAAAACAAGAAAAACCTAAGATCAGAGAAGAATTGAAGGAGACAGAGAAAAGAAAAAAATCCTCCAAAAACGTCAATAAATACAGGAGCTATTTTTTTTGAAAAAAATTGACAAAATAGATCACTAGCTACACAAATAAAGAAGGAAAGAGAGAAGAATCAAATAGACACAATAAAAAATGATAAAGGGGATATCACCACTGATGCCACAGAAATACAAACTATCATCAGAAAACACTATAAACACGTCTATGCAAATAAACTGGAAAATCTAGAAGAAATGGATAAATTCCTGGACACATACACCCTCCCAAGACTAAATCAGGAAGAATTCCAGTCCCTGAATAGACCAATAACAATTTCTGAAATTGAGGCAGTAATTAATAGCCTACCAACCCGAAAAAGCCCAGCACCAAATGGCTTTGCAGTTGAATTCAACCAGAAATACAAAGAGGAGACAGTATCATTCCTTCTGAAACTATTCCAGCAATTGAAAAGGAGGGACTCCTCTCAAACTCATTTTATGAAGCCAGCATCATCCTGATACAAAACTGGGAAGAGACACAACAAAGAAAGAAAACTTCAGGACATTATCCCTGATGAACATTGATGCAAAAATCCTCAGTAAAATACTGGCAACCCAAATCCAGCAGCACATCAAAAACCTTATCCACCATGATCAAGTTGGCTTCAGCTCTGAAATGCAAGGCTGGTTCAACATACGCAAATCAATAAAAGTAATCTCCATCACAGAAGCAAAACCAACAACAAAAAACAAATGATTATCTCAGTACATGCAGAAAATGACTTTGATAAAATTCCACATCCCTTCGTGTTAAAAACCTTCAAAACACTAGGTACTAATGGACACATTCCAAAATAATAAGAGCTATTTATGACAAAGCCACAGCCAATATCATATGAATGAGCAAAAGCTGGAAGTGTTCCCTTTAAAATCCGGTGCAAGACAAGGATACCCTCTCTAACCATTCCTGTTCAAAATAGTATTGGAAGTTCTGGCCAGGGCAATCAGACTAGGGAAAGAAATAAAAGGTATTCAAATACAAAGAGAGGAAGTCAAACTGTCTCTGCTTGCAGATGACGTGATTGTATATTTAGAAAACCCCATCCTCTCAGCCCCCCAAACTCCTTAAACTGATAAGCAACTTCAGCAAAGTATCAGGATACAAAATCAATGTGCAAAAATTACAAGCATTGTTATACAGCAACAAAAGACAAACTGAGAGCCAAATCCTGAGTGAACTCCGATTTACAATTGCTACAAAGAGAGTAAAATACCTAGGAAAACGGCTAACAAGGGATGTGTACTTCTCTCTTCAAGAAGAACTACAAACCACTGCTCAAGGAAGTAAGAGAGGATGCAAACAAATAAAAAACATTCCATCTTCATGGATAGGATGAATTGGTATCATAAAAATGGCCACATTGCCCAAAATAATTTGTGGATTCAATGCTATTCCCATCAAACTACCATTGACATTCTTCCCAAAATTAGGAAAAACTCTTTTAAATTTCACATGGAGTCAAAGAAGACCCCATATAGCCAAGACAATCGTAAGCAAAAAGAGCAAAGCTGGAGGCATCATGCTACCTGACTTCAAACTTTACTACACAGCTGTAGTAACCAAAAGAGCATGATACTGGTACCAAAACAGACATATAGACCAATGAGGCAGAACATACACCTCAGAAATAACACCACACATCTACAACCATCTGATATTTGACAAACCCGCAGAAACAAGCAATGGGGTAACGGTCTCCTGTTCAGTTAAAGGTGCTGGGAAAACAGTCTAGTCATATGCAGAAAACTGAAACTGGACCCCTTCCTTACACAATAAATGAAAATTAACTCAAAATGGATTAAAGCCTTAAACATAAGACCTAAAATCATAAAATCCCTAGAAGAAAACCTAGGCAATACCATTGAGGAACATAGGCATGATAAAAATGCCAAAAGCAATTGCAATCAGCCAAAATTGATAAATGGGAACTAATTATACTGGAAGAGCTTCTGCACAGCAAAATAAATTATCATCAGAGTAAACAATCAACCTACAGAATGGGAGAAAATTTTTGTAATCTACCCATCTGACAAAGGTCTAATATCCAGAATTTACAAAGAAATTAAACAAATTTACAAGAAAGAAAAAGTCATCAAAGAGTAGGCAAAGGATACGAACAGACACTTCTCAAAGAAAACATTTATGTAGCCAAAAAACATGAAAAAAAGCTCAATATTATTGATCATCAGATAAATGCAAATGAAAACCACAATGAGATACCATCTCATACCAGTCAGAATGGTGATTATTAAAAAGGCAGGAAACAATAGATGTTGATGAGACTGTGAGAAATAGAAACACCTTTACATTGTTGATGGGAATAGAAATTATTTCAACCATTGTGTTGAATCACAGTATGGTGATTCCTCAAGGATTTAGTGCCACAAATATCCTTTGATCCAGCAGTCCAATTACTGAGTGTATACACAAAGGAATGTAAATCATTCTACTATAAAGACCCATGCACACTTTTGTTTATTGCAGGTCTATTTACAATAGCAAAGACATGGAACCAACCCAAATGCCCATCAATGATACCCTGGATAAATAAAATACGGTACACATAAACGTGGACTACTATGCAGCCATAAAAAGAATAAGATTGTGTCATTTTCAGGGACATGAATGAAGCTGAAAGCCATCGTCCTCAGAAAACTAACACAGGAAAGAAAAACCAAAAACGACGTGTTCTCATTCTCTCGTTTTTGTTTGTTTGTTTGTTTTGTTTTTTGTTTTGTTTTGTTTTTTGGAGATGGAGTCTCACTCTGTCGCCCAGGCTGGAGTGCGGTGGCGGGATCTCCGCTCACTGCAAGCTCCGCCTCCCGGGTTCACGCCATTCTCCTGCCTCAGCCTCCCGAGTAGCTGGGACTACAGGCGCCCACCACTACGCCCGGCTAATTTTTTTGTGTATTTTTAGTAGAGACGGGGTTTGACCGTGTTAGCCAGGATGGTCTCCATCTCCTGACCTAGTGATTCGTTCGTCTCCGCCTCCCAGTGCTGGGATTACAGGCGTGAGCCACGGCGCCCGGCCATCATTCTTAAGTGAGAGTTGAACGATGAGAAAACATGGACACAGGAAGGAGAACAACACACACGGGCCTATAGAGGGGTGAGGTGGGTAAGGGGAGGGAACTTAGAGAACAGGTCTTCGCCCTGTTTCCTCACATGATTGTCCATCTGTGAGTGTCTATGTCCTCATCTCCTAGTCTCATAAGATCCCACGTCCCATCCTATGGGATTAGGACCCACCCTGGGGATCTCATTTTATCCTAATCACCTCTTTAAAGACCATATCTCCAAATCCAACCACATTGGGAGTTAGGACTTCAACATATATATTGTGGGGATAAAGTTTATTATTCCATAATAATATGTGTAATCCATACAGGGTATCATTTTAGAAGTTAACAAGACTTTTATCGCACGTTAGTCATTGTGGCAAAAACACCCATATTTTACCTCTAAATGTTAAAATTCCATCTGTATACATAAGTTAAAAATAAACATATTTGAAGTAGAGGCCGGGCATGGTGGCTCATGCCTGTAATCTCCGCAATTTGGGAGGCTGAGGTGGGCAGATCACTTGAGATCAGGAGTTTGAGACCAGACTGGCCCTGTCTCTAATACAAATAGAAAAAATAGCGGGGAAGTGTTATGGTGTGCACTTGTAATCATAGCGATTTGGGAGGCTGAGGCAGAAGTATCGCTTGAGCTGGGGGGAGGAAGTTGCAGTGAGCCGACATCATGCCATGGCACTCCAGCCTAGGTGACAAAATGAGACATTATAAATATCTATGAGCTTTAATCATTCGTAGAACTGCTCTCTAATCATGTCAATTATCCACAAGTGTGTTGACTCAGAGTTCTGTTGTTAATTGTAAACTAATTGTACACATATCGTTAATTGTATACGTGTGTATATATATATGTATGTATGTTGTGAATTGTATACATGTATATATATATGTACATGTATATGTGTGTGTGTGTGTGTGTGTGTGTGTGTGTGTGTGTGTGTGTGTATGTAGACAGAAAATGACAATCTCTTGACAATTTTTTTTTTTCTGGAATATGCCACTAATTAGAAAAGGAAAATTAGGTCTTGAGTAAGGCTCACTTTAGGAATGATGTTACTCTTGGCAAGGTGTGGTGGCTCATGCCTGTAATCCCAGCACTTTGAGAAGCCGAGGCTGGAGAATGGTTTAGACCCAAGAGTTCAAGACCTGCCTAGGAAACATAGCAAGGACCAATGTCTACAAAGGATTTTCAAAGATTAGATGAGTGGGGCGGTGCATGCCCCTAGTTCCAGTACTCGGGAGGCTGAGGCAGGAGAATTGCTTGAGCCCGGGAGGTTGAGGCTTCAGTGAGCTATGATCACACCACTGCACTCCAGCCTGGGTGACAGAGCAAGACCACGTCTTGAAAGTAAGGGAAAGGGAGAGGTGAGGAGGGGAGGGGAGGGGAGGAGAGGGGAGGGGGAGGGAAAGGGGAGAGAGAGAAAGAAACAGAAAGAAAGAAAAAAAGGAAAGAAGGAAGGAAGGAAGGATAGAAAAAGAAAGAAAGAGAGAAAGAAAGAAAGAGCAAGAAAAAGAAAGAAAGAAGGAGAAAGAAAGAAAGAGAAAGAAAGAAAAGAAAAGAAAAGGAAAGAAAGGAGGGAGGGAGGGGAGACGTGATGTTACTCTAGAGCTTTGAATATAAAAGCAAATAATGACTTGCTTATTAACTACATCAGAAAATACTTTATTAATTACGAAGACAATGGATCTGCACAGTATCCAGTATAGATAGAATAATAGACTATGTATACCCTACAAATATCCTGAATGTATACATTGTCTCTTCTCCTATAGATTTCAAGCTGTATGTTCCATCTTTCTATTGACTAGTTCTCCATTAGGGTTATTTGGCCCCTTAGGAGACATTTGGACACATTTTGGTTGCCCAGACTGGGGAACGGTACTATTGATATGCAAGGAGTAAGGCCAGGGATGTGCTAACCATCCTAGCATACACAAGATAGCCTCTACCCAGCCGAGGACCATCCAGCTCCAAATGCCAATACAGCTGTGGTTGAGCAATTGCACAGGGAGTCTCCTATAATTTCTTCAGCATTGCTCACATTCGGCTCATTTGACTGACAACTTGACATAACCAAGGGAAAGAAAATTCTCCCTTTTCTCCTTTTATAGCTTTCCCATAACTAGTCCAATCTAAATTTGTATCCAATGAATCCCAGTGACCAAATGTAGAACAAGGGCGAATTCTCCCCTGTTGCAGTGCTTGTTGCAAATTTGAAGGATTAATTATATCATTATGTTATGTGGTAATTAATTGGCTCAATTTTCTGTCTTCTCATACCTAGCCATGGGGAATCTGTGCTTCCTGGCTGGAAAACCCCTAATGAACATTCTAAAAATGCCCGATGAGTCATTGTTCTCTTTTACCACTTTAAGGAGGAACTGAACAAATTTAATGTCAGTTGGTGTAGTTGCCGTAATAGGTGGATTGCATTTCAAAACTACTTTGGGCAACAGATTTTAAATAATATAGAGGTAAAAGAGTTTAAATGTGTCCTGTGAAAGTCCATAATGAGAATCTTCTGTTCTCTGTTTCTCCATTATTACAGTGATTTATAGTGAGGAATAAAATCTAATAAATAATGAATGCTTCAACTAAAGCTTCATTTTAATTGAAAACTAGGGCACAGGCCACCTTGGAAAATATTAAAATAAAAAATGTGACTCCTTAACTACTGACTGGTTTTTAAAACTTACTTCTGTGAGTGATGCTATTAAATAAACTCTGCTGTTTTTATTGATGGGCTCAAACAATACTAAAAAGGGTATCTTACTAATGTTGGGCTTCACTGAGGATGGTGGCAGAAATATTACTGGGAAATATTAGGGAAAGTTATATGGAATAGTCACAAACCTTTCTGGAAGTCTGAAAGGTCACATAGTTTGTAATAATTGAACGGGCCGAAGGCAGCCGGTTCTCACCTTAGAGCATTAGATCATAGAGTAAATACCATGGAAAATAGAAGCTTCCGCAGTTAAGTCTGTTTATCCTACCTCCATTAACTAACCTTTAAGCCAGATGGCCCCCTGGGGGGAGGTTGACCAAGGATATTGCCCCCTAATGGTATTTACTTTAGACCCCGGTACCTGAGCTTTAATCATTTGTAGAACTACTCTCTAATCATTTTAATTATCCACAAGTTTGTTGACTCAGAGTTTCTGTTGTTAATTGCATACAAAATAAATGCCTGAAGTTTGAGCTGTTCAGGGCCGGCTGCAGTGACAAACCTCTCTTGGTATGTATGCCATCAGACACTCAGCTGGACTGGCAAAGCAGAATTTCCATGTGTCAATGTATGTTTCCTTCACCCATCGTTTGGGTCAGGGTCTGCGGCCAGACCCCTGCAGCTAATGCCCTCTTATGAGGAGCAATATGTCATATTATCCTTTTGGAAAACAATTTTAGTGTTTCTTTTTCTTTTCTTTTTCTAAAATAATGCAATCATTTAAAGGCTAAATAAACCACATATTTCACATGTCATGTGTATATATACGTGTGTGTGTGTTTATGTATATATGTATATATAAATTTTAAAAAATGAATAAAAATTAAACAAAACAAAAACATGAAGGATTTAAAATATGATCATTTTCCAAACAAAAAAGTCTCAGAGCAATGCATTTAGTAAAATCCCACTTTGTAAAAACAAATACAAATATATCCAAGACATATTTGTCCTCCCATTTACATGTAGTAGAAGTGTTTTTCAGTCCCTAAGAGATAAAGCTTTTCAACATAAAATCATTGGTGTCCTAGAAATGTAAACTCTTATAAACAACCTAGATGTCCGCAAGTCTCCCATTCTACGTTAATATTTCCATGTTACTATATATATATAAAGTATATATTATATAAAGTGCATATATATTTATATATAAAGTAGGATGGAAATATATATGGAAAGAAATAGTATTTCATTTTATATCAAATTATCCATACCTTATATCTCATATATATTATTAATGATATATGTATCATGTATACATTAAATTTGTGTGTGTGTGTGTGTGTGTGTGTGTGTGTGTGTATCTCCTCAAATTTCTACCTAATATTTACAGAATCTAGTCTCTATCCCAAAATGTCCTAGGAACTCATTAAATAAAGTTTTAAGGGTTGCCAATTTCCCATTATGGTTAATTCTTACTTTTGAAATCCTTTGCTCACAATCTGGAAAGTAACATTGATAACTCATTTAGCAATCCTCCAGTTTGTTTTAATGAATTAAAGTTTCACAAAGTAATAGAGGGTGATATTCATAAAGAACAAGCATAGGTACAGGAATGTGGCAATATATTATGAAACTTCCAAGTGAGTTTGTGTGGCAGATGGGAAATAAGATTGAACATTACAGTGGAAGTAGATTTGAAGGATTAATTACAATGGGTTGGATGGCAGAGGAGAGAAAGAAAGAGCAGAAGAGAAATATTGCAAGTTACAGGTTAAGCACCCCTTATCTAAAATGTTAGAGACCAGAAGCCTTTCAGATATTGAATTTTTAAAATTTTTGGAGTATCTGCATATTCACTATGAGATATTTTAGGAATGGGACTCAAGTCTGAGCACAACGTTTATTAATGTTTCATATACATCTAATACACACAGAATGAAGGTAATCTTATATAATGTTTAAAACTAATTTTGTATGTGAAACAACGTTTATGTATGCTGAACCATCAGAGAGCAAAGATGTCATTATCTCAGCGAACCACGTGGACAAGAGTCTTCCAAACCCTATTGTGAACTGCACATGCGAGGGATCTAAGTTGCACGCTTCATGTGAGAACCTAATGCCGGATGATCTGAGGTGGAACAGCTTCATGCCCAAACCATGCCCTGTCCCCTCCATCCATCGAAAAATTGTCTTCATAAAACCGGTCCTGGCCGGGCGCGGTGGCTCACGCCTGTAATCCCAGCACTTTGGGAGGCCGAGGCGGGCGGATCACGAGGTCAGGAGATCGAGACCATCCCGGCTAAAACGGTGAAACCCCGTCTCTACTAAAAATACAAAAAATTAGCCGGGCGTAGTGGCGGGCGCCTGTAGTCCCAGCTACTTGGGAGGCTGAGGCAGGAGAATGGCGTGAACCCGGGAGGCGGAGCTTGCAGTGAGCCGAGATCCCGCCACTGCACTCCAGCCTGGGCGACAGAGCGAGACTCCGTCTCAAAAAAAAAAAAAAAAAAAAAAAAACCGGTCCTGGGGTTCAAAAAATTGAGGACTGCTGATACAAGCAATACCTTTCTTACATTTATGCACAAATAAGTACTTAGCAGTAAAAATGTAACATAGCATTAATACAGTGGAATATTAATGTGTTCAGAGTAAATAAGCTGCACAGTAGCACTGTACGAATTAAAGAAAGAAGAGAGAAACAGAAGGATGTCTTTAGAGTCAACAGGGGCAGGTTTATTTTTAATAAACCTCACCGGGAAGGCTAGCTGAGTTAGGTCAGAGCCACCCTTTCTGTGTCTGTTCCCATGTGTATCTTTCTGCAGCTGCAGGCATACGACCCAAGACTGCTTTTAGCTTCCCTAACTTCGTGCACCTGAAGGGAAAAGAATGTGCTCATTAAGGCCCACTGTTTTACTGGGGTCCATTGTATGAGGGTGAAGTTTGGCAGTTACCCAAGAGACTTTCCCTGCTACCTCCTCTGTGCCTGAGCTGTCTTATCTGTGTTTTATTGCTCTTTCTGCTTGTAGTTTGAAGAGAAGTGATTTGCTTGGAATGCATGAAGCTAGAAAGGGAGCTGGAACTTAAAATCGTGGTGTTTGTGTGAGATGACGGTGCTCCTGCTCTGTCAAGCACCGCCAGAACACCTGTATCCGATGTTAAACAACAGAAGCAACAGACAATGGCAAGGTGTCCAGAGTCCACCTGTGATGCTGTGTTTTGGTTAAAGGACAACTGTATTTTTTTAATGAGAAGAAACTGTATGTGGTGATCACTCCAACATTGTACTCTTCTGTAAGATGCTGTCCAGTTTCTCCTAGTGCTTGATTTTCGGTGGTATAGATACACATAAACACGTCGTGTTTTTCTTATCACTGTTACCCATAGGGCAGGCTTTGGACATTTTTAACAATATGTTTACACCACAGAGCAAAAATAAGCATGGAAAAAAACCACAGAGAGTAATGCATGTAGGGCGTCCTGTGGGACAACTTCGGGAATCTGACGTTGGTTCACACAGCTGAACAAATGTCCATTATCTTTTTTTTTTTTTTTTTTTTTTTTTGAGATGGAGTCTCTGTTGCCAGGATAGAGTGTTGCTATCTCAGATCACTGTAACTTCCACCTCCCGAGTTCAAGAGATTTTCTTGCCTCAGCCTCTTGAGTAGTTGGGATTACAGACACCTGCCACTGCACCTGGATAGATATGTTTTTTTTGAGACGGACTCTTACTCTTTCGCCCAGGCTGAAGTGCAGTGGCACGGTCTCGGCTCATTGCGGGCTCCGCCTCCCGGGTTCACGCCATTCTCCTGCCTGAGCCTCCCGAGTAGCTGGGACTACAGGCGCCCACCATCACACCGGGCTAATTTTTTGTATTCTCAGTAGAGACAGGGTTTCACCATGATCTGCTTGCCTCGGCCTCCCAAAGTGCTGGGATTACAGGCGTGAGCCACCGTGCCCAGGCACACCTGCATAATTTTTGTATATTTAGCAGAGACGTGGTTTCACCATGTTGTCCGGGCTGGTGTTGATCTCCTAACCTCAGGCAATCCACCTGTCTCAGCCTCCCAAAGGGCTGATATTACAGGTGTGAGCCACCGCGCCTGTGCCTCCTGTCCTTTTATTGCTCTTTGTGGGTATGCATACATGGGAGTAGTGTGGCATGCCTGGAAAAGATATACTGCAGCTGATGGGAGCTGCAGGGGTGGAGAGTGAGGGTATCTTTCTTCCTTTAGTGACACTGAATAAACTGTGTGTTCTGCACCTGTGTTTTTACTGTCACCTATCACATGAGGTCAGAGATGCAATTTTCCACATGTGGTGTCATGTCCATGCACAAAATGTTTAAGATCCTGTAGCATTTCATGTTTTAGGTATTCAAATTAGGGATGCACCTATCACCTGAATTTGTTTATTTTGCCTGCTCTCCAAGAGAAGAAGGTGTTCGTTCATGTAGGAAATATCTCATGTTTTGTTTCTCTAAGGCCTTACGCTTCTGACAACTACATCAAAGAGTACAGTCTTGGGTTGAGGGCATTCTATGGGCTATGGGTCAAACTTTGGGATTCTTATTCCTCATGAAACACCACTGGGCTCCATTGCTGAGCCATATTTCTGAAACTGGATGGCCTAGAACTGTCATCCCCAAGAAAGATTAATGCATCACTTATATTCCAGCAGATATGACTAATCCAAATTACTGTTGGTATCATTTTGTGTCCAAAATTGGTTCCTTCTAGTGGGTTCTCGGTCTTGCTGACTTCAGGAATGAAGCCGCAGATCCTTGTGGTGAGTGTTAACAGTTCTTAAAGATGGTGTGTCCGGAGGTTGTTCCTTCAGATGTTCAAATGTGTCTGGAGTTTCTTCCTTATGGTGGGTTTGTGGTCTCGCTGACTTCAGGATTGAAGCCACAGACCCTCGTGGTAAGTGTTATAGCTCATAAAAGTAGTGAGGACCCAAACAGTGAGCAGCAGCAAGATTTATTGTGAAGAGCAAAAGAACAAAGCTTCCACAGTGTGGAAGGGGACCCAAGTGGGTTGCCGCTGCTGGCTTGGGTGGCCAGCTTTTATTCCCTTATTTTGCCCTGCCCATGTCCTGCTGATTGGTCCATTTTACAGAGCGCTGATTTGTCCATTTTACAGAGGGCTGATTGATCAGTTTTTACAGAGTACTGATTGGTGCACTTACAATCCTTTAGCCAGACACAGAGCACTGATTGGTGTGTTTTTACAGTGTGCTGATTGGTGCTTTTACAAACCTTTACGCAGACACAGAATACTGATTGGTGTGTTTTTACAGAGTGCTGATTGGTGTGTTTACAAACCTTTAGCTAGACCCAGAGAGCTGATTGGTGCCTTTTTACAGAGTGTTGATTGGTGCATTTACAAACCTTTAGCTAGACACAGAGTGCTGATTGGTGCATCTTTACAGAGTAATGATTGGTGCATTTGCAAACTTTTTGCTAGACACAGAGCACTCATTGGTGCATTTAAAAACCTTTAGCTAGACAGAAATGTTCTCCAAGTCCCCACCCGACCCAGGAAGTCCAGCGGGCTTCACCTCTCAATCCCCCCTATAAACAGGACAGCCCAACTGCTGTTGGGAATTGGGTGATGACCTCTCCAGCTACTTCCTGCTGGATAGGGGTGAAGAAGGGCCCCTCCAGTTGTGGTGTCCTCCAGAGGGGAGCTCTTCAGGCCAGTGAAAGGACCAATGGGTTGGTCCAGGGGTCCTCAGTAGAAGTTGTTAGTTTAGCTTGTTTGGGGTTCTATTTGTAAAACCATCTGTAGCTTGATGGCCTTGATCCTAGAGGAAACAAATTTGACAAGGAGGTTAAAAATACAGGGCCCAAAGGTGAGTAGTAGCAAGATGGCTGCTGTGGGACCTCAAAAGCGGGGAAGCCATGTTGCCCAACTCCAGAGTTGGTATAAGAGTTTGAAAGGCGGTATCTGATTTCAGAAGCCTTTTCCTGTAAACACCGGGTGGCAACTCATACTATCGCTGACTGGTTAGTGTAAAAACAACACTCTTCCTCTATGAAGGTGCAGAGTCCTCCTTTCTCAGCAGTGAGGAGGTCCAGGCCTTGGAGAGTCCCTGCTGCCAAAGAATGTATTTGGGATTGTAGAGTAAGGATAGGTTTTGTTAGTTCTTGCAAACTGTCTGAGAAATCCTTTGAGATGAGAGTGTGTGGTATTAGGATAATACATGTTACACTGTAAAGTTTTAGCAAACTTTACTTTTGTTGAAAACCTTGTAAGTTTGGGCTTTCCATTGTTCTGTGCTATTAAAAAGACCTTATTCAGTCCATATTAACTTAGAATTGCTATAGATGGCTCCTTCCTGATTCCGTAAGTACTTTAAGGTTTGACTGAGTGCAAAGAGCTCACAGGTTTGAGCAGACCAGTTTTTAGGCAATTTTCCTAACTCTACTTCTGCAAGAGTTTCCTTGTCACTTACTGAATGCCCATTGTGTCTTTTTCCTTAATCTTCTGGGAGGAATCGTCTATCTTCCTGTCCTGAAGGGGGTTCCTCCTAGGCCTGGTCAGACCTTTGTATGGTAATTAGTTAAGATTTAGATCCCCTGTTAGGAAACCTGCTGGGTTAAGGATTTTTGATAGGAAGGCTATGGGTTGTCCGTGGCCTCAGTGCTTTGGGGCTATGCCCTTGTTTATGCTGAGAACAAGGTGGTATTGGAGTGCAGTTATAGGGTTATGGAGAAGACCGTCATTATGAATTATAGGTTTTAAATTTACCCTGGCTTTTAAAGGAACAGGGTACCCTGTTTTTGATTTACTACTTCCATATCTCTTTCTTTCTCTTTGAATTCTTCTTTGTCTCTCTCTTTCTGACTCCCTCTTTTTCTGTCTCTTGCTCTCTCTCTTTGACTTTCTGTCTCTCTCTTTCTCTCTCTCTCTCTGACTCCCTCTTTTTCTCTGTCTCTTCCTCTCTTTCCCTCTGATGTTCTTTCTCTTCTCTCTTTCCTTTCTGCTGATCTTTCCCTGCCTCTGACAGATGCTTATCCTGCAGTTCTCCCCTCTCCTTCCCCTTTTTGATGGTTTTGGCAGTGTAAGATGGCCACCTCCTTGGGTTTTTGCGCTGCGTACAATAATTCAATGATATCCTTGTGATATTTAATAGGGGTTCCCCCAGAGGTTAGGAATTCCCTTTCTTTCCATAGTGCAGCATGGGCATGTAGGATTAGATAAGCATACTTGTTATCTGTATACCCCTTTACTGTTTTTCCCTTTCCCAGTTCTAAGGCTCAGCTAAGTGCCACTAGTTCTGCTAACTGGGTGCTGGTCTCTGGGGGAAGAGGCTTACTTTCAAGTATGGTTACATCACTAACTATGGTATAACATGCCCTTTGTATCCCAGTCTCCACAAATGGACTTCCATCGGTATACAGGTTAAGGTCAGGATTAGCTAAGGGGGCTTCTAAGAGATCCTCTTGGGTGGCATAAGTCTGGACTGTAATTTGTTGTCAGTCATGCTCGACTGGTTCCCCATTCTCTGGGGGAAAAGTGGCAGGGCTGAGGGCCTCACATGTCTGTATTTGAAGCACCAGTCCCTCAAGGAGTAGTGCCTGGTATCTAAGCAGGTGGTTGTCTGAAAGCCATAAACTTCCTTTGGCACCTAATATGCCGTTTACATCATGAGTAGTCCAGACAGTGAGATCCTTTCCTTGTAGCCTCTGACACTAAGATGGCCACTGCTGCAAGTACCTGTAAACAGTGAGGCTAGCCTTTTTCTACTATATCAGTTTCCTTACTGAGGTATACCACTGGTTGTGGGGTTGTCCCATGAGTCTGAGTAAGGACCCCAAGAGCTATTCCTGTTCTCTCTGTGATGTATAAAGAGAAGTTTTGTCCTGTGGCAAGGCTTATGGCTGGAGCTTGAGTTTGTTCCTTCCAACACCCAGACTACAGGCTTGATTCCTTCCTCAAGCAGGGGACAACAAATCAGTAACTTGTTCCCCATATTCATGTAGACAATAGCTCCAGCTTTGGCTAATATGTCCCTCCCTAATAAGCGTATGGGATGTGCAGGCATAACAAGAAAGGCATGAGAAAAGAGCAACGTCTCCCAAATACAACTGAGGAGGTGGGAGAAATACCTGGTTTTACAGGCCATCCCAGGATTCCTTGGATGGTAACGGACATTGAGGACAGCTGCCCAGGACAGGGGATTAACACTGAAAAAGCTGTTCCAGTGCCAGGAGGAAGTAAATTTCCTGGCCTTCAAAGTTTAAACATACCCAGGGCTCAGTGAGGGTGATGACATGAGCTGGCGCTCACCCCAGGCATCCTCAATCTTGTTGTTGGATTATCTGGCTGGGGGCTTCTGGCCCAGAGAAGCTTTGCCCTCTGGGGCAGTGTGCCTTCCAGTGATTGCCTCAGCATAGCAGACATGGATGAGGGGGTCGTTGTTGTTTCTCATTGAACAATCTTTTTAAGGTGTCCTTGAAAACCACACTGGTAACAAGCCCCACCAGGTGATTAGCCTGCTCCATTTTCTGTCCTCTCTGAACCACCAAGGTTTGTTTGTCTGAGGACCATGACTAAGGCTGCAGCCTTTTTCTGATCTTTCTTTTCCTTTTGGGCCTGTTCCTCTTGGTACCTGTTTAGAACACTGAGATTGCCAGGTTTAATAATGCCTCCAGATTTTGTTCAGGTCCCAGGGCTCACTTTTGGAGCTTTCTCCTGATATCTGTGGCTGATTGGGTAATAAACTTATTTTTTAAGATCAATTGACCCTCGAGTGAGTCAGGTGACAGGGGGGTATGTTTTCTTAAGGCCTCCTGTACCCGCTCAAGGAAGGCAGAAGGATTTTCTTCTTTTCCCTGAGTTATGGTGGACATCATTGAATAATTCATGGGCTTTTTCCTACTTCTCCTTAGTCCTTCTAGAACACAGGTAAACAGAAGTTTATGACTCCAGTCCTGATGATCTGAGTCAAGGTCCCAGTGGGGATCCATACTGGGGAAAACTTGCTGACCAGTAGGGAATTTGTCCCTTTCTTCAGCTGTCATTCTATTATTTACTTGACTAAGATACCAAGTATCTCCAAACTCTCAGGCTGCAGCTAAAGCCACATTCTTTTCATTAAAGGCCAGGTTTTGATCTAACAATAGCATGACATCTGTCCAAGTGAGATCAAAGGTTTGCCCTAGACCCTGTAGGACATCTATGTACCTATCAAGATCATCTGAAGGGTTCCCCAGGTCTGCCTTGATCTGCTTTAAGTCAGAGAGGGAGAAGGGGACACGTACCGAGGTTGGGCCAAATTCCCCTCCCCCTACAGCTTGAAGCAGACATAACTGATAGCACGGGGGTGTTTATGGTCCTTTGGGGATTTCTTTGCTTGTTTCCTTCTGGGTAGGGGAGATTAGAGGAGGTTTACCATTAATAGGAAGGGGAGTTATAGAGAGGCTAGGATATGGGGGTAAGTTAAGAGGTCCTCTTGTGGGATATAAATTGCAAGCTTTGCATAGTTGTGGTCTCTTCTTCAGTGAAAAGAAAGCTTGGACATAAGGTATTTTCCTCCATTTGCCTTCCCTCTTACAGAAAAGGTCAAGCTTCAGGATAGTATTGTAATTTATACTTCACTCAGGTGGCCATTTTTCCCCATCAGAGAGAGAATACTGGGGCCAGGCCATGGTGCAGAAAAAAATGAGCCACCTCTTTTTCAGGGTTTGTGGGTCAAATTGGTGCCAATGGCTTAGGATGCATTTCAAGGGTGAGCCTGTTGATACCTGAGTGTTTCCCATCTGAAAGACAAAAGTGCCCATGGTTTTGGTATGTTTGTTTCTCCCCCTGCCCAAGAACCCACAATGGTCCCTGGATACTGCTGATTGGAATAGTTGCACTCACCGATGCAGCAGCAGAAACACCTCTTGCCAATGAACCCGCAATGGTCCCTGGGCCCTGCTGATTGGAATAGTTGCACACACCAACGCAGCAGTGGAAACACCTCTTGCCCAAGAACCCACAACAGTCCCTATGCCCTGCTGATCGGAATAGTTGTGCTCACTGGCACAGAGGCAGAAACACTAGTTTTCCTCCTAGACCACAAGGAGGATCGAGGAAGGTTGGATTCAGTGACCCTTACCGACACATTCTCAAAAAACTTTTAGAGTCCTAAGCATTCTCCTGTTAGTATTGGGACTTTACCCCTGTCCTGTGAAGATGTTATGCCCCAAAAATGAAGTGGAGGGCCATAACCTGAGGGAGGGAAGGGATCTCCAGAATTGGAAGAGTGATGCCTTTTCCCCTCACTTTTATGAATAGGAAGGATACCATTTCTGAAGCTCCCCATATCCTAGGTTCAGGAATAGCTTTCATTAGGCCTGCTAGTCTGAGAATGGATACTAAAATTCCAGATAGTCCCCCGCCCCAACGGGGCTTTTGGCAAAAATTATGTCTTTCTGATTGGTGAGCCCAGTGCCTAAAGAAGGTAACAGAGTCCTGAAGTTTATACTGGAAATCATTCTTATAAGATAAACTAGAAAAGCACCAGAGACAGGGAGTGGTTTTTAGAAGCAGTACTAGCCTCAGACAAGAGAGGCAAAAGGAAGTTTGTCTGACAAGCATTAGGACCCGGGAGGCAAGGGTCAGGATAGGTAGGAGAGATGGGTGAGTCTCACTTGGCTGACATGACTTTGAGAGTTCCGCTCATGGCTGCAGGGTCAACTAACTTCTTGTTGGGACCCTGCAGCTGAATAGCTTTCCTCTCTGTCAACCCTCAGCTCAGCCCAGAAGTACAGGAAAAGTGGAAGCTGGTTCCAGGCAAACCAATGCTCTCAACTCCGAAGAGTCAGTGGTTGTTAGAAAACCCTTTCCCAGAAAGCCTGACACCCCTGTCTTTAGTCTGGCAGTCATGCTAGTTGCTTTTAACTGGCCGACAGGTGCCTGGTATTTAGCCCCCAAATTCTAAGGAAAAATAAGACAGAATAGCAAGCAAAAGGGGCCCGATGGTACTCACCGGTTGTTGACAGGTGATTGTCCCTTCATGGTTGCCAAAATGTGTCCAGAATTGGTTCCTTCAGGTGGATTCCTGGTATCACTGACATCAAAAACAAAGCCACGCACCCTCGTGGTGAGTGTTACAGTTCTCAAAGATGGTGTGTCTGGAGTTTGTTCCATCAGATGTTCGGATGTGTCCAGAGTTTTTTCCTTCTGGTGGATTTGTGGTCTTGCTGACTTCGGGAATGAAGCTGCAGACCGTCATCATGAGTGTTACAGCTCATAAAGTTAGTGTGAACCCAAAGAGTGAGCAGCAGCAAGACTTATTGTGAAGAGAGAAAGAACAAAGCTTCCACAGCATGGAAAGGGACCTGAGCAGGTTGCCGCTGCTGGCTTGGGTGGCCAGCTTTTCTTCCCTTACTTGGCCCCACACATGTTCTGCTGATTGGTCCATTTTACAGAGTGCTGATTGGTGTGTTTACAAACCTTTAGCTAGACACAGAGTGCTGAATGGTGTGTTTTTACAGAATGCTGATTTTTGTGTTTACAAACCTTTAGCTAGACAGAAAAGTTCTCCAAATCCCCACTAGACCCAGGAAGTCCAGCTGGCTTCACCTCTCAATTTAAGATTGACTCTTAGGGTAAAGCACTATTTCCTATATTTCTTCTTTCCTCTAAATCACTTATTTGACTTTTTTTTTTTTTTTTTTTTTTTTTTTTGCTATTGAGTTGCATGAGCTCCTTAAATTTTCATGGTGTTATTTACAACATATGCATATTCATAAGAATATGAAAATATAAGGAGTGGTTTGTTGAATATGTGGCTGTGAAAGTCACAAATATAAGGGACAGACTATGCGTAAATTACAAGCGTGTGAGTGTTGATGGGGAGAGTTCTGGGTTATATGTTATGAGATGTTGAGTAACATTAACCAGTGAGATATTTTAAGATAGCATAGAAGGCCATATACCTAATTTTGGTTATGGGATGATCCTCTCTAAAGACATGGAGTGTGACTTTCTTTTGATTTATGTGCTTAGGCATAATTGATTTGAAAATATTGACCTATCATTGTTTACAAAAGTGAGTTTTGTGTTAGTTAAACCATAGAAACCGTTTTGCTAGTATTGCGTATGATACTGGGGAATGATGCCCCAATACAGTACGTTTTCATAGATTGCTTTAAAATAATTCAAGTGCAGTCTTTTTATTTTCCCTCAAGTATAATTCTGTGATGAATAAAATGACAATCTTAGCTAGAGAAACTTTCTTTGTTCTATTTAAAATAAGAACATGGGAGTTTCAGCTTGTGAGAACTTTAAAGTCAGGTATCTATAAAAGAGTGGATAACCTAACACTATTATTTAACATGGGAATTGAATAATATATTTAAGAAACTGATGATATTGGTATAGAAGAAATTTTATGTGAATATACGGTAAAGTTTATAAAATTCCGGACACCTGGGTGTTCTCACCATGGCATTTTTGAGATATCACTTTTCTCACATCTAGGTTTAAAATGAAATTATATAACATGTTATACAAGATAAGATGACATTTGGGTGGAATAGCGACATGATGAAAGCTTCTTTATAAAGTTTTTTTTTTTTTTTTTGACAAGAGGAGGCAAGAGTTGTTAATACTTCTCTTCATTTGACACACACATAAATAGGTGAAGCAGATGAATTCATACATGCAATTATGTAACAGAGACTTAACAAACATTTCAGAGCTGAGCTCATCTTTTTTTCTGAATTGAGTTTGTGAAATGGTTGTTTAATGCTTTAGAAATGCTTAGAAATGCTTGTGCAGAGAGGTTTTAATATGTGGGCAAAGGTATTTCACTGAAAATGAATTGCAGTTGTAAATCACCTGGATTTAGCTAGTAGCATAATGAGTACAATGCTTGCATGGGACTCCTGTTGGCTTGCTTTCTGAAAAAAGAAGTGATGCTAGCCATCTTGTTTGTTCTCACCTGACTCACACAGAGCATCTCTGGGATAGCTGTGTAAATACTCATTTATGCCACTTCTCTGAGCATGTCTTCAATATTTCATTTTTGTTAACCATGAAGTGTGAATTGCCTGGTGTCCTTGAGATGAAGATTTTATGACTAACACGTGGGACTTTCTACTGTGGGGTGATCACTGGCAAACTCATAACCAAAACTAATATCAGACCCTATTCCAAGCTAAAGCTTTGGCCAATGAAATGACAGATTGTGAAGAATGCAGACATTATACTCTTGGCTGATTTCTCCTTTCCTGTTTCAAGCAACCTCTCTGAAAGTGGAGGGACTCATGACAATTCTCATGTTGCAGGGAAGAATCATTTTGCTTCTCTTGCAAGAAGTGTTTCTGATTCCAAAGCCAGTTATCAGAGTGTTTCATCCCTCATTGTTGGTGCCATATGCCAGAGACAGACAACTACAGTCAGTACTGTGTGCTTTCATGTTTATCATCTCCTGGAAGGAAGGATGTGCTCTGGGGACTGAAGAAGACAGAGGGGGCTTTGTCAGCAATTTTGGCCTTGAACGTTAAAGAACTCATTCACTTTTAAAGCCCTAATACATTTGCAGCACTATAAATAAGAACCTGTTTTCCCAATGTATACAGTGATTCTGAGGTGGCCTCAATACTACTTTTTAATGTGAAAGAACAATGATTAAATTTGAGTATACTGAAGGTCGTAAACATTATGAAATCACTGTCCTTACTCTCTTGACATAGAAGTTAGTTCCATGATGTACTTATCATCGAGTTAAAGAGATGCCTTTTTCTGAAATTCTGAAATGTGTCCAAGTGGTCCAAAATTATATCATCTTTTCTAGGCCCATAGTTTTACCAGTGGAAAGTAGTTGGGTTACCGGCCGTGTATCTTTATGGGTCTGCAGCAACATCAGTTGTTGCCTCCTCAGAAGAAAGAATTCAACTGAGGGGCATAAAGCAGAAAAAGGGACCAAGGCAAGTTTTGGAGCAGAGAAGTTTATTTAAAAAGGCTTTAAGACACGAAAAAAAGGAAAGTATGCTTGGAAAAGACTCAAGTGGGCAACTTGAAGAACAAGTGTGCTGTTTAACCTTTGATATGATTTGTCTGTGTCCCCACCCAAATCTCATCTTGAATTGTGGCTCCCACAATTCCCATGGGTTGTGGGAGGGCCCCAGTGGAAGTAATTAATTCATGGGAGTCGGTCTTTCCCATGCTGCTCTCATGGTAGTGAATAAGACTCATGAGATCTGATTATTTTATAAAGGTTAGTTTCCCTGCACACGTTCACTTCTCTTGTCTGGCACCATGTGAGATATGCCTTTCTCCTTCTACCATCATTATGAGGCCACTACAGCCACTTGGAACTATGAGTCTATTAAACTTCTTTTTTTAAATAAATAAATACATTACCCAGTGTTGGATATGTCTTTATCAGCAATATGAAAAAGAACTAATACAACCCTGATCCTAGGACTTTATAGGCTGGCCTCTTCCCCATAATTCTTCCTTTAGGTTGTGCTGCCTGCAGGCACACTTTCCCCACCCCCACGACCTTATCCTTGGCAAGTGAGCATGCACTATGTGTTCAGTAAGTTGTACGCATGACCAATTTGAGGCTTTCTTCCCCTTTCTGGAAATGTGCCCAAGAAGATCGTACTCCATTTTGTCTGTTAATGCACATTCCCAGGAAATTGCTTCTCCCTGGTGTGTGCATTCCACTAACACTTTACTGCAACAGTTGTGGCCCATCAGCATATAGCTTTTCACTGGCTCAGGCTTCCAGTTATCATTTTTAGAGAGGCAAATAGATAATTGTGAAACCATCATCTGACATTCTTAGTCTGCTGTGGAGAGCCCTTTCCTGCCCTGTTTATGCCTGCCTAAGTACCTGAAACAATAAGTGACCTTTTTACATGTAGAATCCAGTTTTACTCAGAGATTCAGCCAAGTTTAGACTCCCACCACCTGCAACTGTCATTACTTTGAAAGCCTTTTGGAAAATGTTTATCAAAGAGAAAATTATGACACTGAAACAAACGTGATCTAACATACCCTTTACTTACCTTTAGCTTACAAGCTACCTTCATTATTCCTGGGCTAACTTTGGAAGACTTTTAGTTTCCAGTTTAAATAATAGGCCTTTTCCAAAGCTCAACTCCCTTTGTAAAGGTAGTGAGAAACACACTTTTGGGCTACAGGGAGGAAAGGAGCCTGATTTCTGCTAATGTATAGACATAAAGGATTGTCCGTCGTTATTCTGGAGGTCCTGCAGGTAATATCACTAATGTAGAACATACCATTGACCTTTTGAGATCTCTTTTCAGGTTTTTTTTTTTTTTTCTTGGCTGACACCTGGCTCCACCTGGACCCATGTGGACCAACCTGGACAAGGCCACTCCTGTGGCCCTACACAGAAGTGACTCAACTCAAGAGGATCACTTTGTCCCATTATGATTTCATCTATAACCCAATGAATCAGCACTACGTACCCTCTTCCTTTCTACCTCCACCCCATCACCCAAACTGCCTTTGAAAAACCCCTAAAAAAAAACCTTTGGTGAGATCGATTTGAATAATAACTCCATCTCCTACATGGCATGGCAGAATGGCTGGCCCTTCCTTCAATTAAAATCTTTTATTTTTTTTTGAAATGGAGTCTTGCCCTGTCACTCATGCTGGAGTGCAGTGGTGTGATCTCACCTCACTTCAGCCTTTGCATCCTGGATTTGAATAACTGTCCCACCTCAGCCTCCCAAGTAGCTGACATTACAGGTGTCTGCCACCATGTCTAGCTAATGTTTTTTATTTTCTTTTATTTTTAGTAGAGACTCTTGACCTCAAGTGATTCACCCAGTGCAGTGTCCCAAAGTGCTGGGATTACAGGCATGAGCAACTGACCTGGTTAAATTCTTTCTTTACTGCAATGCTGTGATTTTTGTTTCTGCAGAGGATAGGAAGAAGTTAACAGGTGGTTACAATATGGGTATAGTTGCCAAGTAAACTTGGATTTAAGTCATTTTGTAGGTTGTTTTTTATTCTTTCTATAATTTTATTCATAACTTTCCCTGCCCAGATTTCTTAAACCATTTATTCCTGATAAGGACATACATGTTGTTAAAAATCAAAGAATGTGTTCAATTAGCTAATTTATTCAGAAATGTTAGTATTATTCCACAGGCAATATGATCAGGAAATGGAATACATATATCTTTAAAAAAAATTGCCAGGTATTTTGACAATTTCCATGGTGTTAGACACATTTCTTACTGAGACTTCCAAAATTCCATAATTAAATTTCACTCTGGCCATATGGAGTGTCTAATGCCTATAATCCCAGCACTTTGGGAGGCCAAGGTGGGCAGATCACTTGAGGCCAGTAGATTGACACCAGCCTGGGAAACACGGTGAACCCCCACCTTTACTAAAAATACAAAATTAGCCAGTCATTGGGGTGGGCATCCATAATCCAGCTCTTTGAGAGTCAGAGGCATGAGAATCGCTTGAACCCAGGAGGGGGAGTCTGTAGTTAGCTGAGGACATTCCACTGCCCTCCAGCCTGGGCAACAGAGTGAGAGCCCATCTCAGAAAAAAACCAACCAAACAAACAAAAATGCAGTAAGTTTTTAAAAATTAAATGTAATAAGTTTCTGTCACTACTTTTTAGTTTACATGTGTATTCAATCTAAAATAGTTGTAATTGCATGTGATTATCCCCCAAAGGCATAATTCAGGTAACTGCTAACTAGCTACAACTTGGGGTTTTCAACCTTACCTTTCATGAGATATAAGAGTTTTCTTACCACAAGGACATTAGGCTGGTTGTTTCTAGGTTCTTATGCAGTTTCCCTTTGGAAATCCTTTTAGTTTCTATCTATATTTTCTTTCATCAATAATTTAAACATTGGAACATTTCTCAAAATGTCCAGATGGTTGGTATATTTTTCAACCTTTTTTCCTATTAAAAAACACTGCTTCTAATAATAGGGAAAGTGTTATTAAAATATATAATGGTGGTGGCAAGTGTTTCTGTTTCTATTTGCATCCATGTTACTTTTATGCATTTTGATCTTCTACTATTAGGTGTATAACTATTGTACTTATTCCATTTTCTTGACACATTGACCAACTTATCATTTTGGAATGTGTTAATGTATCTGGAAATATTTTTTGCCTTTACTCAAATTGGTTTTGTCTCATATTAGTATCAGAATCCCACCTTTCTGATTAGTGTTTATATGGCATAACTTTTTCATCCTTTTATTTTGAGTCTTTATAGTTGAAGTACATTTCTTATAGGTAAAATGCAATTGGATCTTTCTTCTATGAAATATTATAATCTCTACTTTTATTCAGAGTGTTTACATAGGCCGTAACCAATATGTAGCTATGAACCAAATGTGTCTATTTTGATTTACATTTAAATTAATTAAGTCAATATTTAAAAATCAGTATATTAGTCACATTAAAAAATACTCAATGAACACATATGTCCAATAGACACTATATTAAATAGTGCAAAATAAAAATTTTCCATCATTTTTTAGGTCTATTGGACACTCCATATACAGACTGTATTATAAATACTATTGATTCCATTGGCCTTCCACATCAAAATGATATAATATACAATATGTTAAAATAAATGTCAATGAATTCATAACATAAATACAATGAATGAAGATCTTTAGAATAATCTGTGAATGATAGGTGTATAATCTTTAAAAAGAAAGGTTTATTTTATTTTATTTTGTACATATTTTTTGAGACTGGGTCTTGCTCTGTTGTCCAGGCTGGAGTTCAGTGGTGTGATCACACCTCACTGCAACCTCAACCTCATGGCTCAAGCAGTCCTCCTACCTCAGCTTACCAGGTAGCTGGGAGTAAAGGTGCACACCACCACACCTGGCAAATTTCTCTCTCTTTTTTTTTTTTTTTGTTTTTTTTTTTTGAGAGACAAGTTCTCACTATGTTGCCCAGTCTGGTCTCACACTTCTGGATACAAGTGATTTTCCTATCTTGACCTCCTAAAGTGCTGGGATTACAGATAGGGGCCACCATCCTTGGCCAAAGTTCATTTTAAACAAGATAAAACATGTACAAACCATTAAATATAATTAATATTATTTAATATGATAAGGGCATCTGTTATGAAACCTACTTATAAACAAACAAACACAATTTTTGCTTTCTTATTAACATTTGGAAAGTAATGAGGTAAAACTATTCCATATATATTGTTACACAGATACAACAGACAGTAAAATACACTAAATGTATTATTCTGAATAAAGATTTCAATAATATTTTACCTTCTTAATTACTCTATCCCACACTCTCCAACATTTCTACAAAGGGTATGCAATAGTATTCAATTAGAAAAAGATGTAGTATCTCCTGTGAAGTATAAAAACGTGACTTTTAAAAATACTGTAAAAATATATTTACAAAGTTGTGATAACATGTATTATGTGAGCAGTGTTCAAGAGTTTTCTGAAAACTAAGCTTCTTTATAGCAGACTTAATTTTTCAAGTTAATATTTTGAAGGCAATAGTAAGTTCATTAGACTAAACACCTCACTTCATCTCTGCATCAGCATGAACTACATAGTAGCTCTTGAAATTCATGTCATGGCTCAGATGTTTGGTGAGCACTGATTCTGGGTGATGCAGGATTTTGACTCTAGCACCCAGAGTTAAAATAACAGATATGTGTCACATTGTGTCTGGAATTGGTTTCTTCCAGTGTATTCTTGGTCTTGCTGACTTCAAGAATGAAGCCACAGATCCTCGCGGTGAGTACTACAGTTCTTAAAGATGATGTGTCCAGAGTTTGTTCCTTCAGATGTTCAGATGTGTCTGAGTTTCTTCCAGGTGGTTCTGGTCTTGCTGACTTCAAGAGTGAAGCTGTAGACCTTCGCAGTGAGTATTACAGCTCTTAAAGTTGGTGCAGCATCTGGAGTTGTTTGTTCCTCCTAGTGGGGTTGTCGTCACACTGACTTCAGGAGTGAAGCCACAGACCCTCACTATGAGCATTACAGCTCATAAAGGGAGTACGGACCCAAAGAGTGAGCGGCAGCAAGATTTATTGTGAAGAGCAAAATAACAAAGCTTCCACAGCATGGAAGGGGACCCCAGTGAGTTGCCTGCTGCTGGCTCCATGGCCAGCTTTTATTCTCTTATTTGGCCCCTCCCACAACCTGCTAAGTGGTCCATTTTACAGAGTACTGATTGGTCATTTTACAGAGTGCTGATTGGTCCATTTTACAAAGTGCTGATTGGTGCGTTTACAATCTGTTAGCTAGAATGCTGATTGGTGCGATTTTATAAGAGTGCTGACTGGTGCATATACAATCCTTTAAGTAGACACAGAGCACTGATTGTGCATTTATAATCCTTTAGCTAGACACAAAAGTTCTCCAAGTCTTTCTTCATCTCTCAATATATTTTAGAAAGTGTGGGTATTAGCAGCAGGCAGGATGACATCCCTTCTCTCTCTTGTTTCTTTTGATGCTCTGTCTTTTTTTCTTCTCCATTTTCATGCTTTATTTTAATTTATGATATGATTTCACCTGCACACAAGGTACAGCCCTATTCACATGTTGGCACTTGTTGCAGGGCCCTGCAGAAGGTGAAAGCCCTCCTCAGTTGCATAATACATTATTCAAGGTGTCTACAGGATATTTACATCCAACCTTGGGAAGAACATCTCACCTTAGAACATTCAAATGCCCAAAGTTGCATTGCTGAGACACCAACAGATGTTGCTCTAATATTAAATAGATAACCATACAGCCTTTGTGCTGGATTTTCTATAGTCAATTTATTTCTCCTTCCCATATGCTACCCAATACCATATAAAAAAATGGTATGATAGGAACTGCCTTCATCAGATACAGTTTAGGTGAGAGATTTTCATGGTAGAAGAGAGGATGGATTTTTCTTTCTGTAGGGCTTCTGAAGTCAGATGTATGAGCAGAGGGTGGGTCTCTATGAATCCACAAGTTTGGTATTGCTAGAAGCTTCCACTGAGATGTTTGTTTATTTGTTTGTTTTGAAACAGACTTGCTCTGTCACCCAGGATGGAGAGCAGTGGCACGATCTTGATTCACTGTATCCTCCACCTCCTGGGTTCAGCGATTCTTGTGCCTCAGCCTCCAAAGTAGCTGGAACTACAGGGGCATACCACCATGCCCGGCTAATTTTTTGTATTTTTAGTAGAGACAGCTTTTCACCATGTTAACCAGGATGGTCTCGATCTCCTGATCTTGTGATCTGCCCGCCTCGGCCTCCCAAAGTGCTGGGATTACAGGGGTGAGACACTGCTCCTGGCCCCATAGAGATTTTTTTAAAATCTGCCTTTGGTTTCAGGGTACACTTCTCTCTTCTCTTCTGAGGGATAGGATTATATTTCCTTGGAGAGAGACTTTTCTTTTTTAAAGTACCTACAGCAGCTTCTGTTTAGATGGCAAAACTCTAACAGACGTCATCCTAAATCGATAGGAATGGTGAATTCTGTGGTTCAGAAATACTACACTTTGCTTCACGGAAGAGTGAATGTTGAATTGTGATGATAGGGGAAGCCCGCTACTGTAGAATGGATAGGTCTTATCGATGAGTACAGCTCATCGATAGTTATTTAATTCTAATTCATTAGGGTTATTTATGTTAGACCAATTAAGCGTTTGAATTCACATCTTCACACATCAAAGGCACAGATAACAGTCTTCATTGCATTTTAATGTCTAACTCAAGTTTCCCTTAGTATTGGAAAGACCTGTTTCCTAAAGCAAGCAAGTATATCTCTGCCTTGCCATACCGTAGAATTTGGAAAATGATAATGTATATTTTATTCATTACTTTTATTTTGTAATTGGAGGAACATCATGTTGATCCATAAAGAGTAATTAGTTTGGGTTGGATTGTGAATAGAATACTTGATCTTGAACAATCAGGACAATAATTTTTATATCCTGATTTTTCAAACTCAGTCTAATAAAAGTAATTATAAGGGGATTCATGCAACTGGTGATAGAAATTTGAGAGGCATTATAAAACAATTATAACTTGAAAGTATTTCTTTTAGTAGTGTTTACAACTCCTGAGTTTTCATTCTTGAAACTTCTTTATAGCTTATCTTTTATAGAGAATAAAGTTTAAATTACTAAACAAATGATGCATAAAACCATATTTAATTGATTTTATTTCTTTGTGGTCTGATTCAAATATATGTAAGACTGAGATTGAGAGTATATATGCTTCTACTTTAAGAAATAAAAATTTAAAATAAATTATGTTTGTCATTATTGCTCTTCTCCATAACTGAAGATAGATGTCTATTTTCTGAGATATTTTATGTGATCTGATATTAACTTAACTAGAAAACTACTAGCTTTTACCAAGCATTTGAATGTTCACATTAATTCAGTAAATAAGAAATCTATTTTTTCTTTTTTTTTCTTTTTTTTAGAGGGTTGCAGTGAGCTGAGATCATGCAATTGCACTCCAGAAGAAATCTACTTTTTCAAAGCCAGTGTATATATTCCTCAATTTTGAGTTGACAAAGGTGCCCAATATATTCTAATACCCAGAGAACTTAGTAAACTATATAAGAAAACTTATACTTAACTCAATAAGTGTCATTAATTTCCACAGACTTTTTAAAGCAGGATGACTAAAATCAGGTGGCAAATGAAGCCATCATATACTGATGTTCTAAAAATGAAAGGACAAACCGATTTGTTACTACTGCTCTTAATTTTGAAGGAACATAAACACTTCAGCATACTCTAGGAGAAGTAGATTTGATAACTGTACAAAATAAAACATCCATTCAGTTCTGTTTTCTTAGCAGAGCCATGGTATAGCAATGAGGACCAAAGACAATTTGAAAAATGGACAATTCATTGCCAAATTTCTGTGAGCTTTTTCACCCTGGAGTATATGCTGGGACAAGTGTGGGCAACAGGCTAAGATATAAACACACCCACTGATTTTCTTAAATGGATTTCTATGACTGGCATCTAATCTCAGCCAATCCTTACTGGGCTTTTTGCACTAACAGCAACTGAATACCTGTACACACACACACACACACACACACACACACACAAATCCATCCTCTCTAAGCCCTCATCAGCACCATCTACTTTCCTGGAGATGTCTCTTTGACTCTTAATAGATGAGGTAGATCAATGATTTTCAAGGTCATGTCATTACCAAAGATGGGCAGGAGAAAAATAGAAGCCCAGGCTCAGTCTCAATCTCAATTTACCCTCTATTCTCGTCTTTTTCTCCTGTCTCTGTCTCTCTGTCTCCTGTCTCCCTCTCTCTTACTGTCTTTTCTCTACCACCCTCCCTCTTCTCCTCTGTCCCCTGATTTCCTCTCTTCTCTCTCTCTTCTTTTTCTCTCTCCCTCGGTCTCTCCATTACCCTTTCTCTTCTTTTTCACTTCTGTTTCTTTCGTATCTCATATACTCTTCTCTCTCTCCTCTCTATCTGTCATTGTTTCCCTCCTCTCTCTGTCTTCCTCTTTCTCCTTCCCTTCTCCTTCTTCTCTCTCTCTCATAGGTATGGAATTTTTCTTCTTTCTCTCTTTCTCTCTGTGAGAGGAAGAGGTATGAGGAAGATTTATGAGAAGAATTGGATCACAGGATTATAGAGGCTGAAAAGTCCCACAACGGCCAGTCTGCAAGCTGGAGATCCAGGGAAGACAGTTCTGCAGGCAAAAGCCTCAGACCAGGAAATCTGATGTATAATTCTTGGTTTCATAATTGGATGGGGATGTAGGGTGCTGGTTGAAGTTCCAGACATGAAGGCCAGAGAAACCTGGAGTTCTGATGTCCAAGGGCAAGAGAAGAAGTTTGTCTCCAATCCAGAAGAGAAAGAGCAAATTTGTCTTCCCTCTGCCTTTTTTGTTCTATCCAGGAATGTCAACAGATTGGATGGTGCCTGCTCCCATTTGATGACAGTGTATAGTCTTAGCTCAGGCTACAGAGTCAAATGCCAGTCTCTTCTGGAAACCCCCTTAAAGACACTCCTAGAAATAATGCTTCACCAGCTATCTGGGTAACCTTTAATTCAGTTGAAGTTGCCACTTAAAATTAACCATCACACCTTGGAAGACAAGGGACATTCAAGACAGATAAAACCCAGAGCTTCTCTACCATTGAATTTGGATACATTGGTCATCTTCCCTCAACCTCCCATGCCCTCCTGCATCAGAGGATATAATAAAATATGCATTGTTTGGTTGTCTTCTGTTTGCTTCATATACACACTGTCCACATGAGCTCTCCTCCTGCAGGAAAGACACCAGTCATTTTATCTATTTTGTGATACAGTGTAAGAGTCTGTATTTTCTAAACTAATAGACTATTCCTCCCTAATGACCATTTTAGTATCAGCAAACTAGAGATAGTCTCATGAGAAAGAATTAACACACATATTTTCAATCTCTAAGAATTATGCAGCTTCTTTCACAGTTCATAAAATCTTTATACAAAACATCTCTGCACTAATTATTGGCCACACTAGGTAGCCATCATTATTGTTTTGTTTTTTCTTTGTCACGAGGTCCTTCTCTGTCGATAGTATGAACTGAACAAAATTATTATTTTTAAACTCATGAAGTAATGATCATCAGTCCAATAGACAGCCTTCCTTTTGGAAAAAATTATTGCAAACTGAAAACATTATTATTAAAGCAGAAAACAATCCTATAATATTTATATGGTTATGTGAGGTATTTAAGAGTTTCCCTTAATCTATGTGTCATAGAGGAGAAAAATAGAGTTAACGTATCTTGATATAATTTTAATAGGTTTATTGGGCCAGATAGTTGGACTATATTAAAAATAAACCATAAAATATGTTAGACAATTTCTATCCGTGACTATATCATATCTGATCTATCTTTTACCATACCAAATGTTTTCAAGAAGATTAAATTTGCCTACATGCTTTTTTAAAAGCGTGACTTAGGAACTGCTTTTATAGTCAGTAGACTTCTAAGTAGTAAATGTAGCCAAATTTTGATAATTTTTTCATCTTGTTAATGTTCTTAATTTTGTATTATTTCTTTAAGAAGTAAAATTTTTAGTTCTGTTATTTCCTATAAAATCTTTATTATGTGAAATGAGAATTAGGAAAAAGGGTTGCTACATTCCTTCCTCAAGAGATACACATATTCATAAATCAAACATTCATTTTTGCATTATACAAATGGAATTCTCATACTTAAAAAATCACTCCTTATCAATTTTGTACTTACCTACACAGTTTTCATCTGATATTCATTCATTATTTGTAGCATAAACAAATATCAAAGAACTATGACGGGCCATCGAAATCCAAAACCTGAAGTCATGTGGACTGTATAATATAATGCAGCAGCCTGCATTTGAATTCTGTTTGTCTTAGGATCCAGGAAATATCCACCAACACCTCTGATTTTGCTTGTTTTTAGTATCACAGAATCAGGGCATACCCAGAGATTAAGCTGCCTAAACACCTTCCTGAACAAATTTGAAGCTCTTCATATTATTAAAATAATTATTTTATAAATGTCTATACATCTAAATATATATTTTTAGAGATTGCAGTCTTGCTATGTTGCACAGGCTGGAGAACAGGAGTGTGATTATAGCTCAGTCTCGCCTTGACCTCTTGGGCTTATGTGATCCTTCTATCCCTGCCTCCTGAGTAGCTGGGAATACCAGCATGTGCCACCACACCCAGCTAATTTTATTTTATTTTTCCTATTTTTGTAGAGTTGGAGTCTTAGTGTGCTGCCCAGTTTGCTCTTGAATTCTTCACCTCAAGCAGTCTCCCCACCTCAGCCTCACAAAATGTTTATCCACTATGCCTCGCTAAGACATATATTGCAGTAAAAACACAATAGGGAAATAGCAAACAACGGGTATTACACAAAGCACCACACAAACATACATGACTTCTTCCAATTTTCATGTAACTATTGAAGAAAGTCACTATTATTATCCATAAGAAGACACTGAGACTGAAAAAGGTAGAAACAATTTGTCCAGAGATAACTGAATATTATGAACTACAGACAAAACGTGAATCTAAGATATCAACCTGGAAAGATCAACATGTATATTTGTCATGCTATAGGCACAAGTTCCCTTTATTGTTGCTATCTGGAGACCCCCCCTCAAAGCTGCCTCTGTATCACATTTGGGACAAGCAGCTAGCAGTTGGATATATTGGAATTCTCTCTGCTATTAAAAAGTAACCATCTATTATCGACAAAACATACAGCTTAATTTGTGTTAATCCCTTTCAGGTTGTCTTAAATAAAGGGAGACGGTTTTTATTAGGTTTTTTCTTTTTTGTCCTGGATGGATTTACAGAATTATATCATTCAGGGAAGACTCATTAAACTGTAAAGGAAGCATGGAGAACTTAACCATGCAGAAAAATTGCAAATCATTTATTTTGATTGTCTCTCTTAATAAGTCCCAAATTCTCATGTGTGCTTTGTCCATAGTGACTTCCTTCCAAGGAGTACTGTATGGGAAGAGGAAAACAGAACATCTTTAAAATAGAAAAACGTGAAAAAGTACTATCTCAGCCTGGAGTCCAAAATTAACATCAACAGTGACAAGTCTCACTGAAAGGGTGCACTCTTCCTATCATGAATACAGCATTTTACCTCTGTGGGCCTTTTCTCAAAACCCATAATTCAGGTCCCGTTATGGGAAAATAATATCAGACAAAGCCCAGTTGAGGGGCATTTCACCAAATATCTGATTACTAGCTTTCACAACTGTAAGGATATCAACAACAGGGAAGATCTGAAAAAAAGCCAAGATTTTGTTCAACTGTCATTGTGCATGGGAAAACTCCCATGAACTTCTTGTCATGAGTGATAACATAGTCCCTGTCTGTGAGGGATAAGGCCCAGTCTCCCTGTTCTACTAGAGATGTGAGGGTGCTCACTGAAGGCCACTGGTAAGCATTTACAGAATTTTCAGATTAAATGGCATGTTTTTAAGTAGGTGCCTCCTTTTTAGTTTAGTTTTGTTTGTTTGTTTGTTTCTTAAAGGGGAAGCCTTCATACTGGACTCTACAGTCCCTGTAACTTAGACACAAAACATGGTATAGCACTCTGAAGATTGCCTACTGCAAACATTTAATTCTACAGATTAGGGTCCTGTGAAGCGATATGAAATACCTCTCTTTTATTGCACATGTCCATTGGAGATTTCCTGTGCCACTTGGCTATATTTTTATTTTTAAGGACTCCAACTTATTCTCACTGTTAGAAAAAGATGTTGGTCATTAAACCACAAAGTCAAATGTGGTGTGATAAGAGAACCTACAAACTTATTTTGTTTGGGAGGCAGGCAGCATCTGTCTATTCTATCTTCCCACTCTGCTGGTCTTAAAACTTACTTTTCTTGAGGTTGTAAGGCATCACCTGTCAGGGTAGCTGTATATAGGGTCACCTTAAGACGTCTTAATCTGTCATGTAATGAGCTCCTCTCTGAACCTCTATCTCTATATCTTCATCACAGATTCCCTCTTCAAGAGTGAACCAATCCCATGTTGCTGGAGTTTATTTTTCAGCCTTCCTACTTAAGCTCAGCTTGATATCACTTTCCAAAGTTCATTTGCTTCCCTGTCAGTACTAAAGTAAGTTATTTACAACTGTCTGCTATTCAGCAATGTTTTATGCATCACAGTTTTATTAGACATGTCAAAAATACAGGAATTAGTAGGATGGAAACATACATTCCAAAGATGATCAAATAAACTCTGTCTTCAATAGTCTACTAGCAGGGAAGGTATCTTTAAAGCTGGAGTATGCATTTGCACTTTTAAAAACTAGTTATTTATAGGTGTTCTAACTATAACCAGAATCAGGACAGGCAAACAAATTAAAAGATCCTATAATCCCAGAAATCTGCCAGCTTGAATTGAATAAGTTTAAGATGTAGTCCTGATTGACTGTAACCTAAACTGTGAAAACTATATTCTTTCTTTGGGATGAAAGGAAGATGCCATCAATCACTTCTGTTTCCTATGGATAACAGTACTGAAAGCACATTTCTACTTACTGGACACTGTTGCATTTGTGGTTTTATTTTAATGATGCAACAAAGAAAAGAAAACAAATTCCAGCTAATGTAATGATGCCTCCAGTAACCAACCTCCCTCCTTCCCTCCTTCCCTTCATCCCTCCCTGACTCCATTCCTTTCTTCCTTCCTTCCTTCGTTCCTTGCTTCCTTCCTTCCTTCCTTTACCTCTGTGGGACTCTTCTCAAAACCCATAATTCAGGTCCAGTCATGAGAAAAGAAAATCAGACAAAGCCCAGTTGAGGGGCATTTCCTTCCTTCCATCCTTCTTTCCTTCTTTCCTTCCTTCCTTCCTTCCTTCCTTCCTTCCTTCCTTCCTTCCTTCCTTCCTTCCTTCCTTCTCAGGAGGTTGAGGTGAAAGGATTACTTGAGCCCAAGATGTCAATGCTGCAGTGAGCTGTGATTACGCTGTATGCTGCAGCTTGGGGGACAGAGTGAGACCGTGCCTCTAAAATAGTAATAAAAATTGTACCTTTTCATTAAATAATTAAAATAATTACTACACTGGTAGCTTTGCAAAAGAACTTAGATGATAACCTATATTTTTCAGTGTCTGCCCATGTAATTTAGTGAATAATAAGCCTCCTTTTTCTTTTTTCTTTTATTCTTTATTTGTATATTTTTAACTGTATTTCACTAAGGAACGAAGTAAAATGACAAAGCTCTAAACATCCTAATGGAATATATATCAAAAGACTAAAATACAGTGTGGAGGAAAAAGGATTTTGATGATATCTGTCAATTCAGTCCTTTTTTTTTAATTTCTCATAATTGCTCGTAAGAAGGCTTAACTCCTCATATGTATAGAGAACTAGCATATGTAAATGATGTGGCTTTTTAGTCACCTGCTGAACAGTTTATTTACATAGTAGCCAAATGGCAAATTCATGGTGTTAGAAAATTTTAGGTTAAAGGAAAATATGGAGAGAAATGAATTTTGTATCAAAGAACTAAACTGACAGAAAATCCATGGCTTAAAATTTGCCTTCTGAGGTCTTCAGCAGAAATGTGGGGTTCTTCATCTCACTTGCAATGTGTAGCCAACACACTGATGGAAATTTTCTCTCCACTTGGTGTCTGTAAAAGGATAATTTGCATTTACTCCACATTTGAAAAATGAACACCAAATAAATTGTAAAATTGTTTTCATGATAGAAGGGCTATGTTTTAATTTCAATGCTAAAATTATCTCCTCTAAAATTAAACATTTTAGGTTCTAGTAGTCTAGGCAGGTTTAACTGGGTAATTTAAACAAAAACATAACCAATAGCAAATATTAGAAAAAGGAAAAAAATAAAGACTATAATAAATGTTCTAGGCTGATGTTTCTTGACTCCCACCCTACTGGGAAACTGAAAAAAAAATACTGTCTGTGAATTCCTATGCATATTTAAATAATGGAGTATTTATACAACAAAAGTAAGGATATTTGCTTCAGCCATATCTTCTGACAATTTTTATTGGCAGATTTTGTCAGATAAAATTCTAAATTTTGTAAAATAATATTGTTATTTGGTCCTTCACCATTATAAAAATTGCAATCATTTTATTCTAAGTTAGGAGTCACCAACTAGATCCCTCTTTAGTAAACAAAGTTTTCTTAGTATACAGTGCTACCTAGTGTTTATGGCTATTTTCAAGTGATAATGACAGTGATTAGTGGCTGTAGAGACTATCAGACTTTGAAATTCTGAAATATTAACAGCACTACTTGACCTTTTACAGAAAAATGCTTGCTTACTCTTAATAGGATGTGATATTTGGTTTTCAGTTTAATTTGGAGTCTTTTGGCATGGAGAAATTTTTAATTAGGTTTTATGTAGTTTTATAAATCACTTTTTTTTTCTTTTATGGCTTCTGAGTATTCTCTTTTGATTATCAAGGTCCAACCAATTATGATTCCAAGCATTCTCCTTAACTTTATTCTGCTACATTTTATTCATATGTAGGCATAAACATTCATGGGTGTGGGTTTTATGTGAAGGATATATGCCATATTGGAATTTTGTATATGTGTCACCAGACATATTTCATGGATACTCACATTTCATAATACACACATAGAAAAAATCATCACTTTATATTACAATTTTAGCAATCTTGATTAATAGTGTAAAGAAAGAAAAATAAACTAGTTGACTAAATATTAAAAAGGAACAGTTAAAACTTCCATTAGTTGCAGAAGATGTAATTATCTGCAAGAAGAAAATGATATAACTTAGATTTAGTAAGAGAGCTTAGCAAGAATTCTAGGTAAAAGAAATGTAGGTTGCCTGTTCAGTCTGATGATATTTTCTTTCACTGTGCAGCAGCTCCTTAGTTTAATTAGATCCGACTTGTCATTTTTTTCTTTTGTTGCCATTGTTTTTTGGTGTTTTAGTCATTAAGTCTTTGCCCATGCCTTTGTCCTAGGTATTGCCTAGGTTTTCTTCTAGGGTTTTTATTATTTTAGGTCTTACATTTAAGTCTTTAATCCATCATGAGTTAATTTTTGTATAAGGTGTAAGGAAGGGGTTCAGTTTCAGTTTTCTGCATATGGTTAGCCAGTTTTCCTGACGCCATTTATTAAATAGGGAAGCATTTCCCCATTGCTTGCTTTTGCCAGGTTTGTCAAAGATCACATGGTTGCAGATGTGTGAATTTATTTCTGAAGGCTCTGTTCTGTTCCACTGGTCTATATATCTGTTTTTGTGCCAGTATCATACTGTTTTGGTTACTGTACCTTTTAGTATAGTTTGAAGTCATGTAGCATGATGCCTCCAATTTTGTTCTTTTTGCTTAAGATTGTCTTGGCTATATGGGTTCTTTTCAGGTTTCATATGGTATTTAAAGTAGTTTTTTTTTTCTAATTCTGTGAAGAAATTCAATGAGAGCTTGATGGGTAGAGTGTTGAATCTGTAATTACTTTGGGCAGTAACGCCATTTTCATGATACTGATTCTTCCTATCCGTGAGTATGGAATGTTTTTCCATTTGTTTGTGTCCCCTCTTATTTCCTTGAGCAGTGATTTGTAGTTCTCCTTGAAGAGGTCCTTCACATCTGTTGTAAATTGTATCCCTAGGTTTTGTGTGTGTGTGTGTGTGTGTGTTTAGCGATTGTGAATGGGAGTTTACTCATGGTTTGTCTATTATTGGTGTATAGATATGCTTGTGAATTTTGCACATTGATTTCATATCCTGAGACTTTGCTGAAATTGCTTATCAGCTTAAGGAGATTTTAGGTTGAGACGATGGGGTTTTCTAAGTATACAATCATGTCATCTGCAAACAGAGACAATATGACTTCCTCTCTTTGTATTTGAATACGCTTTATTTCTTTCTCTTGCCTTATTTCCCTGGACAGAGCATCCAACACTGTGTTGAATAGGCGTGGTGAGAGAGGGCATCCTTGTCTTGTGGCGGCTTTCAAAGGGAATGCTTCCAGCTTTTGAACATTCAGCATGATATTGGCTATGGGTTTGTGATAAATAGCTCTTAATATTTTGAGATACGCTTTATCAATACCTAGTTTATTGACAGTTTTTAGCAAGAAAAGGTGCTGAATTTTATTGAAGGCCTTTTCTGCATCTATTGAAATAACCATGTGGCTTTTGTTGTGGGTAATGTGTATGTGATGAACTATGTTTATTGATTTGTGTACTTTGAACCAGACCTGCATCCCAGGGATGAAGCCGACTTGATTGTGGTGGATAAGCTTTTTGATGTGCTGCTGGATTCGCTTCGCCAGTATTTTATTGAGGATTTTTGCATCGATGTTCATGTGAGGTTTTGGTATCAGGGTGTTGACAGCATCATAAAATGAGTTAGGGAGGAGTTCCCCTTTCTCTATTGTTTGGAATTGTTTCAGAAGGGGTGATACCACCTCATTTTTGTATCTCTGGCAGAATCCAGATGTGAATCTGTCTGGTCCTGGGCTTTTTTTGGTTGGTAGGGTATTAATTACTGCCTCAACTTCAGAGCTTGTTATTGGTCTATTTAGGGATTTGACTTCTTCTTGGTTTAGACTTGGGAGGGTATATGTAGCCAGGAATTTGTCCATTTCTTCTAGATTTTCTGATGTATTTGCATAGAGATGTTCATAGTATTCTCTGGTGGTGGTTTGTTTTTCTGTGGGATCACAGAAATACAAACTACCTTCAATGGTGATATCCCCTTATCATTTTTTTATTGTGTCTATTTGATTCTTCTCTCTCTTCTTCTTTATTAGTCTGGCTAGCAGTCTATCTATTTTGTTAATTTATTTAAAAAAACAGCTCCTGGATTCATTGATTTTTTTGAAGAGATTTCCAGTCTCTATCTTTTTCAGCTCTGTTCTGATGTTATTTACTTCCTGTCTTCTGTTAACTTTTGTTTGCTCTTGCTTCTCTAGTTCCTTTAATTGTGATGTTAGCATGTCAATTTTTAGATCTTTCCTTCTTTCTCCTGTATAAAACACTTTCATTTCTACATTTTCTTCTAAATGTTGTGTTAGCTGTGTTTCAGAGATTCTGATAGGTTGTGTCCTGTTCTCATTGGTTTCACAGAACTTATTTCTGACTTAATTTTGTTATTTACCCAGTAGTCATTCAGGAGCAGGTTGTTCAGTTTCCATGTACTTGTGTGGTTTTGAGTGAATTTCTTAATTGTGAGTTCTAATTTGATTGCACTGTGGTCTGACAGACTGTTATAATTTGCATTCTTTTGCATTTGCTGAGGAGTGTTTTACTTCAAATTATGTGGTTAATTTTAGAATAAGTGTGGTGTGGTGCTGAGAAGAATGTATATTCTGTTGATTTGCAGTGGAGAGTTCTGTAGATGTCTACTAGGTCCACTTGGTCCAGAGCTGAGTTCAAGTCCTGAATATCCTTGTTAATTTTCTGTCTCATTGATCTAATATTGATAGTGAGGTGTTAAGGTCTCCCCCTATTATTATGTGGTAGTCTACATCTCCTTATAGGTCTCTAAGAGCTTACTTTATGAATCTGGGAGCTCCTGCATTGGGTACATACATATTTAGGATAGTTAACTGTTCTTGTTGCATTGATAACTTTACCATTATGTAATGCCCTTCTTTGTCTTTTTTGAACTTTGTTGGTTTAAAGTCTGTTTTACCAGAGACTAGGATAGCACACTTTGCTATTTTTTTCTTTCCATTTGCTGGGTAAATAATTCCTCCATCCTTTATTTTGATCCTATGTGTGTCTTTGCACATGATATGGGTCTCCCGAATATAGCACACTGATGAGTCTTCACTATTTATCCAATTTGCTTGTCTGTGTCTTTTATTTGTGGCATTTTGCCTGTATACATTTAAGGTTAATATTATTATGTGTGAATTTGATCCTGTCATTATCATGCTGCTGGTTATTTTACCCATTAGTTGATGCAGTCTCTTCACAGTGTCGGTGGTCCTTACAATTTGATATGTTTTTGCAGTGTCTATTACCAGTTTTTCCTTTCCATGGTTAGTGCTTCCTTCCAGAGCTCTTTTTTTGAATTTTGTTATTATTATACTTTAAGTTTTAGGGTACCTGTGCACAACGTGCAGTTTGTTACATATGTATACATGTGCCATGTTGGTGTGCTGCACCCATTAACTCATCATTTAGCATTAGGTATATCTCCTAATGCTATCCCTCCCCCCTCCCCCCACTCCACAACAGTCCCCAGTGTGTGATGTTCCCCTTCCTGTGTCCATGTGTTCTCATTGTTCAATTCACGCCTATGAGTGAGAACATGTGGTGTTTGGTTTTTTGTCCTTGCAAAAGTTTGCTGAGAATGATGGTTTCCAGTTTCATCCATGTCCCTAGAAAGGACATGAACCCATCATTTTTTATGGCTGCATTGTATTCCATGATGTATAAGTGTCACATTTTCTTAATCCAGTCTATCATTGTTGGACATTTGGGTTGGTTCCAAGTCTTTGCTATTATGAATAGTGCCGCAATAAACATACGTGTGCATGTGTCTTTATAGCAACATGATTTATAATCCTTTGGGTATATACCCAGTAATGGGATGGCTGGATTGAATAGTATTTCTAGTTCTAGATCCCTGAGGAATCAGCCACACTGACTTCCACAATGGTTGAACTAGTGTACAGTCTCACCAACAGTGTAAAAGTGTTCCTATTTCTCCACATCCTCTCCAGCACCTGTTGTTTTCTTACTTTTTAATGATCGTCATTCTAACTGGTGTGAGATGGTATTTCATTGTGGTTTCAATTTGCATTTCTCTGATGGCCAGTGATGATGAGCATTTTTAAGGCAGGGCTGATGATGGCAAAATCTCTCAACACTTGCTTGTCTGTAAAGGATTTTATTTCTTCTTCTCTTATGTAGCCTAGTTTGGCTGAATATGAATTCCTGGGTTGTAATTTTTTTTCTTTAAAAATGTTGAATATTGGCCCCCACTCTCTTATGGCTTATAATGTTTATGCAGAAACATCTACTGTTAGTCTTAGGGACTTCCCTTTGAGGGTAACCCGACCTTTGTCTCTGGTTGCCCTTAACATTTTTTCTTTAATTTCAATGTTGGTGAATCTGACAGTTACGTGTTTGGGGTTTGCTTTTCTTGAGGAGTATCTTTGTTGTGTTCTCTTTATTCCCTGAATTTGAATGTTGGCCTGTCTTGTTAGGTTGGGGAAGTTGTCCTAGATAATATCCTGAAGACAGTTTTCTAACTTGGTTCCATTCTCCCTGTCACTTTCAAGTACACCCATCAAACCTAGATTTGGTCTTTTCACATAGTCTCATATTTCTTGGAGGCTTTGTTTGTTCATTTTCATTCTTTTTTCTGTAATCTTGTCTTCACACTTTATTTCATTAAGCTGATCTTCAATTGCTGATATCCTTTCTTCTGCTTGATCAATGTGGCTGTCGATACTTGTGTATGCTTCACGAAGTTCTCATGCTGTGTTTGTCAGCCCCATCAGGTCATTTATGTTTTTCTGTAAACAGGTTTCACTAGTTAGCAGTTTCTCTAACTGGTTTTCAAGGTTCTTAGCTTCCTTGTCATGGGTTAGAACATGCTCCCTTGGCTCAGAAGAGTTTATTACTACCCACCTTCTAAAGTCTATTTCTGTCAGTTCATCATAGTCATTCTCCATCCAGTTTTGTTCCTTTGCTGGTGAGAAGTTGTGATCCTTTGAAGGAAAAGAGATGTTCTGGTTTTTGGAATTTTTAGCTTTTTTGTGCTGTTTTTCCTCATCTTCCTAGATTTATCTACCTTTAGTCTTTGATGTTGGTAACCTTTGGATGTGGTTTAGTGTGGACATCCTATTTGTTGATGTTGTTTCTATTCCCTTCTGTTCATTAGTTTTCTTACTAGAAGTCAGGCACTTGTGCTGCAGGTCTGCTGGAGTTTGCTGGAGGTCCACTCCATATCCTGTTACCCTGAGTATCACTAGTGGAGGCTGCAGAATATCAAAGATTGCTGCCTGTCCTTCCTCTGGAAGCTACATCCCAGAGGGGCACCTGGCAGATGCCAGCCAGAGGTCTCCTGTATGAGGCATATGTTGACCCCTGCTGGGAGGTGTCTCCCAGTCAGGAGGCACAGGTGTCAGGGACCCACTTGAGGAGGCAGTCTGTACCTTAGCAGAGCTCAAGCACTGTGCTGGGACATCTGATGCTCTCTTCAAAACCAGCAGACAGGAATGTTTAAGTCTGTTGAAGCTGTGCCCACAGCCACCCCTTCTCCCAGGTGCTGCTCTGTCCTAAGGAGATGGCAGTTTTATCTATAATCCCCTGACTGGGGCTGCTGCCTTCCTTTCAGAGATGCCCTGCCCAGAGAGGAGGACTCTAGAGAGGCAGTCTGTTTACAGTGGATTTGCCAAACTGCGGTGGGCTCTGCCCAGTTTGAACTTACCTGTGGTTTTTCTTATGCTGTGAGAGGAAAACCACCTACACAAGCCTCAGTAAGGGTGGACATCTATCCCACCACCAAGCTCAAGTATCCCAGGTTGACTTCAGACTGCTGTGCTGGTAGCAAGAATTTCAAACCAGTGGATCTTAGCTTTCTTGCTTCCATGGGGGCGGGATCCACTTAGCTAGATCACTTGGCCTTAAGGCTTCATCCCTGTTTACAAAACAGTTCTGTCTTGCTGGTGTTTCAGGTGGCACTGGGTTAGGAAAGAAAAAACAAAAAACAAAAAACTCCTGCAGCTAGCTTGGTGTCTGTCCAAATGGCCGCTCAGTTTTGTGCTTGAAACCCAGGATCCCAGTGGTGTGGGCAACCTAGGGAATCTCCTGGTCTGCAGGTTGCAAAGACCATGGGGAAAGTGTAGTATCTGGGCTGGAATGCACCATTCCTCACAGCACAGTCCCTTACAGCTTCCCCTGGCCAGGGTAGGCACTTCCCCAACCCCTTGTGCTTTCCACGTGAGGTGGTGCCCCACTCTGCTTCAGCTTGTCCTTTGTGGGCTGCTCCCACTGTCTAACTAGTCCAAATGAGATGAGCTGGGTATCTCACTTGGAGATGCAGAAATCCCAGTCCTTTTTGTTTGATCTCACTAGGGGCTGCAAACTGGATCTCTTCCTTCAGCCACCTTTGAAAAAATATTTTTTTTCAATTACTTTGTTTTTTTTAATACATTCTAAAACACTTATTTTCAAATAAACATTTTTTCAAAAAAATTCTAAAATATGTAAAACTATTTTGACAATCATTTTATGCTGGAAATAAAAAGACTTAGGTTTTTTAAGTCATAGTTGCATCTTCAGATAATTATATTAATGTTGGTAAAAACCTCAGAACAGTTGTCATTTAAGTCATAAAAATTTTATTTTTCCAACTAAATATTTATATTTTGCAGTCAGCAGACTCCACACATTTATTAAAATTATTTGTTAGTACTCACAAAATTATGTTTGAAAAAATATCATATTTTTTTATTTCCCTACAGTTTTATTGAAGTATAATGCACACATAAAAATTGTATGTAGGTAATGTGAACAACGTGATATTTTGATATGCCTATACACTGTGAAATATGAAATGCTTACCATGATCAAGGAAAATGCAGCTACCACCTGACATAATTACCTGTGTGTATCTGTGTGTGTGAGAAAAAGGGGATGAGAGCACTTAATATATTCTCTGTTAGCAAATTTTGAGTATACATTTTTAACTATAGTTACTATGCTATAGATTGGATCTTCAGAACTTCATCATTCTGCATTCCTGAAATTTTGCATATTTTCATAAATATCTCCCCATTTTCTCTTGTTTTTCTAGACAAGCTACTATAGGACCTACAAATCTTTTTTTTACCATCTCACTGGTAAAATATCCTACAGAATAAACAATTTACAGGTAATTTTGTAGATGTTTATATATGATCTGTGCTTCTCAGGGTCTTAGGAAAAACCTTCATAAAGAAAATGACCTTGGATCTGGGCCAAACAATAAGCAAAACCAATGTTTTTGTGGTTTAGAAACTCCTTTGAAAAAGCAGTAGAAATAGATAACACCATAATTAATTATCTATAAATCTATCCACAGTACTGTCTTCACATTTATGAACTGTGAACCACTTGTGTTTTAGACACTAATTTGCTAAAAGGTAGCCTTTGCATGTCTGGGGAATTATTTTTTTCTTCCTAACCTTTCAAATAAATATTTTCTGGTGTAAGACTCATCAACCCATGCTACGGTCAACCTCCCAGAAATGTAAGCTCTCTACTCCAACCAACCAGACATTTAATTACAAAACACTGCAGTTAAAAGTGTTCCACTGTCTATTGGCATGTTTCCTTTCAGCTTTACTTTTTTTTTCCCACTCATTAACTGCTTGTTTAGTTAAAGTGCAAGTGGGACTCTGTCAAAGTTCATCTCCCACATAAATAACTACCTCTGATACACGTTATTTATGTATGTGGCTCTGTCAAAGTTCATGTTCCACATAAATAACTCCTTCTGCTACATGTTATTTATGTGTTTGGCCTTTGGAGAATGCAATTCAATGTCCAATTCAACTGATAAATTCATAAAAACTTCACAACCCTATAATCCTTTGAGCACCAAACAAGAAGACAGATATCTTCAATATCTAGAATCAAAGAACCTGAAAAGGCCCCTTTTTTGTTGCTTTTGTTTTGTTATTAATTATCTCAAGACAATCTCTTTTAAGGTCCAATTAAAGAAAAAAAAAACAACACAGAAATAGAAAGAGAAAACTAGATACCTGACATTTCAAATGTTAGTATTTACCTTTCTTCTTTCTTTCTGGAGTCTAATTTTGAATGACCTTTTGTTATCAGAGTCATTTAAAAAGATAATTATTTTTCAAACTTGTAAATAAAAAAGAACTTACATATATGTTAAAAACTTCTATCACCTTCAATTACTTTTATTACTTTCAATGGCAATTCCTCAATTAATTTTGAACCAAATGGAAACACTGAAACATACTAAGATTGCTTTCATAGATGTCTCTCTGTCTCTCCAAAGAACGATATGTATCATATCAATTTTGAATTTCTTAAAAATAAAAATTTTCTTCTCAATTTAGTATTGCAATTCCTTTTATTGTGTAATACATCTGGCCAATAGAGATATTTAGTTTAGAAGTCAGAAAAATAAAGTTCATAGATTGCTAGGCAATTGCCAACTCCACGTATCTAATAAGTATGTCCATTTTTGAGCTGAGATCTACCCATTTTCAAAGGTCATAATTTCCACTAAAACACTAGGGTCTGAATAAACCTATCATCCTGGAGTAAAAAATGAAGTTTGCTGGGAAATTAGCTTTTAGATGATGTTTGAATATTGCCTTATTAAATGATTAAGTAAATACTTACTCTTCTATTTAAATATTCTCTAATTTTTTCTCACTTTATTTGGGTAAAATATTGAGAAAATGTTACAATAACTTCCTCCAACATTTCTGTATGTCATAAGTACATTGAAAATATTAAAAGAATAAATTATATACAGCTGTGTGTATGTCTGTGTATATATATGCAATTAATTATATTACATATGCAATACTTTATAAGATATATTTCTGTCGAAAGGATAAAGATTTTTTATTGCTGAACAATGAAGAATCACACTGTGCATATCAGTTTACACAGCGTTATCTACTAAAATTATGAAAACAAAAATTAACATTTAAGGTATTTTTTCTTTTTACCATTACTTAAATATTCATAAAGATTTAAACAAAATTATTACTGTTATGTACAATCATTCAAAAAGCATATACGGCTCAAATGATATTTTTAAAGAGTGTTGCATAATCATGTGGTTTCTCTGTAAATAATGTATACTTTTGATGGGGTTGTTTGTTTTTGTCTTGTAAATTTGTTTGAGTTCATTGTAGATTCTGGATATTAGTCCTTTGTCAGATGAGTAGGTTGCGAAAATTTTCTCCCATTTTGAAGGTTGCCTGCTCACTCTGATGGTAGTTTCTTTTGCTGTGAAGAAGCTCTTTAGTTTAATTAGATCCCATTTGTCAATTTTGGATTTTGTTGCCATTGCTTTTGGTGTTTTAGACATGAAGTCCTTACCCATGCCTATGTCCTGAAAGGAAATGCCTAGGTTTTCTTCTAGGGTTTTTATGGTTTTAGGTCTAACGATTAAGTCTTTAATCCATCTTGAATTAATTTTTGTATAAGGTGTAGACACTTCTCAAAAGAAGACATTTATGCAGCCAAAAGACACATGAAAAAATGCTCATCATCACTGGCCATCAGAGAAATGCAAATCAAAACCACAATGAGATACCATCTCACACCAGTTAGAATGGCAATCATTAAAAAGTAAAGAAACAACAGGTGCTGGAGAGGATGTGGAGAAATAGGAACACTTTGACACTGTTGGTGGGACTGTACACTAGTTCAACCATTTTGGAAGTCAGTGTGGCAATTCCTCAGGGAACTAGAACTAGAAATACCATTTGACTCAGCCATCCCATTACTGGGTATATACCCAAAGGACTATAAATCATGTTGCTATAAAGACACATGTACACGTATGTTTATTGTGGCACTATTAACAATAGCAAAGACTTGGAACCAACCCAAATGTCCAACAATGATAGACTGGATTAAAGAAATGTGGCACATATATACCATGGAATACTACGCAGCCATAAAAAATGATGAGTTAATGTCCTTTGTAGGGACATGGATGAAATTGGAAATCATCATTCTCAGTAAACTATCACAAGAACAAAAAACCCAACACCACATGTTCTCACTCATAGGTAGGAATTGAACAATGAGAACACATGGACACAGGAAGGGGAACATCACACTCTGGGGACTGTTGTGGGTTGGGGGAGGGGGGAGGGATAGCATTAGGAGATATACCTAATGCTAAATGACGAGTTAATGGGTGCAGCACACCAGCATGGCACATGTATGCATATGTAACTAACCTGCACATTGTGCATATGTACTCTAAAACTTACAGTATAATAATAATAATAATAATGTATAGTTTTTCATACATGCACTTCAATAAATTTTAAGTAACTTAAAATACCTGGCTAGGTGCAGCGGCTTATGCTTACAATTTCAGCATTTTGGAAGAATGAGACAGGCAGATTGCTTGAGCCCAGGAGTTTGAGACAAGCCTGGGCAACATTGTAAGACCCTATCTCAATCATTTTAAAAATAAAAAAGAAATTATAGTGATTCAGTTGCATATACATATCCTGTAATAAAATAAAGTTGCATATGGTAGGGTTTAAAAATATTTATTTATCCATGAACATAATCATAGAAACAAACACTGTTTCATATATTTAATAGTTCAAGAAAAGACATCTTTGAATGAAAATATATTTAACTTAAATGTTTAGTTTTAGGAAGTATTTTAATGGCATATCCTTCAATATCCTTGGGAGGTACTTTCCTGAAAAGAACCTGTAGATAATACCTGTGAGCACTTAGATTTATGTTTTTGTGTCTTAAAAAGTTCCTGGGAACCAAAGTTATTTCAGCAAACCAAAATTATATATTCAGTAACATTCTAAGGTTGTTTCTCAGTGACCAAGAAGTAGGAATTGTTTGTTTCTCATTGACAAAGAGTCTAATTCTTAGACTCAAGTGATTCTGCTGCCACAGACTCCGAAGTAGCTGAGACTACAGGAATGTGTCACTATACAGAGCTAATTTTGCTTTTTTAATTTTCAGTAGAGACAGGGTCTCATTACGTTGTCCAGGCTGGTCTCACACTCCTGGCCTCAAGTGATCCTACTGCTTTGGCTTCCCAAAGTACTGGGATTACTGGTGTAAGCCACTGTGCCTGGCTGATTCAAAGAGCTAAGTCATTGATCTATCTGATGTACATCATAAAATTCATTAGAAGATGAATTACTATACTTTCTGAATGTAAAAATGATAAATACCCCCCAGTTCAGTTATTTTGATTCTACATTTGACTCACAAGACAAAAATATAGATTTCTCATTTGGGTGTACAGTAAAGCTTATAGATGTAAAACTGAATCATATTTAGAAATTTGGCTCCAAAATGTGGTTGCTTATTAGGTTTACATTCTTTCCCCTTTTTTTTTTTTTTTTTTTTTTTTTTTTTTGAGACGGAGTTTCACCCTTGTTGCCCAGGCTGGAATGAAATGGCACGATCTTGGCTCACCGCACCCTCTGACTCCCAGGTTCAAGCAATTCCCTTGCCTCAGCCTCTTGGGTAGCTGGGATTACAGGCATGCACCACTACACCAGGTTGATTTGTATTTTTAGCAGAGACGGGGTTTCTCCATGCTGGTCAGGCCGGTCTCAAACTCCTGACCTCAGGTGACCCACCCACCTCTGCTTCCCAAAGTGCTGGGATTACAGGCATGAGCCACCATTCTTGGCCCTATATTCTTTCTTTTTTATTCCTCCACAACATTGCACTCCATATTTTTTCATGAATAATTATCTATTTATTGGGTATACAAGATGTGTCAATTACAGTAGATACAAAAGTAAGATATTCATAACAAAATTAAAATATCTTTAGATAGTTCAACACAAAGAAATAGATATTTATGAAATGTATTTCTGAAGAAAAATACATTGTTAATATTTATACTGACATGAATTCATTCAGATTTCTTAGCTTAATTTCATATCACTAGCAAACAGGGAGATGATGATGTGTGAAATTAGGAGACAAGTCACTTGTATTTGCTATACCAAGATGATATTTCTTTGATTAGACTAATTTCAGGTATAGAAATTCAGCTTCATCAGAGGAACTATGCATGTTTAGTAGTCTTCAATAAAAATCTATTTTTTTTTCCTTACAAAGCAAGTATAATGTAAGTGGTCTGTAGTTGATCAATTTTAGCACTGAAAAAGTACAAATTGGATAATTCATGTTACATATATTAGATTTTTTCTTAGTAGCGTACTGAAAAAGTGGTACTTAGCATTGGTTCCTCTTTTGGCTAATTATGGACAATTGGACATGCTCTGCATTTACAATAAAATAAAAAACATTAATTCTGGTGGGCAAGATGGATTTCATGCCACCTTAATGCCCTGCATGTCAGAGAATATGGTTAAACATCAACATCCTTCCTCTTAGTTGTCTTTCCTGTCTACCCAGATGAAAAATACAGGAAGCATCGTTTCTTTTTTATTTTTTGCAGCTATGGGGTCTTGCTATGTCGACCAGGTTAGTCGTGAACTCCTGGCCTCAAATGATGCTCCCTCCTAAGCCTCCTGCTGGGATTATAGCTGTGAACATAGTGTGACTGTCCAGGAAACATTGTTTCAATGCATGACTCTAAAGGAAATATATGTGGTTCCTGTTAAGGGGGAAATATTTGAAAATCAGAACAGTGCAGGTACAGAGAAGGATCCCCCAAGCATGTGTGAAACACAATCCTGGAAGAGGAAACACACACATTCCACAGCTACCCACAGAACATTATTGCTCTTCTTGTGTCTGTCTGTATCATTTCAACCCTCTTAGATCCTTATATTCAGTGCCTTTGGGGTTTTTTAAAAATACTATTCCATTTTAAATAGATTTTATTTTGTATATTTAAGGTTCACATAATGAGGTTTTGGGATACCTATAGATAGTAAGTTGGTTACTATAGTGAAGCAAACTAACATACCTATCATCTTACACAGTTACAGTTAAGTGACAGGATCAACTAAAATCTACTTGTTTGACAAAATATCTAATGAAATGCAATTTTATTAACTGTAGACCTCATGATGTACATTACATATCTAGGCTTATTAATTTGACATATCTGATTCTTTGTAACCTTTGAGCTAAATCTCCACAGTTCCTTCTAGAGCCTTGCCCTTGATATCCACGGCTTTATTCCCTATTTCTGTATGTTTCCCTATTTTTTGATTGATTGGTTATTTCTTTTAGATTATATATAGGAGTGAGGTCATGCAATATTTTCTTTTTGCATCTGGTTCATTTCCCTTAGCATATTCATCCATTCATGCTATGGCAAATGGGAAGATTGCCTCCTTTTATAATGCTGAATAATATTCCAATATAGATCAACAGATGCACAGATAGTTTCAAATAGATAGATCAGGTACATAGAGAGATAGATGAAGGATGGAGAGAGATAGACGACAGATAGAGAGAGATAGGTAGATAGAAGAGAGATAAACACTATAGGTATCAGACAGATAAATAGATTAGATGGATACATAGATTAGAAATGTAGATAGGTAGGTATGTTGATAGATGTAGATAGATAAGCTAGGTAGATAGATGATAGATAAGGTAGATGGATAAATAGGTAGACACATAGTTGATACATAAATAGATAGGGTAGCTAGATAAACTAGATAAACAGATAGATTATAGATAGATAATAGATAGTTAGACAGATGATAGGTAGAAAGATATAAATAGACGATTAGACAGATAGAAAACAGGTAGAGAGATAGGTGATAAGATAGATAGATACATTGATAGATTGATAGACAAATAGAGATAGGTAGGGAGATAGAGGATAGATAGATAAATAGAAGAAATAGATTAGGGAGATAGAAAAGGGAGATATATCAAAAATAGAAAGATAGGTTGCAGATTTTGGCTCTTGTGAATAATTTTGCAGTGAACATAGGAATACAGATATCTTTACAAGATAATTTCATCTCCTTTGACTGTATACCAAGAATATGGATTGCTTATCATATGGTCATTCTACTTTTAATTTCTTTAGCAACCTCCATACTGTTTTCCGTAATGGCTGCACCAATCTGCATTCTTGCCTATTTTCCATAGTTGCTGCACCAATCTACATTCTCACCAACAGTGCACAAGTGTTCCGTTTTCTCCACATCATCATCATTTGTTGTCTCTTGTCTTTTTGATAGTAACACTAGTTTTGCAAAGATGTGCCATTGCACAAACTGAAAATGCATGTAAGGATATTAGAGTCAGCATCTGGGGAAACTGATACATTTTCAGCCAGAAAGAAAAGCCACAATGTAAGACTGTTAAAGAGAATGTGCAGAACATGCAGCATTTAACAGGGAAACATAGAGAGACCCTGTCTCTGCCATATATATATATGTGTGTGTATATATATATATATATATATATATATATATGTGTGTGTGTGTGTGTGTATATATATATACACACACACACATACACATACATATATAAATATATATTTTATATATTATAAATTTATATATGTTTATAATTATGTTTATAATTAAATATAAATATATTTAATATTTTAAAATTTTTTAAAAATATTTAATAAATATTTAAATATATTATATATAAATATACATATTTAAATTTATATTATATAATATATATAATATTATAAATTTATATTTATATATTATAAATATATATTTATATATATATTTTGAGAGTGATATATATATACACACATATATCCTGGTGTGATTGAACATGCCTGTAGTCCCGACTACTGTAGGGGCTGAGGCAGTAGGATTGATTGAGCACAGGAAGTCGAGGCTGCAGTAAGCCAGTATCACTCCATTGCATTTCAACCTGGGAGGCAGAATGAGAGCCTGCCTCAAAATTAAATAAAACTGAACAAAAAGAATGTGCAGCATGGAGGAAAACAAAGTTCTCACTGAAATATTTGCTAAGAAAATCTTATGCATCCTATCCAATCCATGAAGAGTTCTTATCTTTACAAGGACAATTCTGGAAATTTGAGAGTCAGTAGCATGTCATATCTTGAAATAATCCTTCCCAGACCTATTTAGTTTAAAAATGTTGATCTTTTCTTGTCGCTTCTAGTACCATCTATGAAGACCTGAAAACATTTTCAGAACCATTTATATTAAATTTAGTAAACTTACAGTTTAAGTCAATTAGGTTCAAATGAGATTAAAGCTGATGAATTTTCTTTCTTCCCTGTCCAATGTAAACAACATATGTTTGGAGTCTTTCACGCAAATGTCATTAAACTGCAAATTATTTTACAACTTCTCAGTAGTGAGTAAGTGAAAATATGCATTCTGGAATTCATATAATATGCACATTTGGATGAATGTATTTTTTGAAATGCAGATGAGATACTGAAATGAAACAATGAACATCTGTATATTTAGTCTATCTACACTAATTTGTGTACATATATCTGTGAAAATATTATATAAACATATATAATATAGAAGATAATTGATAGTAAATGTATAAGTTGCATTATTTTCTTAAAGTCTTACTTTGAAATCTCATTTCAATGCTCTTTTTAATTTGTTTTTTCCAGATGAAGGACCCAGTGTCTTAAAATATGGTAGGAAAACTGGAAATTCAAAAAGACATTTTAGTCACTGTTAGGTGCTATGGAATGAATTGTGTTTCCAGAAAAAAAAAATGTGTATATTGAAGTCATAACCCCTAAGACCTTCTAATGTGGCCATATTTGTAAATAGTGTCTTTGAAAAGGTGATTAGGGTAAAATAAGGTCACTAGGGTGGAACTTGATCCAATAGAACTGCTGTCCTTTTAAGAAAAGGAGATTGGCCAGGCATAGTATCTCATGCCTGTAATTCCAGCTTTTGGGGAGGCTGAGGAGGCTGAGTTGCTTGAGTCCAGGAGTTCGAAACCAGCCTGGACAACATGGTGAAACCTGTCTCTACACAAAATACAAAAAACAAAAAAATTAGCTGGACATAGTGATGCATATCTGTAGTCCCAGCTACTAGGGTGGCTAATGTGGGAGGATCACCGGAGCTCATGAGGCAAAGACTATAGTCAGCCATGATCATGTCACTGCACTACAGGTTGGGGGACAGAGTAAGATCCTGTATCAACAAATAAAAATTTAAAAAAAGAGGAGATTAGGACACAGACACCATGCACAGATGGATGATCATACAAAGTCACAGAGAGAAGATGGTCTCTACCTGCCAAAGAGAGAGGCCTGAGAAGGAACTAGCCTTGCCCACACCTAGATCTTGACCTTCCCGCCTCCAGGACTGTGGGAAAATAAATGTCTGTTGTTCAAGGAGCCCAGTCTGTGGGATTTTGTTATGGAAGCCCAAGCTGACTAGTACTGTGAGCATAAATAATTATATGAAAATAAAATGCATTTTAAAATCATAAAGTTATTTACACTAGACCGGTCTTAGGATTCAAGAAAAATAAATGTCTGTTATTCAAGCAGCCTGGTCTGTGGAACTTTGTAATGGCAACCCAAGCTGACTAGTACTATCAGCGTAAAGAATTATATAAAAATATGACCGGGTGCAGTGACTCACCCCTGTAATCACAGCACTTTGTGAGGCCGAGGTGGGCAGATCACAAGGTCAGGAGATTGAGACCATCCTGGCTAACATGGTGAAACCCCATTTCTACTAAAAATGCAAAAAAATTATCCACGTGTGGTGGTGGGCACCTGCAGTTCCAGCTACTTGGGAGACTGAGGCAGAAGAATGGCATGAACCAAGGAGGTGGAGCTTGCAATGAACTGAGATCCCACCACAGCACTACCGCATGGGTGACAGAGTGAGACTTCATCTCAAAAAAAATTTTATATATATATATATATATATATATATATATATATATATATATATATATATATAAACACATTTAAAAATCATAAAATTATCTACATTACATTGATCTTAGGGTTCCCTGGGAAATCAAGTTTCAGAAGACACTTGTCCGCAGAAATTTTGATGGGGAGAATGATTTTTTTTTTTTTTTGAGACAAGGTCTTGCTCTGTTGCCCAGGTTAGTGTGCAGTGGCACTATCTCTCAACCTCAGAGGTTGAAATGATTCTCCTGCCTCAGCTTCCCAAGTAGGTGAGGTGCAGGCACACCACCACACCTAATAATATAAGAAATACAACTAATATAATATAAGAAATACATCTACTTTTCATATTTTTAAATAGAGATTGGGTTTTGCCATGTTGGCCAGGCTGGTCTCAAATTCCTGACCTCAGTTGATCCACCTGTTTTGGCCTCCCAAAGTGCTGGGACAACAGGTGTGAGCCACCAGTCCCAGCTAGGAGAGTGTTCTTAAACAACCCTCACAGGCATTGAATTGAAAGGCCTGGGGAGAAGGGAAGGATCGTGCCATGTAGGTGCAGGAGGAGCCTCTGCTGAGAGTATTAAAGTGTCCACTGCAAGTCTTTAAGTCTATAACAAATCCCTAAACTGAGCGAGACCCATTATCCAACCTCATGAGTGGTTGATGCAAAGTATGTCAGATAGTATATTTTATAACCATTCAAAGATATTCCTTATTGCACTCAGTTAACAGAAATTGTTCTATGACCATAGTGGTCTCCAAATAAGATTATTGGCCTTCTGAAACCATACATCACTCATCACCAAGTCATTGATTCACTTATGTAGTCTTGAGAGGAAACAACCACTCATCCTTTCTCCTTGGCATCCCTAGTACAGCCTCCATGGAAATCAGTACAGAGCTTCCTCCAAACACTAACAATAGAGCTACCATATGATCCAGGAATCCACCCACTGGATATTTATCCAAAAGAAAGAAAAGCAATATATCAAAGGGATACCTGCACCCCCTGCTTATGATGCAGCATATATCAAAGACAGTGATGTGTGAAATATTATTTTCATTGATATTGTCGATCGCAATATGAAAATGTGGTTGTGATAATAAAGTGTTATAATACAGGTGATAAATTGGGGAAAACTCATAGCATTTGGAAACTATGAATATGAATCATTAATCATATGCACTAATTAGCCAGATTAAGAAATGATGGTTAATTTATTTATACTCATATTTCTGCACTATTCCCAATAGCTAAGATGCAAAATCAACCTCAGTGTCTCTCAGTGGATGAATGGATAAATAAAATGTAGTGTATATTCACAATGGATTACTATTCCACCTTTGAAAAAAGGACATTCTGTCATTTGCAACAACATGAATGGAACCAGAGAACATTATGTTAAGTAAAATAATCCAGGCACAGATACACACATTCTTCATGTTCTAACTTATATGTGGAAGCTACAAAAGTGGATCTCATGGAGGTGGAGAGTAGAATAGTGGTCACCAGTGGCTGAAGAGGGTAGTGAGGAGACAGAAGAAAAATGGATTGGTTAATACGGTACAAAAATACTGTTAAGTAGAAGGAATAAAATCTGGTGCTTGGTAGCACAATATGATGAATATAATTAATCATTTATTGTCTATTTCAAAATTGAAAGAAGAGTATATTTGAAATGTTCGCAACACACACTAATGATAAATGTTGGTGGTAATTGATATCACACTTACCTAGATTTGGTCATTATACCTTGTATGCTTCTATCAATTATCACAAGTATCCTATAAATATGTACAACTATGATGTATCCATTAAAAGGTTTTGAAGAGAAATTTATATTCTCTCTGTTTCACACTGAGTTTTCTCTGACATCTGTACATTCAATGTTTTTACATACATATCTGACTACAAAATAGATATCCTTCACATACCTTTTAATAGGATACATATATGCTTTATATTTATCTCTCAATTTTCACACATAAATAATGGTTACATTTTGTAGTTATTTGGATTTTTCACTTGTATTTTTGCAGGCATTTTGATCAGAATTTTGGAGAAGGCACATCAGACACAGTGATGTGTAAAATATTATTTTCATTGATATTGCTCATCTCAATTTAAAATGTGGTTATGACAATCAGGTGTTATAATACATGGGAGGGACGGTGAAAAACTCATAGCATTTAGAAAGTAAGAATATTAATTAATTATATGCACTAATTAGCCCAAATGAGAAATGATGATTAATCTATTCAGATTCAGCTTTTGGAAACACCAGTTAGAGGAGATGGAAAGCTTGAAAAATGCTAATATAATTAACTTGCCTTTTTGCATCCAAAAGCTTTGAGTGTGGAACAACTCCCAAAGAGGGTGGCTTACTGACTTACAGCACGCTGTTATTTCATGGCTGTAAGTAGAGATCACCAATGAAATGTATTTATTCATGATCAGTTCTTAACTCAACCAAACAATAGAAGATGATAGATGATAGATAGATAGATAGATAGATAGATAGATAGATAGATAGATAGATAGATGATAGCTAGCTAGAAAGATGATAGGTAGAAGATTGATAGATAATACATAGTTATATAGTTAGAAGAGACATAATTAGAATGATATAGATAAATATTAGGTAGATGACAAAGATGTTAGATGAATAGACAGATATAGATAGATTGTAAAGAAAGAGAGAGAGAAAGAAGGAAAGAAAGAAAGGAAAGACAGAAAGAAAGAAAGAAAGAAAGAAAGAAAGAAAGAAAGAAAGAAAGAAAGAAAGAAAGAAAGGAGGAAGGAAAGAAAGAAAGTTGAGAGATGATGAAAGTAGATAGATGGATGTTGGGTAGATGAGGGATGATAGATAAAGACAGATGACAGATAATAGAAAGAAAGTGAATGGTAGACAATGATAGACAATAGATAGATAGATAGATAGATAGATAGATAGACAGATAGATAGATAGATACTGATAATAGAACACAATCCATAAAAAACTCAGCTAGTTTTCAGAAAGAAAAAAAAATTCCCCTAAAGTATGTTTTGAATGAGTAGGGGTTTGAGAAACATAAATTTGTTGAGAATAGTAACTGTGCATTATGATTTCCCATGAATCACTTTTAAAAAAGGATACACATAGGCTAAACTATTTTTTCAGGCAGCCAAGTTTATTTGTTTACTTTTTTATTTCCAGTTCTTAAATGACCACATTATGAAATGGATAGATAATCAGACTCATTACCACCCAGTTGTGAAAAAGTCCACGTACAGTGTTCAGTACTGAATGGACAGTAAGCCAGAGGAGGTGGCACAATAGCCAGTCAGTCAGTTGTCATATCTAATGGTTTGAAAACACTGACTTGTAGAGATTATTTAAATTTCCAGCTTAATAAAAGAAGCACATATGAAATATGTGAAAGTGTTTAAAACATAAGAAAGAGAAACAATGTATACAAAGATAAACAGGAAATGCACCCCTGCTGAAAGACTTCACAATGGAAATGGAAGAAATTTTACATGGTTTTGAGTGATGAAAACAGAGAAAAGACAGGCAGTTGAGAGAGAAAAAGATAGAGAGAAACAGAGAGAAGTGAAGCAGTGTCAGGCACCATGGATCATGCCTGTTACCTCAGCATTTTGCAAACTCAGGCAGGAGAATCACTAGGGCTCAGGAGTTGGGGACTAGCCTAGGCAACAAAGCAAGAACTTGTCTCTACCAAAAATTTGATAAATTAGCCAGGCGTGGTGGTACACACCTGTAGTCCCAGCAACTTGAGCTCAGGAGGTTGAAGCTGTTCAGTGAGACATCACAGCACCAGTCTACTCCAGCTTGAGCAGCAATGCAAGACTCTGTCTCAAAAATGGGAATGGAGGGAAGGAGGAGGGGAGGCAGGGGAACAAAGAAAGAGAGAAAAGGGAAAGGAGGAAAGAAGAAAGAAGGCAAGGAAGAAAGGCAGGGAGGGGAGAAAGGAAGGAGAACAAAAAAGGGAAAGATAAAGAGAATGGAAGCAAGGAAGGAAGAGAGAGAGGGAGGAATAGAGAGTGGGAGGGAGAGAGGGAGATGTAGCATGGTATGTGGAGAGTGAACTCTCAGCTCTTGTAAGTTCTTTCCAAAATTGCCAACCAAGAGTATCCCCTATCAGCATGGTGTCCACCCATCTCCATTGCCATCTCTCTCTTCTCTGTCTGTTTCTATCTTCTGACCATCAAATTTATTTCACACCAGTGTTAGGAAATGTCCCTTGTTGTCTTCTCCAAACATTACCTATGTCTCCTTACTAAGCAGTTGCTACCATCATGCATCTCACATTTATCCTATGCCATAAAGCTTGGTCATTTGGTTTAATGGAAAGGGACATCTCAGAGCTATACTTCTATGATGTGTGTGCATCAGAGAGTTAAAAAATTACTGTGAACATAGATTTCCCGTTAAGAACTATATGGTTCTTACTATGTCCAGAAAAAGTCTTACGCACTTTGTAAATAATAATTGAGGTTATTGTATTTTTACATTGTATTAATCACAGGTAGTTAAAGCAAACTCCTGAAAGTTGAAAAGACTGAATGATGTTAAATAATTTGATAATATATGTATACAATATTGTATATAAAATAATATAAAATATACATATATGTAATTATTAATATTTTGAATTTAAAATAATAATGCCTTTGAAATAGAAATACCATATAAATAATGGCTGACAGGGTTTTTGTGTTTGAGATACCAGAATGTCCACTGATATTTTATTAGCCAATTTCTAACTCTGTGGATATAAGTGGAAGATAGCAATATCATCACACAAGATCGGGGTGAGTACTGTATCATCATTGGGCAACTTAATAAATGTCTTCACTTTATAATCAAAATAAAAATCTTTGAAGAATGGAAGGAGGGAGTGATAATTGAATTGTGTTACTCTGTTCTTAAAATATTAATAAAATGTAATGTTCATATGCCTAAAAGAGTAAGCTGCTATTTACTGTTGAAGATAGAAGCCTTGAAGTAACCTTTACTCAATGAAGACACACCACTAGATACTCAGACTTTAAGCTTTGGGCAGCAAAGCATCCAAATGCTTTAATGAATTCATGTGCAACTGTTTTCTCAGCACAGTAATCCAAAAACAAAAAATAAAAACAAAAACCAAAAAAACCCAAACTCTAACAGCAACTTAACTACTTACAAGTAAATGCTTATTTTTAAAAGGGCTATTTGGCATTTCAAAAGGATTTCAAATTGCACTGAACAAACTAACCATTCATTTTGCATTTGAGCAACTTGCCTCTTATTATTTAAATTGTGTCTAAAATAATTTCTCAATGATGGCTAAGTTCAACTTCTTGTTAGGTCCATGTGGATCACTAGTTCATTTTTGAGTAATTTACACTGGCAAGAAATCACAGATCCCAGAAATTTATGTTAGCACCAGATAGAACAAACGTTAATTACCCTTCCTTAAGATCAACAGTTTTTAGTTTATTATTTGTTTATTCATTTATTTATTTTTGAGATGGAGTCTCACTCTGTCACACAGGCTGGAGCGCAGTGGGGGGATCTTGGCTCACTGCGAGCTCCAGCTCCCGGGTTCACACCATTCTCCTGCCTCAGCCTCCCAAGTAGCTGGGACTACAGGTGCCCACCACCACTCCTGGCTAATTCTTTTTTTTTTTTTTTTTTTGTATTTTTTGTTGAGATGGGGTTTCACTGTGTTAGCCAGGATGGTCTCGATTTCCTGACCTCGTGATTCACCCCCCTTGGCCTCCCAAAGTGGTGAGATTACAGATGTGAGACACTGTGCCTGGCCTTAGTTTATTATTAAGAAAGGTCATCAGATTACTGTAACTATTGAGAAGGAATTACTTCCATACATTACCTTTTTAGCAAATAGAGTCAACTTAAACCAGGGATATTGCTAGTATTCATTATGGCACAGTTTTTTAACTTCTTTCAGTTCTTCATGTTTATCTGGATCTTCTATATTTGTAAAGAGAGCATTTGTATACTGTTCCAAAATCATACGATGTGTTAGTGAAAATAATTGTCCTGTTCACTATTTTTTATGTAACAGTTTTAATCATTCATCAATATGTATGGATTTAGCCAATTATAGCCAACTTGCTATAATTGTATTAATTATGCTGAGCATTAAGTAAAAATGAGCAAGCTATTGTCATCTGGATTTAGGACACAGAAATACCAGAAAGCAGGAGCTTTTCCCATTTTTTTGTGGGGAGTTGTGGGGTGGAGTCTCACTCTGTGGCCCAGGTTGGAGCACAGTGGTGTGATCTTGGCTCACTGAAAGCTCTGCCTTCTGGGTGCATGTCATACTCCTGCCTTATTCCTCCAAGTAGCTGGGACTACAGGCACCCACCACCATGCCCAGATAATTTTTAGTATTATCAATAGAGATAAGGTTTTACTGTGTTAGCCAGGATGGTCTTGATCTCCTTGTGTCTGGAGTTGGTTCCTTCCAGTGGGTCTGTGGTATTGCTGACTTCAAGAATGAAGCCACAGAACTTCACAGTGAGTATTATAGCTCTTAGTGGTGGCATAGACCCAAAGAGTTAGCAGCAGCAAGATTTATTGTGAAGAGTGAAAGAACAAAGGCTTCCACAGTGTGGAACTGGAACCAAGCAGGTTTATGCTGCTGGCTGGGGTTGCCAGCTTTTATTCTTTTATTTGTCCCCACTCATGTCCTGCTGATTGGCCCATTTTACAGAGCGCCAATTGGTCCATTTTATAAACCTCTAGCTAGCCAAAGAGTGCTGATTGGTGCATTTTTGCAGATCACTGACTGGTGAATTTTACAAACCTCTTGCTAGCTACAGAGCATCAATTGCTTCATTTTACAATCTCCTTGTAGGAAAGAAAAGTTCTCTTGGTTCTCCATCGACCCAAGAAGTCCATCCAGCTTCACCTCTCAATCCCCCCTCTAAATGGGACACCCCAACTGCTGTTGAGAATAGGGTGATGACCACTCTAGCTATTTCCTGCTGGACAGGGGCAGAGAAGGGGCCCTGCAGTTTTAGTGTCCTCCAGAGGGGAACTCTGTAGGCCAATCAAAGGACCAGTGGTTTGGTCCAGGGGCCCTTGGCAGAATTTTTTAGTTAAGATCATTCGGGGTTTCACTGGTAAGACCATCTGTAGCTTGATGGCCTCAATCCTAGAGGAAGCAAATTTGACAAGGAGGTTAAAAATAGAGGGCCCAAAGGTGATTAATAGCAGGATGGCTGTCACGGGACCTAGAAAGGGGATAAGTCATGTCACCCAACTCCAGAGGTTGGTATAAGAGTTTGAAAGGCATGTGTCTGATTTCAGAATCTTTTCCCGTAAATGCTGGTTGGTGCCTCATACTATCCTGGACTGGTTAGTGTAAAAACAACACTCTTCACCTAAGAAGGTGCAAAGTCCTCCTTTCTCAGCAGTAAGGAGATCTAGGCCTTAGCAGTTTTGTAGGGTCACTGCTGCCAAAGAGTCTATTTGGGATTGTAGAGTAAGGATAGATTTTGTTATTTCTTGCAAACTGTCTGAGAAATCCTTTGAGAGTGTGTGGTAGTAGGATAATGAAGTAGATAAACTGGCTATTCTGGCTCCTTTAACAGTCGCCCTTTCCAACCTAGTAAGTAAGGGTATTAATTGTATGGCCTGCACTGATGGACTTGAGCTTTGAGGTGCATCACTGTGAAATCACTGATAGGGTGTGATTTCCTGGGGCAATGTCAACACTGGGACTTAGGAAGACTAAGATGCAGGTTCATGTCTAGTTGGTGGGGAGGCAGATATAGGTTGAAGTTCCACATAAGAAGAATATGCCTTGGCTGGGTAGACAGGTTGTGTATGTTTTAAAGGTGTGTGAGTTTGTTTTTTTCATTTTCCCATACTCCTAGACTACTTGCCAAGGTAGCTATGGTGAGCAGCTGGAAAGGAGTGCTGGGAGCAAACTGAGTGGCTCCCTGTGTTCTATTTTCCCATTGGAGAACAAACCATTTTGTATCTACTAGGAACCATTTGAGAGAGTGATTGAAAGAGGGGATGAGAAGGCAATCATAAGTCATGGGGACACTGCTGCAGGTGGTCCACAGTTGAATGGTCATGCAGAGAGTATGCCTGCCATTACAAAACCCAGACTGTTTGTTAAGCAAAAAGGAGATAATGATTTTTGGAGGTCCTGAGAAGTGAACAAGCCATTTGAATGGAGCTTTTTGGGTGACTTGGAAGTTTCTATGACCAGTTGGGCTTGAAGTTGTAGCTTGTAATTACACTAATGGGGAAGTAGGTGCCACAGGGGCAGGCCTGATAAGAGGTTGCATTGGGTGCATAAAGGGACTTGGAAAATTAAGATGGTATTCGTGTTTACAGAGGCATATATGGGCTTTTCATTGCTTGTGTAATAGGTGAAGTTAGAAATGTAAGAAAGTAGAAGCTGAATTGTGCATCCTGTTAAGATATTCTTGGATATATCAGAGATAGGAAAGTCAGCTAATAATTGCATATTTAGAAGTCAGAAAGGATATCTTCCTTCATAACAAGGGTGGTAGGTTAAGTTAGTAGAGACCCAGTTTTTTGCAGGAACGGGAGTGGTAACGTAAGCAGTGGTTGATAGAGAAATGCAAAGCCAACAGTCATTTACCAGGGAAGGATTGGACTGATTTAGCAGGGAGAGAGTTAAGACGAGAGTCTTGTAGATGTAATTAGAAGCTAGTGAAAAGGGAGGGGCGGCTGTATGGGGTATGCAAGGAAGAAAGAAGAATAGATAGGCAAAGAGTAAGTAGGAAGGTAAAGAGGGTGCTCTGGAAGATGAGATTATTTTACTCAGTCTTAGTTAAACGTAGGAGTAAGTTGCTGTCAGAAGGAAGGATGATAGAAAAAAGGTTGTTGTGATTAGGATTTTTGTCCTGGCAGGAGCTACAGTATATAGTCATATTGCAAAAATTATGGTTAGTATGCTTCTTAATAATGTGATGAAAGAGTAAAATGGTTCCATTAAAGGGGCAAGGAGAGGTGTTAAAGATTATGCAGGTTTTCACTTATTTTTTAAAGTAGGAAGTGGTTTTTCCTCAGGATCAGCTGTAGGAGCCTTTTTGGTCTGTGATGTTTTCTTCCAAAATAGGAGATGCAAGTCCTCCAATGGCTCACAGGTGTATCAAGGCTGGTCTGGCTTATCTTGGGACTCTCGAGTTGTTGGTCCCACAGATTACTCAGGGAGTGTCCAAAGTTTAACTCAGGTGTGGTGAATCTAGGATTTCACTCCTGCTACCTTAACTGCAGTGGTGGTAGAGAGGATTACTGAGCATGGTCCTTCCCACAAAGAATCCATAAATGGGGAGGTAGACAGGAGAGATTTGACCAACACTAGATGTTGCAGTTGAAACAACTCCATTCCCTTTTCTCTGTGACATCCTTCAGGTAGGTTTCCAACATTTTGTTGGTATTTTGCCAAAGAAGTTATATATTTGACAAAGTTGGCCATTTTCTGATCAAGCAGGAGGTCTTTGTGAGAAAAGATGGTCCATATAGCATTTCATATGGACTGAGCCTCATTTTGTCAGGAGTATTTTGTATTCTCAAGAAGACCATGGGCAAGAAAGTAGCCCATGGGAGAAAAGTTTCTTGTATTCATTTCCTTAAGTGCCTCTTGAGTGTTTCATTTGCCTTTTCCACCTTCCCTGAGGGTTTTGGCATCCAGGTGCTGTGAAGATGATACTCTATCCCTAGTGTCCTGGAAATTCCCTGAGTTATTGTGGCTTTAGAAGCCGGGCCATTCTCACTCTGTAAGCTTTGGTGAAGCCTAAACCTAGGAATTATGTAATGAATTAGGACTTTAACCACTTCCTGAGCCTTCTCTGTCTTGCAGGGGAAAGCTTCTATCCAATTTATAAAGGCAACAACACAGACCAGCAAGCATTGAAATCCCCTAGATATAGGCAAATGGGTGAAGTCTAACTTTCAGTTCTTTCTGGGATAGTGATGTATTCTTTTTTGCCCCAAAGGGGCCTTATGATAGACCAAGGGATTACTCCTTTGTCACACCTCAGAGGCTATGACTACTACTTGTCGGATGGTCCAGAGGAGATTTGGGCCTGTAAATAGGGATTTGGCCATTTGATGAGTGTTCTCAATATGGATATGAAAAGTTTGGTGAAGGGTCTTAGTATTTTTCATTGGCTGGCTTTGAGTATTCGTACCTTTCTCTCTTCTGTCATTAACCACCCTGAGGGGAGAAAACCATGCCCCTGTGAAAGTCTCCATTCTGTTTCATTCGTGGAATACTGGGGCTTAATCTCTTGGACAGGATTGTTCCATATCAAGGGTCCTTCTGTAGGTATTTCCAATGGGAGGTTCCAACTGGAAGCAATTTTGGCCTCATCATCTGCCGGATGGTTCCCTTCTGCCTTTCCTACTTCACCTTTTTGGTGGCTTTGGCAGTGTAAGATGGCCACATCCTTGGGCTTTCAGACTGCGTGCAATAACTCCATGATTTCCTTGTGTTATTTAAAGGGGGTTCCCCCCAGAGGTTAAGAATTCCCTTTCTTTCCATATTGCAGGATGGGCATGTAGGATTAGATAAGCATGCTTATAACTATAATGATGAACACATGAACAATGCCCTCCAAAATCATATTTATTTATGAAGAGGATCATAATCACACAATTAAAATATTAGTTCTAAGAACCTTGGAAAGGCACATTTAAGGAAGCCTAGTGGTTAGGTAAATTGATAGCAACTGAGATAATTGAAAATCCTGAGCTTTTTACTGGACAATCAAAATAGAAACATTTAGGGAGAGAACTTACAAAGGATATTCAAAGGTAATACTCTTTATTACCATTTGCTTATCAAATGCTAGGTAGTGCCATATAATTTTTAATACATAGTTTATTCCTATAAAAATACCTCAGGATTTCCTATTTGCAGATGCTATCATAAAGGTGTCACAGCTGTAGGTCATGTGATTGACATTATTCACTTCCCAAGCTTCTTCCATCCTTCACCCAGTAAATATTTATGGTTGCTCTCTTTGTATGTCACCATAATTTTCTGCTCCAGTGGTGTCCATCTGAGCATAGCCTAAATGGTAGAGACTAGGGTGTGGAGAGTGGGCAGCTAGGTGGATTTGGGACATATCACAGAGGTGCCTGAACTCACTGCCTTCATGGATTGACTACAATTGATTCTCCAAGTCCTGCCAAGCTTCCTGGACTTTTTTTTAATGTAAAGTGGAACAATTGATGCCTCCTCATTAAGTGGACCTTTTTTTTTTTTTTTTTTTGACAGAGTCTCACTCTGTCACCCAGGCTGGAGTGCAGTGGCATGATCTCAGCTCACCACAACCTCTGCCTCTCAAGTTCAAACAATTCTCTTGCCTCAGCCTCCTAAGTAGCTGAGATTACAGTAGTGCACCACCATGCCTGACTAATTTTTTTGTATTATTTGTAGAGATGAGTTTTCGACATGTTGGTCATGATGGTCTCAAATTTCTGAACTCAGGTAATCCACCAGCTTCGGCCCCCCATAGGGTGGAATTACAGCTGTGAGCAACCATGCCCAGCTAAGTGAGCCTCTTCTAAGAGGGTTGATTATTGAATACTGAAGAGGGTCCTTATTCAAAGGATCATTCTGAATAAACAACAATGGTATTTCCCTTGTGAATTGTTTTCTAGGGAAATAGGAAATATCAAGTCAGATTTGAGAAGAATTGGAATAACTACTATAATAATAGACATGGGCAGAATACAAAAATTAATTATACAGAGATGCAACCTTAGAAATGACAGCAAGAAGAGTTGGATTTAATGGAGAATTCTACAAACCCACCCAGAAAGAGATGGATTATTTTCATGTTATATAAAATAAATGTACCAGAACAGACAGATATATGTGGAAAGTTTCAATTAATGCAATGAAACAGTATAAGCTGAAAAAGGACAGAGAATGACTCAACATTGTTAAGGAAAGAATGAGAGTAGAAATGCTGAGTTAGTACACACAGACAGTTTTCTTGATATATTGTTTCCTCTGTGAAGACAAAGAAAAGCAAGATGGTATTGAGCATAAGAAATCAAACTGCACAAACTTCTGTGTTCTAATATTGGAGTCAAGAGAGTGTGCTTGTTTTCTCATTAGGGACATACAGAGAGAAAAACTCATGGTTAATAGGAACATGATATCATTTCTGCAGTGAAGATTGAAGAAGTCTACCAGGAAATAAATCCATGACCAGATAGTAAAGAAAGTCTTTGATAAAAGTAGGCACATTTGATCTGTTAAAATATGAAACAGGCAAAGCCCAAATACAGATAATTCTTTCAGGGATAAATTAGAGATCAAACCTTCTTCTGAATAGGTTTCATGTTCTCAGTGAATTATAAGTCAATGTCTTCAGGAAGATGGCTTGAAGATCCTCTAGTACAAATATTTAAAGTAGAAAGAAAGATGATTGAAATACTCATCTCCAAAGGACAGTATTACCCTAAGAAGATGGATAAGTAAAGAGAATGTGGGATACATACACAGAACCAAAACCAGAAACCACATGATCATCTCAATAAACTCAGAAAAGTCTTTTGAAAACATCCAGTCTCCCTTTGGGTTAAAAACCCTCAAATCAACAAACTGGCATGCACTACCACGCATTGAAGGAATGTACTTCAATATAATGAGATCTATCTATGACAACACATCATACTAAATGGGCTAAAACTGGAAGCATTATTCTTGAAAACCAGAAAATGTTATGGATGCTCTGTCACTAGTCCTATTCAACATAGTACTGGAAGTCCTATCCAGAGCAATCAGGCAAGAGAAAGAAATAAAATCATTAAAAAGTGACATTGGCCAGGTGTGGTGGCTCATACCTGTAATCCCAGCACTTTGGGAGGCAGAGACAGGCAGAATACCTGAGGTCAGAAGTTTGAAACCATGTGGGCAATGTCGTGAAAGACCATCTCTAGAAAAAATAAAAAGCTTCACTAGGGGAAAGAAAAACCTGATACCAGCCACTGCAAAAACATACCAAATTTATAAAGACCACTGACACTATGAAGAAACTGCACCAAATAATGTGCAAAATAACCAGCTAACATGAAAATGACATGATCAAATTTTTAAATTTTTTTTTTGAAAAGAGGTTTAATGGACTCACAGTTCCAAGTGGCTGGGGTGGCCTCACAATCACAGCAGAAGGAGAAAGGCACATCTCACATGGTGTCAGAGAAGAGAAGAGAACTTGTGAAGGGAAACTCTCCTTTACAAAACCATCAGATCTCTTTAGTCTTATTCACTACCATGAGAACAGCATGGGAAAGACCAGCTGCCATGATTTAATTACTTCCACTGGGTTTCTCCCATAAGGTCCAACCCCACAGGGTCAGTGAGCTTTTCTTCTTCTGTGAGGAGATAAGAGATTCTAGAAATAAAGACACAAGACAAAGAGATAAAAGAAAACTGGGCCCGTTTGACCACTACAAACAAGACGCGGAGACTGATAGTGGCCCCAAATATCTGGTTGTGCTGTTATTTATTGGATACAAAGCAAAAGGGGCAGGGTAAAGAGGGTGAGTCATTGCCAATGATAGGTAAGGTCACGTGGGTCACGTGTCCACTGGACAGGGAGCCCTTCCCTGCCTGGCAACCGAGGCAGGGAGAGAGGACAGCCTAAGCCATTATTTGCATATCAGAGATTTTAGTACTTTCACTAATTTTGCTACTGCTATCTAAAAGGCAGAGCCAGGTGTACAGGGTAGAACATGAAAGCAGACTAGGAGAATGAGCACTGAAACACAGCATCACAGGGAGATGGTTAGACCTCTGGATAACTGTGGGCAGGCCTAACAGATGTCAGGCATTCCACAAGAGGTGGAGGAGTAGAGTCTTATCTAAACATCCCGAGGGAAAGGGAGACTCCCTTTCCCAATCTGCTAAGTAGCAGGTGGTTTTCCTTGGCACTGATGCTACCACTAGACCATGGTCCACTTAGAAAAGGGCATCTTCCCAGATGCTGGTGGTACCGCTAGACCAAGGAGCCACTTAGAAGTCCTGTCCAGGCACAACAGAGGGCTCACACTCTTGTCTTCTGGTCATATCTCACTATGTCCCCTCAGCTCCTATCTCTGCATGGCCTGTTTTTTCATAGCTTATGATTATAGAGCAAGGATTAATACAGTATTGGAATAAAGAGTAATTGTTACAAACTAACGATTAATGATATCCATATACGATCATATCTATGATCTATGTCTAGTATAACTCTTGTTGTTTTATACAGTTTATTATAATAGAACAGCTCACGCCCTCTGTCTCTTGCCTCTGAAACTAGGTGGCTTGCTACCCACACTCTCCCACAACCCATGGGAATTGTGGGAGCCACAATTCAAGATGAGATTTGGGTGGGGACACAGACAAATCATATCAAAGGTTAAACAGCACACTTGTTCTTCAAGTTGCCCACTTGAGTCTTTTCCAAGCATACTTTCCTTTTTTTCGTGTCTTAAAGCCTTTTTAAATAAACTTCTCTGCTCCAAAACTTGCCTTGGTCCCTTTTTCTGCTTTATGCCCCTCAGTTGAATTCTTTCTTCTGAGGAGGCAACAACTGATGTTGCTGCAGACCCATAAAGATACACGGCCGGTAACCCAACTACTTTCCACTGGTAAAACTATGGGCCTAGAAAAGATGATATAATTTTGGACCACTTGGACACATTTCAGAATTTCAGAAAAAGGCATCTCTTTAACTCGATGATAAGTACATCATGGAACTAACTTCTATGTCAAGAGAGTAAGGACAGTGATTTCATAATGTTTACGACCTTCAGTATACTCAAATTTAATCATTGTTCTTTCACATTAAAAAGTAGTATTGAGGCCACCTCAGAATCACTGTATACATTGGGAAAACAGGTTCTTATTTATAGTGCTGCAAATGTATTAGGGCTTTAAAAGTGAATGAGTTCTTTAACGTTCAAGGCCAAAATTGCTGACAAAGCCCCCTCTGTCTTCTTCAGTCCCCAGAGCACATCCTTCCTTCCAGGAGATGATAAACATGAAAGCACACAGTACTGACTGTAGTTGTCTGTCTCTGGCATATGGCACCAACAATGAGGGATGAAACACTCTGATAACTGGCTTTGGAATCAGAAACACTTCTTGCAAGAGAAGCAAAATGATTCTTCCCTGCAACATGAGAATTGTCATGAGTCCCTCCACTTTCAGAGAGGTTGCTTGAAACAGGAAAGGAGAAATCAGCCAAGAGTATAATGTCTGCATTCTTCACAATCTGTCATTTCATTGGCCAAAGCTTTAGCTTGGAATAGGGTCTGATATTAGTTTTGGTTATGAGTTTGCCAGTGATCACCCCACAGTAGAAAGTCCCACGTGTTAGTCATAAAATCTTCATCTCAAGGACACCAGGCAATTCACACTTCATGGTTAACAAAAATGAAATATTGAAGACATGCTCAGAGAAGTGGCATAAATGAGTATTTACACAGCTATCCCAGAGATGCTCTGTGTGAGTCAGGTGAGAACAAACAAGATGGCTAGCATCACTTCTTTTTTCAGAAAGCAAGCCAACAGGAGTCCCATGCAAGCATTGTACTCATTATGCTACTAGCTAAATCCAGGTGATTTACAACTGCAATTCATTTTCAGTGAAATACCTTTGCCCACATATTAAAACCTCTCTGCACAAGCATTTCTAAGCATTTCTAAAGCATTAAACAACCATTTCACAAACTCAATTCAGAAAAAAAGATGAGCTCAGCTCTGAAATGTTTGTTAAGTCTCTGTTACATAATTGCATGTATGAATTCATCTGCTTCACCTATTTATGTGTGTGTCAAATGAAGAGAAGTATTAACAACTCTTGCCTCCTCTTGTCAAAAAAAAAAAAAAAAACTTTATAAAGAAGCTTTCATCATGTCGCTATTCCACCCAAATGTCATCTTATCTTGTATAACATGTTATATAATTTCATTTTAAACCTAGATGTGAGAAAAGTGATATCTCAAAAATGCCATGGTGAGAACACCCAGGTGTCCGGAATTTTATAAACTTTACCGTATATTCACATAAAATTTCTTCTATACCAATATCATCAGTTTCTTAAATATATTATTCAATTCCCATGTTAAATAATAGTGTTAGGTTATCCACTCTTTTATAGATACCTGACTTTAAAGTTCTCACAAGCTGAAACTCCCATGTTCTTATTTTAAATAGAACAAAGAAAGTTTCTCTAGCTAAGATTGTCATTTTATTCATCACAGAATTATACTTGAGGGAAAATAAAAAGACTGCACTTGAATTATTTTAAAGCAATCTATGAAAACGTACTGTATTGGGGCATCATTCCCCAGTATCATACGCAATACTAGCAAAACGGTTTCTATGGTTTAACTAACACAAAACTCACTTTTGTAAACAATGATAGGTCAATATTTTCAAATCAATTATGCCTAAGCACATAAATCAAAAGAAAGTCACACTCCATGTCTTTAGAGAGGATCATCCCATAACCAAAATTAGGTATATGGCCTTCTATGCTATCTTAAAATATCTCACTGGTTAATGTTACTCAACATCTCATAACATATAACCCAGAACTCTCCCCATCAACACTCACACGCTTGTAATTTACGCATAGTCTGTCCCTTATATTTGTGACTTTCACAGCCACATATTCAACAAACCACTCCTTATATTTTCATATTCTTATGAATATGCATATGTTGTAAATAACACCATGAAAATTTAAGGAGCTCATGCAACTCAATAGCAAAAAAAAAAAAAAAAAAAAAAAAAAAAGTCAAATAAGTGATTTAGAGGAAAGAAGAAATATAGGAAATAGTGCTTTACCCTAAGAGTCAATCTTAAATTGAGAGGTGAAGCCAGCTGGACTTCCTGGGTCTAGTGGGGATTTGGAGAACTTTTCTGTCTAGCTAAAGGTTTGTAAACACAAAAATCAGCATTCTGTAAAAACACACCATTCAGCACTCTGTGTCTAGCTAAAGGTTTGTAAACACACCAATCAGCACTCTGTAAAATGGACCAATCAGCAGAACATGTGTGGGGCCAAGTAAGGGAAGAAAAGCTGGCCACCCAAGCCAGCAGCGGCAACCTGCTCAGGTCCCTTTCCATGCTGTGGAAGCTTTGTTCTTTCTCTCTTCACAATAAGTCTTGCTGCTGCTCACTCTTTGGGTTCACACTAACTTTATGAGCTGTAACACTCATGATGACGGTCTGCAGCTTCATTCCCGAAGTCAGCAAGACCACAAATCCACCAGAAGGAAAAAACTCTGGACACATCCGAACATCTGATGGAACAAACTCCAGACACACCATCTTTGAGAACTGTAACACTCACCACGAGGGTGCGTGGCTTTGTTTTTGATGTCAGTGATACCAGGAATCCACCTGAAGGAACCAATTCTGGACACATTTTGGCAACCATGAAGGGACAATCACCTGTCAACAACCGGTGAGTACCATCGGGCCCCTTTTGCTTGCTATTCTGTCTTATTTTTCCTTAGAATTTGGGGGCTAAATACCAGGCACCTGTCGGCCAGTTAAAAGCAACTAGCATGACTGCCAGACTAAAGACAGGGGTGTCAGGCTTTCTGGGAAAGGGTTTTCTAACAACCACTGACTCTTCGGAGTTGAGAGCATTGGTTTGCCTGGAACCAGCTTCCACTTTTCCTGTACTTCTGGGCTGAGCTGAGGGTTGACAGAGAGGAAAGCTATTCAGCTGCAGGGTCCCAACAAGAAGTTAGTTGACCCTGCAGCCATGAGCGGAACTCTCAAAGTCATGTCAGCCAAGTGAGACTCACCCATCTCTCCTACCTATCCTGACCCTTGCCTCCCGGGTCCTAATGCTTGTCAGACAAACTTCCTTTTGCCTCTCTTGTCTGAGGCTAGTACTGCTTCTAAAAACCACTCCCTGTCTCTGGTGCTTTTCTAGTTTATCTTATAAGAATGATTTCCAGTATAAACTTCAGGACTCTGTTACCTTCTTTAGGCACTGGGCTCACCAATCAGAAAGACATAATTTTTGCCAAAAGCCCCGTTGGGGCGGGGGACTATCTGGAATTTTAGTATCCATTCTCAGACTAGCAGGCCTAATGAAAGCTATTCCTGAACCTAGGATATGGGGAGCTTCAGAAATGGTATCCTTCCTATTCATAAAAGTGAGGGGAAAAGGCATCACTCTTCCAATTCTGGAGATCCCTTCCCTCCCTCAGGTTATGGCCCTCCACTTCATTTTTGGGGCATAACATCTTCACAGGACAGGGGTAAAGTCCCAATACTAACAGGAGAATGCTTAGGACTCTAAAAGTTTTTTGAGAATGTGTCGGTAAGGGTCACTGAATCCAACCTTCCTCGATCCTCCTTGTGGTCTAGGAGGAAAACTAGTGTTTCTGCCTCTGTGCCAGTGAGCACAACTATTCCGATCAGCAGGGCATAGGGACTGTTGTGGGTTCTTGGGCAAGAGGTGTTTCCACTGCTGCGTTGGTGTGTGCAACTATTCCAATCAGCAGGGCCCAGGGACCATTGCGGGTTCATTGGCAAGAGGTGTTTCTGCTGCTGCATCGGTGAGTGCAACTATTCCAATCAGCAGTATCCAGGGACCATTGTGGGTTCTTGGGCAGGGGGAGAAACAAACATACCAAAACCATGGGCACTTTTGTCTTTCAGATGGGAAACACTCAGGTATCAACAGGCTCACCCTTGAAATGCATCCTAAGCCATTGGCACCAATTTGACCCACAAACCCTGAAAAAGAGGTGGCTCATTTTTTTCTGCACCATGGCCTGGCCCCAGTATTCTCTCTCTGATGGGGAAAAATGGCCACCTGAGTGAAGTATAAATTACAATACTATCCTGAAGCTTGACCTTTTCTGTAAGAGGGAAGGCAAATGGAGGAAAATACCTTATGTCCAAGCTTTCTTTTCACTGAAGAAGAGACCACAACTATGCAAAGCTTGCAATTTATATCCCACAAGAGGACCTCTTAACTTACCCCCATATCCTAGCCTCTCTATAACTCCCCTTCCTATTAATGGTAAACCTCCTCTAATCTCCCCTACCCAGAAGGAAACAAGCAAAGAAATCCCCAAAGGACCATAAACACCCCCGTGCTATCAGTTATGTCTGCTTCAAGCTGTAGGGGGAGGGGAATTTGGCCCAACCTCGGTACGTGTCCCCTTCTCCCTCTCTGACTTAAAGCAGATCAAGGCAGACCTGGGGAACCCTTCAGATGATCTTGATAGGTACATAGATGTCCTACAGGGTCTAGGGCAAACCTTTGATCTCACTTGGACAGATGTCATGCTATTGTTAGATCAAAACCTGGCCTTTAATGAAAAGAATGTGGCTTTAGCTGCAGCCTGAGAGTTTGGAGATACTTGGTATCTTAGTCAAGTAAATAATAGAATGACAGCTGAAGAAAGGGACAAATTCCCTACTGGTCAGCAAGTTTTCCCCAGTATGGATCCCCACTGGGACCTTGACTCAGATCATCAGGACTGGAGTCATAAACTTCTGTTTACCTGTGTTCTAGAAGGACTAAGGAGAAGTAGGAAAAAGCCCATGAATTATTCAATGATGTCCACCATAACTCAGGGAAAAGAAGAAAATCCTTCTGCCTTCCTTGAGCGGGTACAGGAGGCCTTAAGAAAACATACCCCCCTGTCACCTGACTCACTCGAGGGTCAATTGATCTTAAAAAATAAGTTTATTACCCAATCAGCCACAGATATCAGGAGAAAGCTCCAAAAGTGAGCCCTGGGACCTGAACAAAATCTGGAGGCATTATTAAACCTGGCAATCTCAGTGTTCTAAACAGGTACCAAGAGGAACAGGCCCAAAAGGAAAAGAAAGATCAGAAAAAGGCTGCAGCCTTAGTCATGGTCCTCAGACAAACAAACCTTGGTGGTTCAGAGAGGACAGAAAATGGAGCAGGCTAATCACCTGGTGGGGCTTGTTACCAGTGTGGTTTTCAAGGACACCTTAAAAAGATTGTTCAATGAGAAACAACAACGACCCCCTCATCCATGTCTGCTATGCTGAGGCAATCACTGGAAGGCACACTGCCCCAGAGGGCAAAGCTTCTCTGGGCCAGAAGCCCCCAGCCAGATAATCCAACAACAAGATTGAGGATGCCTGGGGTGAGCGCCAGCTCATGTCATCACCCTCACTGAGCCCTGGGTATGTTTAAACTTTGAAGGCCAGGAAATTTACTTCCTCCTGGCACTGGAACAGCTTTTTCAGTGTTAATCCCCTGTCCTGGGCAGCTGTCCTCAATGTCCGTTACCATCCAAGGAATCCTGGGATGGCCTGTAAAACCAGGTATTTCTCCCACCTCCTCAGTTGTATTTGGGAGACGTTGCTCTTTTCTCATGCCTTTCTTGTTATGCCTGCACATCCCATACGCTTATTAGGGAGGGACATATTAGCCAAAGCTGGAGCTATTGTCTACATGAATATGGGGAACAAGTTACTGATTTGTTGTCCCCTGCTTGAGGAAGGAATCAAGCCTGTAGTCTGGGTGTTGGAAGGAACAAACTCAAGCTCCAGCCATAAGCCTTGCCACAGGACAAAACTTCTCTTTATACATCACAGAGAGAACAGGAATAGCTCTTGGGGTCCTTACTCAGACTCATGGGACAACCCCACAACCAGTGGTATACCTCAGTAAGGAAACTGATATAGTAGAAAAAGGCTAGCCTCACTGTTTACAGGTACTTGCAGCAGTGGCCATCTTAGTGTCAGAGGCTACAAGGAAAGGATCTCACTGTCTGGACTACTCATGATGTAAACGGCATATTAGGTGCCAAAGGAAGTTTATGGCTTTCAGACAACCACCTGCTTAGATACCAGGCACTACTCCTTGAGGGACTGGTGCTTCAAATACAGACATGTGAGGCCCTCAGCCCTGCCACTTTTCCCCCAGAGAATGGGGAACCAGTCGAGCATGACTGACAACAAATTACAGTCCAGACTTATGCCACCCAAGAGGATCTCTTAGAAGCCCCCTTAGCTAATCCTGACCTTAACCTGTATACCGATGGAAGTCCATTTGTGGAGACTGGGATACAAAGGGCATGTTATACCATAGTTAGTGATGTAACCATACTTGAAAGTAAGCCTCTTCCCCCAGAGACCAGCACCCAGTTAGCAGAACTAGTGGCACTTAGCTGAGCCTTAGAACTGGGAAAGGGAAAAACAGTAAAGGGGTATACAGATAACAAGTATGCTTATCTAATCCTACATGCCCATGCTGCACTATGGAAAGAAAGGGAATTCCTAACCTCTGGGGAACCCCTATTAAATATCACAAGGATATCATTGAATTATTGTACGCAGCGCAAAAACCCAAGGAGGTGGCCATCTTACACTGCCAAAACCATCAAAAAGGGGAAGGAGAGGGGAGAACTGCAGGATAAGCATCTGTCAGAGGCAGGGAAAGATCAGCAGAAAGGAAAGAGAGAAGAGAAAGAACATCAGAGGGAAAGAGAGGAAGAGACAGAGAAAAAGAGGGAGTCAGAGAGAGAGAGAGAAAGAGAGAGACAGAAAGTCAAAGAGAGAGAGCAAGAGACAGAAAAAGAGGGAGTCAGAAAGAGAGAGACAAAGAAGAATTCAAAGAGAAAGAAAGAGATATGGAAGTAGTAAATCAAAAACAGGGTACCCTGTTCCTTTAAAAGCCAGGGTAAATTTAAAACCTATAATTCATAATGACGGTCTTCTCCATAACCCTATAACTGCACTCCAATACCACCTTGTTCTCAGCATAAACAAGGGCATAGCCCCAAAGCACTGAGGCCACGGACAACCCATAGCCTTCCTATCAAAAATCCTTAACCCAGCAGGTTTCCTAACAGGGGATCTAAATCTTAACTAATTACCATACAAAGGTCTGACCAGGCCTAGGAGGAACCCCCTTCAGGACAGGAAGATAGACGATTCCTCCCAGAAGATTAAGGAAAAAGACACAATGGGCATTCAGTAAGTGACAAGGAAACTCTTGCAGAAGTAGAGTTAGGAAAATTGCCTAAAAACTGGTCTGCTCAAACCTGTGAGCTCTTTGCACTCAGTCAAACCTTAAAGTACTTACGGAATCAGGAAGGAGCCATCTATAGCAATTCTAAGTTAATATGGACTGAATAAGGTCTTTTTAATAGCACAGAACAATGGAAAGCCCAAACTTACAAGGTTTTCAACAAAAGTAAAGTTTGCTAAAACTTTACAGTGTAACATGTATTATCCTAATACCACACACTCTCATCTCAAAGGATTTCTCAGACAGTTTGCAAGAACTAACAAAACCTATCCTTACTCTACAATCCCAAATACATTCTTTGGCAGCAGGGACTCTCCAAGGCCTGGACCTCCTCACTGCTGAGAAAGGAGGACTCTGCACCTTCATAGAGGAAGAGTGTTGTTTTTACACTAACCAGTCAGCGATAGTATGAGTTGCCACCCGGTGTTTACAGGAAAAGGCTTCTGAAATCAGATACCGCCTTTCAAACTCTTATACCAACTCTGGAGTTGGGCAACATGGCTTCCCCGCTTTTGAGGTCCCACAGCAGCCATCTTGCTACTACTCACCTTTGGGCCCTGTATTTTTAACCTCCTTGTCAAATTTGTTTCCTCTAGGATCAAGGCCATCAAGCTACAGATGGTTTTACAAATAGAACCCCAAACAAGCTAAACTAACAACTTCTACTGAGGACCCCTGGACCAACCCATTGGTCCTTTCACTGGCCTGAAGAGCTCCCCTCTGGAGGACACCACAACTGGAGGGGCCCTTCTTCACCCCTATCCAGCAGGAAGTAGCTGGAGAGGTCATCACCCAATTCCCAACAGCAGTTGGGCTGTCCTGTTTATAGGGGGGATTGAGAGGTGAAGCCCGCTGGACTTCCTGGGTCGGGTGGGGACTTGGAGAACATTTCTGTCTAGCTAAAGGTTTTTAAATGCACCAATGAGTGCTCTGTGTCTAGCAAAAAGTTTGCAAATGCACCAATCATTACTCTGTAAAGATGCACCAATCAGCACTCTGTGTCTAGCTAAAGGTTTGTAAATGCACCAATCAACACTCTGTAAAAAGGCACCAATCAGCTCTCTGGGTCTAGCTAAAGGTTTGTAAACACACCAATCAGCACTCTGTAAAAACACACCAATCAGTATTCTGTGTCTGCGTAAAGGTTTGTAAAAGCACCAATCAGCACACTGTAAAAACACACCAATCAGTGCTCTGTGTCTGGCTAAAGGATTGTAAGTGCACCAATCAGTACTCTGTAAAAACTGATCAATCAGCCCTCTGTAAAATGGACAAATCAGCGCTCTGTAAAATGGACCAATCAGCAGGACATGGGCAGGGCAAAATAAGGGAATAAAAGCTGGCCACCCAAGCCAGCAGCGGCAACCCACTTGGGTCCCCTTCCACACTGTGGAAGCTTTGTTCTTTTGCTCTTCACAATAAATCTTGCTGCTGCTCACTGTTTGGGTCCTCACTACTTTTATGAGCTATAACACTTACCACGAGGGTCTGTGGCTTCAATCCTGAAGTCAGCGAGACCACAAACCCACCATAAGGAAGAAACTCCAGACACATTTGAACATCTGAAGGAACAACCTCCGGACACACCATCTTTAAGAACTGTTAACACTCACCACAAGGATCTGCGGCTTCATTCCTGAAGTCAGCAAGACCGAGAACCCACTAGAAGGAACCAATTTTGGACACAAAATGATACCAACAGTAATTTGGATTAGTCATATCTGCTGGAATATAAGTGATGCATTAATCTTTCTTGGGGATGACAGTTCTAGGCCATCCAGTTTCAGAAATATGGCTCAGCAATGGAGCCCAGTGGTGTTTCATGAGGAATAAGAATCCCAAAGTTTGACCCATAGCCCATAGAATGCCCTCAACCCAAGACTGTACTCTTTGATGTAGTTGTCAGAAGCGTAAGGCCTTAGAGAAACAAAACATGAGATATTTCCTACATGAACGAACACCTTCTTCTCTTGGAGAGCAGGCAAAATAAACAAATTCAGGTGATAGGTGCATCCCTAATTTGAATACCTAAAACATGAAATGCTACAGGATCTTAAACATTTTGTGCATGGACATGACACCACATGTGGAAAATTGCATCTCTGACCTCATGTGATAGGTGACAGTAAAAACACAGGTGCAGAACACACAGTTTATTCAGTGTCACTAAAGGAAGAAAGATACCCTCACTCTCCACCCCTGCAGCTCCCATCAGCTGCAGTATATCTTTTCCAGGCATGCCACACTACTCCCATGTATGCATACCCACAAAGAGCAATAAAAGGACAGGAGGCACAGGCGCGGTGGCTCACACCTGTAATATCAGCCCTTTGGGAGGCTGAGACAGGTGGATTGCCTGAGGTTAGGAGATCAACACCAGCCCGGACAACATGGTGAAACCACGTCTCTGCTAAATATACAAAAATTATGCAGGTGTGCCTGGGCACGGTGGCTCACGCCTGTAATCCCAGCACTTTGGGAGGCCGAGGCAAGCAGATCATGGTGAAACCCTGTCTCTACTGAGAATACAAAAAATTAGCCCGGTGTGATGGTGGGCGCCTGTAGTCCCAGCTACTCGGGAGGCTCAGGCAGGAGAATGGCGTGAACCCGGGAGGCGGAGCCCGCAATGAGCCGAGACCGTGCCACTGCACTTCAGCCTGGGCGAAAGAGTAAGAGTCCGTCTCAAAAAAAACATATCTATCCAGGTGCAGTGGCAGGTGTCTGTAATCCCAACTACTCAAGAGGCTGAGGCAAGAAAATCTCTTGAACTCGGGAGGTGGAAGTTACAGTGATCTGAGATAGCAACACTCTATCCTGGCAACAGAGACTCCATCTCAAAAAAAAAAAAAAAAAAAAAAAAAGATAATGGACATTTGTTCAGCTGTGTGAACCAACGTCAGATTCCCGAAGTTGTCCCACAGGACGCCCTACATGCATTACTCTCTGTGGTTTTTTTCCATGCTTATTTTTGCTCTGTGGTGTAAACATATTGTTAAAAATGTCCAAAGCCTGCCCTATGGGTAACAGTGATAAGAAAAACACGACGTGTTTATGTGTATCTATACCACCGAAAATCAAGCACTAGGAGAAACTGGACAGCATCTTACAGAAGAGTACAATGTTGGAGTGATCACCACATACAGTTTCTTCTCATTAAAAAAATACAGTTGTCCTTTAACCAAAACACAGCATCACAGGTGGACTCTGGACACCTTGCCATTGTCTGTTGCTTCTGTTGTTTAACATCGGATACAGGTGTTCTGGCGGTGCTTGACAGAGCAGGAGCACCGTCATCTCACACAAACACCACGATTTTAAGTTCCAGCTCCCTTTCTAGCTTCATGCATTCCAAGCAAATCACTTCTCTTCAAACTACAAGCAGAAAGAGCAATAAAACACAGATAAGACAGCTCAGGCACAGAGGAGGTAGCAGGGAAAGTCTCTTGGGTAACTGCCAAACTTCACCCTCATACAATGGACCCCAGTAAAACAGTGGGCCTTAATGAGCACATTCTTTTCCCTTCAGGTGCACGAAGTTAGGGAAGCTAAAAGCAGTCTTGGGTCGTATGCCTGCAGCTGCAGAAAGATACACATGGGAACAGACACAGAAAGGGTGGCTCTGACCTAACTCAGCTAGCCTTCCCGGTGAGGTTTATTAAAAATAAACCTGCCCCTGTTGACTCTAAAGACATCCTTCTGTTTCTCTCTTCTTTCTTTAATTCGTACAGTGCTACTGTGCAGCTTATTTACTCTGAACACATTAATATTCCACTGTATTAATGCTATGTTACATTTTTACTGCTAAGTACTTATTTGTGCATAAATGTAAGAAAGGTATTGCTTGTATCAGCAGTCCTCAATTTTTTGAACCCCAGGACCGGTTTTTTTTTTTTTTTTTTTTTTTTTGAGACGGAGTCTCGCTCTGTCGCCCAGGCTGGAGTGCAGTGGCGGGATCTCGGCTCACTGCAAGCTCCGCCTCCCGGGTTCACGCCATTCTCCTGCCTCAGCCTCCCAAGTAGCTGGGACTACAGGCGCCCGCCACTACGCCCGGCTAATTTTTTGTATTTTTAGTAGAGACGGGGTTTCACCGTTTTAGCCGGGATGGTCTCGATCTCCTGACCTCGTGATCCGCCCGCCTCGGCCTCCCAAAGTGCTGGGATTACAGGCGTGAGCCACCGCGCCCGGCCAGGACCGGTTTTATGAAGACAATTTTTCGATGGATGGAGGGGACAGGGCATGGTTTGGGCATGAAGCTGTTCCACCTCAGATCATCCGGCATTAGGTTCTCACATGAAGCGTGCAACTTAGATCCCTCGCATGTGCAGTTCACAATAGGGTTTGGAAGACTCTTGTCCACGTGGTTCGCTGAGATAATGACATCTTTGCTCTCTGATGGTTCAGCATACATAAACGTTGTTTCACATACAAAATTAGTTTTAAACATTATATAAGATTACCTTCATTCTGTGTGTATTAGATGTATATGAAACATTAATAAACGTTGTGCTCAGACTTGAGTCCCATTCCTAAAATATCTCATAGTGAATATGCAGATACTCCAAAAATTTTAAAAATTCAATATCTGAAAGGCTTCTGGTCTCTAACATTTTAGATAAGGGGTGCTTAACCTGTAACTTGCAATATTTCTCTTCTGCTCTTTCTTTCTCTCCTCTGCCATCCAACCCATTGTAATTAATCCTTCAAATCTACTTCCACTGTAATGTTCAATCTTATTTCCCATCTGCCACACAAACTCACTTGGAAGTTTCATAATATATTGCCACATTCCTGTACCTATGCTTGTTCTTTATGAATATCACCCTCTATTACTTTGTGAAACTTTAATTCATTAAAACAAACTGGAGGATTGCTAAATGAGTTATCAATGTTACTTTCCAGATTGTGAGCAAAGGATTTCAAAAGTAAGAATTAACCATAATGGGAAATTGGCAACCCTTAAAACTTTATTTAATGAGTTCCTAGGACATTTTGGGATAGAGACTAGATTCTGTAAATATTAGGTAGAAATTTGAGGAGATACACACACACACACACACACACACACACACACACAAATTTAATGTATACATGATACATATATCATTAATAATATATATGAGATATAAGGTATGGATAATTTGATATAAAATGAAATACTATTTCTTTCCATATATATTTCCATCCTACTTTATATATAAATATATATGCACTTTATATAATATATACTTTATATATATATAGTAACATGGAAATATTAACGTAGAATGGGAGACTTGCGGACATCTAGGTTGTTTATAAGAGTTTACATTTCTAGGACACCAATGATTTTATGTTGAAAAGCTTTATCTCTTAGGGACTGAAAAACACTTCTACTACATGTAAATGGGAGGACAAATATGTCTTGGATATATTTGTATTTGTTTTTACAAAGTGGGATTTTACTAAATGCATTGCTCTGAGACTTTTTTGTTTGGAAAATGATCATATTTTAAATCCTTCATGTTTTTGTTTTGTTTAATTTTTATTCATTTTTTAAAATTTATATATACATATATACATAAACACACACACACGTATATATACACATGACATGTGAAATATGTGGTTTATTTAGCCTTTAAATGATTGCATTATTTTAGAAAAAGAAAAGAAAAAGAAACACTAAAATTGTTTTCCAAAAGGATAATATGACATATTGCTCCTCATAAGAGGGCATTAGCTGCAGGGGTCTGGCCGCAGACCCTGACCCAAACGATGGGTGAAGGAAACATACATTGACACATGGAAATTCTGCTTTGCCAGTCCAGCTGAGTGTCTGATGGCATACATACCAAGAGAGGTTTGTCACTGCAGCCGGCCCTGAACAGCTCAAACTTCAGGCATTTATTTTGTATGCAATTAACAACAGAAACTCTGAGTCAACAAACTTGTGGATAATTAAAATGATTAGAGAGTAGTTCTACAAATGATTAAAGCTCAGGTACCGGGGTCTAAAGTAAATACCATTAGGGGGCAATATCCTTGGTCAACCTCCCCCCAGGGGGCCATCTGGCTTAAAGGTTAGTTAATGGAGGTAGGATAAACAGACTTAACTGCGGAAGCTTCTATTTTCCATGGTATTTACTCTATGATCTAATGCTCTAAGGTGAGAACCGGCTGCCTTCGGCCCGTTCAATTATTACAAACTATGTGACCTTTCAGACTTCCAGAAAGGTTTGTGACTATTCCATATAACTTTCCCTAATATTTCCCAGTAATATTTCTGCCACCATCCTCAGTGAAGCCCAACATTAGTAAGATACCCTTTTTAGTATTGTTTGAGCCCATCAATAAAAACAGCAGAGTTTATTTAATAGCATCACTCACAGAAGTAAGTTTTAAAAACCAGTCAGTAGTTAAGGAGTCACATTTTTTATTTTAATATTTTCCAAGGTGGCCTGTGCCCTAGTTTTCAATTAAAATGAAGCTTTAGTTGAAGCATTCATTATTTATTAGATTTTATTCCTCACTATAAATCACTGTAATAATGGAGAAACAGAGAACAGAAGATTCTCATTATGGACTTTCACAGGACACATTTAAACTCTTTTACCTCTATATTATTTAAAATCTGTTGCCCAAAGTAGTTTTGAAATGCAATCCACCTATTACGGCAACTACACCAACTGACATTAAATTTGTTCAGTTCCTCCTTAAAGTGGTAAAAGAGAACAATGACTCATCGGGCATTTTTAGAATGTTCATTAGGGGTTTTCCAGCCAGGAAGCACAGATTCCCCATGGCTAGGTATGAGAAGACAGAAAATTGAGCCAATTAATTACCACATAACATAATGATATAATTAATCCTTCAAATTTGCAACAAGCACTGCAACAGGGGAGAATTCGCCCTTGTTCTACATTTGGTCACTGGGATTCATTGGATACAAATTTAGATTGGACTAGTTATGGGAAAGCTATAAAAGGAGAAAAGGGAGAATTTTCTTTCCCTTGGTTATGTCAAGTTGTCAGTCAAATGAGCCGAATGTGAGCAATGCTGAAGAAATTATAGGAGACTCCCTGTGCAATTGCTCAACCACAGCTGTATTGGCATTTGGAGCTGGATGGTCCTCGGCTGGGTAGAGGCTATCTTGTGTATGCTAGGATGGTTAGCACATCCCTGGCCTTACTCCTTGCATATCAATAGTACCGTTCCCCAGTCTGGGCAACCAAAATGTGTCCAAATGTCTCCTAAGGGGCCAAATAACCCTAATGGAGAACTAGTCAATAGAAAGATGGAACATACAGCTTGAAATCTATAGGAGAAGAGACAATGTATACATTCAGGATATTTGTAGGATATACATAGTCTATTATTCTATCTATACTGGATACTGTGCAGATCCATTGTCTTCGTAATTAATAAAGTATTTTCTGATGTAGTTAATAAGCAAGTCATTATTTGCTTTTATATTCAAAGCTCTAGAGTAACATCACGTCTCCCCTCCCTCCCTCCTTTCTTTCCTTTTCTTTTCTTTTCTTTCTTTCTCTTTCTTTCTTTCTTTCTCCTTCTTTCTTTCTTTTTCTTGCTCTTTCTTTCTTTCTCTCTTTCTTTCTTTTTCTATCCTTCCTTCCTTCCTTCTTTCCTTTTTTTCTTTCTTTCTGTTTCTTTCTCTCTCTCCCCTTTCCCTCCCCCTCCCCTCTCCTCCCCTCCCCTCCCCTCCTCACCTCTCCCTTTCCCTTACTTTCAAGACGTGGTCTTGCTCTGTCACCCAGGCTGGAGTGCAGTGGTGTGATCATAGCTCACTGAAGCCTCAACCTCCCGGGCTCAAGCAATTCTCCTGCCTCAGCCTCCCGAGTACTGGAACTAGGGGCATGCACCGCCCCACTCATCTAATCTTTGAAAATCCTTTGTAGACATTGGTCCTTGCTATGTTTCCTAGGCAGGTCTTGAACTCTTGGGTCTAAACCATTCTCCAGCCTCGGCTTCTCAAAGTGCTGGGATTACAGGCATGAGCCACCACACCTTGCCAAGAGTAACATCATTCCTAAAGTGAGCCTTACTCAAGACCTAATTTTCCTTTTCTAATTAGTGGCATATTCCAGAAAAAAAAAAATTGTCAAGAGATTGTCATTTTCTGTCTACATACACACACACACACACACACACACACACACACACACACACATATACATGTACATATATATATACATGTATACAATTCACAACATACATACATATATATATACACACGTATACAATTAACGATATGTGTACAATTAGTTTACAATTAACAACAGAACTCTGAGTCAACACACTTGTGGATAATTGACATGATTAGAGAGCAGTTCTACGAATGATTAAAGCTCATAGATATTTATAATGTCTCATTTTGTCACCTAGGCTGGAGTGCCATGGCATGATGTCGGCTCACTGCAACTTCCTCCCCCCAGCTCAAGCGATACTTCTGCCTCAGCCTCCCAAATCGCTATGATTACAAGTGCACACCATAACACTTCCCCGCTATTTTTTCTATTTGTATTAGAGACAGGGCCAGTCTGGTCTCAAACTCCTGATCTCAAGTGATCTGCCCACCTCAGCCTCCCAAATTGCGGAGATTACAGGCATGAGCCACCATGCCCGGCCTCTACTTCAAATATGTTTATTTTTAACTTATGTATACAGATGGAATTTTAACATTTAGAGGTAAAATATGGGTGTTTTTGCCACAATGACTAACGTGCGATAAAAGTCTTGTTAACTTCTAAAATGATACCCTGTATGGATTACACATATTATTATGGAATAATAAACTTTATCCCCACAATATATATGTTGAAGTCCTAACTCCCAATGTGGTTGGATTTGGAGATATGGTCTTTAAAGAGGTGATTAGGATAAAATGAGATCCCCAGGGTGGGTCCTAATCCCATAGGATGGGACGTGGGATCTTATGAGACTAGGAGATGAGGACATAGACACTCACAGATGGACAATCATGTGAGGAAACAGGGCGAAGACCTGTTCTCTAAGTTCCCTCCCCTTACCCACCTCACCCCTCTATAGGCCCGTGTGTGTTGTTCTCCTTCCTGTGTCCATGTTTTCTCATCGTTCAACTCTCACTTAAGAATGATGGCCGGGCGCCGTGGCTCACGCCTGTAATCCCAGCACTGGGAGGCGGAGACGAACGAATCACTAGGTCAGGAGATGGAGACCATCCTGGCTAACACGGTCAAACCCCGTCTCTACTAAAAATACACAAAAAAATTAGCCGGGCGTAGTGGTGGGCGCCTGTAGTCCCAGCTACTCGGGAGGCTGAGGCAGGAGAATGGCGTGAACCCGGGAGGCGGAGCTTGCAGTGAGCGGAGATCCCGCCACCGCACTCCAGCCTGGGCGACAGAGTGAGACTCCATCTCCAAAAAACAAAACAAAACAAAAAACAAAACAAACAAACAAACAAAAACGAGAGAATGAGAACACGTCGTTTTTGGTTTTTCTTTCCTGTGTTAGTTTTCTGAGGACGATGGCTTTCAGCTTCATTCATGTCCCTGAAAATGACACAATCTTATTCTTTTTATGGCTGCATAGTAGTCCACGTTTATGTGTACCGTATTTTATTTATCCAGGGTATCATTGATGGGCATTTGGGTTGGTTCCATGTCTTTGCTATTGTAAATAGACCTGCAATAAACAAAAGTGTGCATGGGTCTTTATAGTAGAATGATTTACATTCCTTTGTGTATACACTCAGTAATTGGACTGCTGGATCAAAGGATATTTGTGGCACTAAATCCTTGAGGAATCACCATACTGTGATTCAACACAATGGTTGAAATAATTTCTATTCCCATCAACAATGTAAAGGTGTTTCTATTTCTCACAGTCTCATCAACATCTATTGTTTCCTGCCTTTTTAATAATCACCATTCTGACTGGTATGAGATGGTATCTCATTGTGGTTTTCATTTGCATTTATCTGATGATCAATAATATTGAGCTTTTTTTCATGTTTTTTGGCTACATAAATGTTTTCTTTGAGAAGTGTCTGTTCGTATCCTTTGCCTACTCTTTGATGACTTTTTCTTTCTTGTAAATTTGTTTAATTTCTTTGTAAATTCTGGATATTAGACCTTTGTCAGATGGGTAGATTACAAAAATTTTCTCCCATTCTGTAGGTTGATTGTTTACTCTGATGATAATTTATTTTGCTGTGCAGAAGCTCTTCCAGTATAATTAGTTCCCATTTATCAATTTTGGCTGATTGCAATTGCTTTTGGCATTTTTATCATGCCTATGTTCCTCAATGGTATTGCCTAGGTTTTCTTCTAGGGATTTTATGATTTTAGGTCTTATGTTTAAGGCTTTAATCCATTTTGAGTTAATTTTCATTTATTGTGTAAGGAAGGGGTCCAGTTTCAGTTTTCTGCATATGACTAGACTGTTTTCCCAGCACCTTTAACTGAACAGGAGACCGTTACCCCATTGCTTGTTTCTGCGGGTTTGTCAAATATCAGATGGTTGTAGATGTGTGGTGTTATTTCTGAGGTGTATGTTCTGCCTCATTGGTCTATATGTCTGTTTTGGTACCAGTATCATGCTCTTTTGGTTACTACAGCTGTGTAGTAAAGTTTGAAGTCAGGTAGCATGATGCCTCCAGCTTTGCTCTTTTTGCTTACGATTGTCTTGGCTATATGGGGTCTTCTTTGACTCCATGTGAAATTTAAAAGAGTTTTTCCTAATTTTGGGAAGAATGTCAATGGTAGTTTGATGGGAATAGCATTGAATCCACAAATTATTTTGGGCAATGTGGCCATTTTTATGATACCAATTCATCCTATCCATGAAGATGGAATGTTTTTTATTTGTTTGCATCCTCTCTTACTTCCTTGAGCAGTGGTTTGTAGTTCTTCTTGAAGAGAGAAGTACACATCCCTTGTTAGCCGTTTTCCTAGGTATTTTACTCTCTTTGTAGCAATTGTAAATCGGAGTTCACTCAGGATTTGGCTCTCAGTTTGTCTTTTGTTGCTGTATAACAATGCTTGTAATTTTTGCACATTGATTTTGTATCCTGATACTTTGCTGAAGTTGCTTATCAGTTTAAGGAGTTTGGGGGGCTGAGAGGATGGGGTTTTCTAAATATACAATCACGTCATCTGCAAGCAGAGACAGTTTGACTTCCTCTCTTTGTATTTGAATACCTTTTATTTCTTTCCCTAGTCTGATTGCCCTGGCCAGAACTTCCAATACTATTTTGAACAGGAATGGTTAGAGAGGGTATCCTTGTCTTGCACCGGATTTTAAAGGGAACACTTCCAGCTTTTGCTCATTCATATGATATTGGCTGTGGCTTTGTCATAAATAGCTCTTATTATTTTGGAATGTGTCCATTAGTACCTAGTGTTTTGAAGGTTTTTAACACGAAGGGATGTGGAATTTTATCAAAGTCATTTTCTGCATGTACTGAGATAATCATTTGTTTTTTGTTGTTGGTTTTGCTTCTGTGATGGAGATTACTTTTATTGATTTGCGTATGTTGAACCAGCCTTGCATTTCAGAGCTGAAGCCAACTTGATCATGGTGGATAAGGTTTTTGATGTGCTGCTGGATTTGGGTTGCCAGTATTTTACTGAGGATTTTTGCATCAATGTTCATCAGGGATAATGTCCTGAAGTTTTCTTTCTTTGTTGTGTCTCTTCCCAGTTTTGTATCAGGATGATGCTGGCTTCATAAAATGAGTTTGAGAGGAGTCCCTCCTTTTCAATTGCTGGAATAGTTTCAGAAGGAATGATACTGTCTCCTCTTTGTATTTCTGGTTGAATTCAACTGCAAAGCCATTTGGTGCTGGGCTTTTTCGGGTTGGTAGGCTATTAATTACTGCCTCAATTTCAGAAATTGTTATTGGTCTATTCAGGGACTGGAATTCTTCCTGATTTAGTCTTGGGAGGGTGTATGTGTCCAGGAATTTATCCATTTCTTCTAGATTTTCCAGTTTATTTGCATAGACGTGTTTATAGTGTTTTCTGATGATAGTTTGTATTTCTGTGGCATCAGTGGTGATATCCCCTTTATCATTTTTTATTGTGTCTATTTGATTCTTCTCTCTTTCCTTCTTTATTTGTGTAGCTAGTGATCTATTTTGTCAATTTTTTTCAAAAAAAATAGCTCCTGTATTTATTGACGTTTTTGGAGGATTTTTTTCTTTTCTCTGTCTCCTTCAATTCTTCTCTGATCTTAGGTTTTTCTTGTTTTCTGCTAGCTTTTTGATTAGTTTTTTTTTTTTTTTTTCTGCTGTAACTCTTTTAATTGTGATGTTAGGGTATTAATCTGAGATATTTCAAGGTTTCTGATGCGGGCATTTAGTGCTATAAATTTCGCTGTTAACACTGCCTTAGCTGTGTCTTCGAGATTCTGGTACATTGTCTCTGTGTTCTTGTTCATTTCAAAGAACTTCTTGATTTCTGCCTTAATTTGATTATTTGCCCTGGAGTAATTTGGGAGCAGAGTTTTCAGTTTTCATGTAATTGGGTCGTTTTGAGTGAGTTTCTTAATTCTGAGTTCTAATTTGATTGCCCTGTGGTCTGAGAGACTGCTATAATTTCCGTTCTTTAGCATTTGCTGAGGAGTGTTTTACTTCCAATTATGTGCAAGATTTTATAATCCGTGCCATGCGGCACTGAGAAGAATATATATTCTGTTGATTTGGGGCAGAGAGTTCTGTAGATGTCTACTAGGTCCACTTGATCCAGAGCCGATTTCAAGTCCTGAATATCCTTGTTAATTTTCTATCTCGTTGATCTGTCAAATACTGAAAAATATTGAATGCTTCATGAATTTGCATGTCATCTTTGTGCTGGGATCATACTAATTTTTCCTGTATCATTCCAACTTTAGTATATATGCTGCTAAAGCAAGCACTACCTTCCATTTATAAGCAATCGAAATAAGACACAATATTCAGAAACACTGATTTTGTGTATTTAACAAAAATCATTACAGGACTGATATTCTCCAGGGAGAAACCAACCAAACCAAACAAACATCAAGTAAATCCTACATTGACTCCAGCGTTTTGCCTGGAGGTGATGAAGGATAATATTAATTCAAAACAGTGATAATTTAAGGGTGGAAAATTGAATCTTTACATCATCCACTAAAAATAGTATTGCTGCATACCTAATAGCTTCCCAGACTAGTAGCTGCAAACAACACAGCAAACCATCTCACAGTTTCTACAGCTTGAAGAACCTGAACTCAGTTTGACTGGGTTTTCTGCCTCATGATTTCTTATAGACTACAGCCAAATTTTAACTCAGGTGTATGATTTCACAGGAAGGCTCATTAATTCTGGGTTCATTTTTTCAGGGCTGTAGCACTCAGGGCCTCCGTTTCTACCTGATTTTTGACAGGAGGCCACTTTGTTGGCCTCTCCAATATGGTATCTTTCATTTGTTTTATTAAAGCATGCAAGCTGGGAAGGTGATAGGCAATGTTCTATTGAAATTGGAAGCACATATAAGCCAGAAAGAGGCAGATAGCTACATCAGGTTTTTGTTTTGTTTTGTTTTAATTTTGGCTTTTGTTTGTTTGTTTGTTTTTTGCTTATGTTTGTTTGTTTGTTGGCTTTTTGAGATGCTGTCTCTGTCTCCCAGGCTGGAGTACAGTGGTGCAATCTTAGCTCACTACAAACTCCATCTCCCAGGTTTAAATGACTCTCCTGCCTCAGCCTCCCGAGTAGCTGGGATTATAGGCATGCGCCACCATGCCTGGCTAATTTTTTCTATTTTAAGTAGAGATGGGTTTTCATCATGTGGGGCAGGCTGGCCTGGAACTCCTGAACTCAATTGATACACCTGCCTAGGCCTCCCAGAGTGCTAGGATTACAGGCATGAGCCACCATGGCCAGCCATCTACACCATGTTTTGCTTTCTGAAAAATTCAGTGCTGTTAGAATAATCTTCTCAATAATTGGCAGGATATCAATTTGAGGGACTCAGGTAGTCCCACCTAGTGCTATGCACAAAAAGAAAAACAAAACAACGGAAACAAAAGCATATGATTCCAAGTATTGATTATGTCAATCTAGCTGTGCAACAGAAAATAAAGTTTTTAGAAGGTATTTGTAGGAGTTCTTTTTGGCATTAGAGTAAGTAGGAGTTTTTCAAAGAAGATGCAAATGTGTTTCATCATAATTTAATCAAGGAATTAGTAAGTGGTACTTACTTAAACTCCAAATATTCTGTTCTGCAAAAGGTGCCATGACAAGAATAGAAGTTTATGCCCAGCAGAGCATATGCATCTATAATCCCAGCTACTCTGGAGGCTGAGGTGAGAGACATGAGCCCAAGAGTTCGAGACCAGCCTGGGCAACATAATGAGATCCTGCCTCAAAATAAATAAATAAATAAATAAACTTTATAGATGTGATGAATATATTCCACAAGGGTTTGTGTTTTCGTCCAAAATATATAATGGATTCCAAATGAAAATGTGTGAATAATTTACTAGCTTTTTAAAAAAGCATATCTGATTTCCCAATAAACTTAATAAAAATGTCTAGCAACAAGGGAAGGGATATGAACCACCATGATATGGCAGTAAATACTCACTTGAACAAAACAAAACAAAACAAAACTGACAAAACAGGTCAGAATGTGTATCTCCTGAACTAGCACATAAAACTTTATGCTGGCTGGGCACAGTGGCTCATACCTGTAATCACAGCACTTTGGGAGGCTTAGGTGGGAGGATCACTTGAAGCCAGGAATTCCATACCAGCTTGGACAGCATAGTGAGAACCAGACACTACAAAAACTAAAAAACTAGCTGTGCATGTGGTGAGCACTTGTATTGCCAACGACTTTGGAAGCTGAGTTGGGAGGATCACTTGAGCCCAGTTGCTCTATACTGCAGCGAGCTATGACCACACCTCTGTACTCCAGCCTAGGTGACAGAGCAAGATCCTGCCTATAAAAGCAAAAGCAAAACCAAAACCAAAATATCTTAAAGCTGAATGAATAAATTCCCTAGCACCTGGAATTTTCACTCCAATATATGTGCCCAAGAAAATATTGTACACAGTAAACCTACTGGCACACATACAATACATTTCATGATAGCATTTTGTTAATAATCCCTACATGGAAACAATCAAGGTAACAATCAACAAAAGATCCATAAAGAGATTTGGGGAAAGCTACAGAGCAAGAAGAATGAATGTGCCAGTGCCAAGTGAGACGGAATTATAAATTTGGTGAACATAATGTTGAATAAAACACTTAGGCAGAGTTGCAAAAGAACATAGTATATATTTCCATCATTCTATGCCTGGATTTGCATAGTGCTTTTCCAGCATCCTGATGTGGTGGCAGTTCGCTGAGCTGTATTCATATGATTTGTGCCCTTCTCTCTCTGCATATTGTAATTGAATAAAGTGAGTGTATTTAAAAACGAAACAAGGCTGCATCAATATTCCCAGGGACTTGTCAGGCTGGATGAAACTAGAATTACATGATGATGAAACCATCCAAAGAAATAACTATCTAGTCGGTATTTCTGCTGGAATATCTACTTCAGTCAGAACTTGGGACATGTCAGAGAGAAGTTCTTCAGAAATGCCATGATAAAACAACTGTGAATTATTTAGAAAGCAAGCTTACAATTGTAAAACTATACCTTTACTTCCATGAAACTCTTCTTTTGACCCCCACCAAGCAAACAAACAGGTTTGTGAGGCATTATACATCATTCCATTTCCTTTCACTTCACAATGATTCAATCTTTTCTAAAATATTGTGATTTTGTTACCAAAAACAATGGGAAAAAATGATAAGTAACTGTAAAACTCTTTTTGAAATTTTTGCAGATTTCTTTAGAAGAACTTACAATGGATCTTCTGAATATATTCTATTCCTCTAAATTTTACTCAAATAAGGAAAACGTTACCATTTTATTTTACAATACCTGTTGAAAGCATTTAGAATAAAGTCATATGTTCACCTCTAAATATTTTCATTTATATTCAGAGTTGTCATTTTAAATTACAACTAGAATATTTATCTGTGTTATAATTTAACACAAAGATTACAAGCATCAAACAGAAACACTTTGAGAAGGATTAATCATTATGAAAGTAATGATGAGAAAAAATATATATATTTTTAGGAAGAGATCATGAGTAGGCTTATTCTAGTTAAAAACATAGTATAACTTTATGTTTCATGAATTTTTATATACATTTTCATAGCTGTGGAAAGGAACTGAAGTAAAGTATATTCACACACTGCAACGTATTGCTGAAAATAATGTTTTTCTTGTATTAGGGACAGCCATAGTAATTTAGGAATTAAAAATTGTATATGAGAAGGATGAAAGCAAGAACATGAACAACTGTAGGAAAAGCCTGCTGAGCATGAGACAGAAAATTGAATTTAAGCTAAGGAAGAGTAATTTTAATACCATTAAAAGGTAAGCAGGTCTTCTAGACATTTCTGAGGTGGATACTTCCAAATTGTGAAGAACTGATTAAAGGACACTCTCCAAAGAGGAGGAGAAAACAAATTATTCAAAGTATTTGCAATGCAAATGCACCTTTTGTTAAATTAAAGCAAGGATTACGTAGTGTTTATTAGATCAAATGAAGAGATAACATGATTATGCAAAATTTATCATGAACACAGGTCATGAACATAGGTCTAAAGATTGTAAGTTGAAACGGTTGCAGTTTGACTAATCAAATCAACCTTAGACATGCTGTGGCTACAAATGGCAGTGATTCTGAGCTGTTTGTATAATTTTATCTTTAAAGATTATTTTCAAGAGCCTTTTTCATATTGACAATATAGTAATCCAGGAAGAGGTATGCATTGTATCTGGAAGGGGTCTGTATCAGTATCAGTGGATACAATTATTAAAATTGATGCAATTGTTATAATTGATCCCACTGTTACAACTGATACAATTTTAACAAAATGTTAAATAGCAGCCAGAAAAGATTTGCAAAAAAATTACAACAATTGAATCACACTTATTATTTTGATAAGAAACAGCCTTTCAGCCCAAATAAAAGGAGGTTATATAAGTAACACATGAATCTGACTCTGACCCACAATATCTAAGTGAATTGACAAAGTTTTATTCTGTTACTTGGTAGGTTGTGGTGTTTTTCATGACTTTAAGTGCCCCATTTCACCCTATTGCTAGGAAACCTTAACTGTATTTTGATTGCCTGCAGGAAAACTAACTGAAAGCTTAGGTATATGAAACATGCAAGATACACATTTTTCCATAGACTGTACCAGTGAAATTTATTCAGGGAATAAAAGAGCACTTGGATACAAAAATGTACTTTTGGATTTGTTTTTTAAGTAGTTTGGGTTTGGTGTAGAGCAAACTCTAATGAAATCTATGTATAATGTCAAATTTCAAAATGTTATTATGGATTAACATTTTAGGAAGTGCAGGCTCATGGAGGAAATGATGTTCAGACAATGGCCATAGGTTCAGAAAAAAGAAAATTAAAGAAGGACCCCTAGAGAAATTACTGAGGCTACAGTAGATAGCAAAGTTTACAGATGGTGATGCAGGAGGAGATAAAGCTATTCAATTCTGATTTATGACATCAAATCTTCAAAAAAATTTTGGAGAAAAATTGTGCCTTGAAATGTTTAGTCTCAATAAAAAATAATTTATTGAGCAAACCAATCTGTGACAGCATTATTTGCCTCAAGAAATATATAGTCTATCTAAGGAAGAGTATAGAACAAATACATACATTTTTTAAATTTCAGATTTTATGTTGGATGCAGGGGTACATCTACAGGTTTGTTACAAGGGTATATTGTGTGATGCTGGGGTTTGGGGTCTGACTGATCCCATTACCCATGTAGAGAGTGTGCCTGTATTATGTATACCCAGGTATATATAATATATATATACACAAATATTAAATATTATAAGAAAGATAAATAACACATTACTAATATAAAAGATGTATACATTACCAGTAGGCAGAAACTAAATAGGGGGAAAATATTTAGATTAAATATTGAACATGGGTATTAAATTCACAGGCAGAATTGTGAAAGACTAGTGCAGAGTGATGTCAGTAAGTTAAGCTTGAGGTCAATATTTTTTAAAGAAAAGAACCACATGCAATTTCACTGGTTGCACTCTGTGGATTCCTAAAAATATTTAAGCAGGAACTGATCTAAGATTAAGTTTACTTACATGGAATTGGAATGAAACTGGCCATATAGGTGATAGGGAATGTATTTCAAAGCTTGCATGTCAGAATAGAAGTCTGTTCTTCTAAGAGTGTTCACTTTTGATGATATATGGCAAAGGTATGACATTTTATCTGAGAGGAAATGTAGCCTGTGAAAATTTTAATGGAACTTTTGGCAGTCGAAATTATCCTACTTCCTGCTGGCCCTATGAGTAAGTTAAAAAAAATACCATTAAATCTCAGTTTTGTTTTTTTTGGTAGGAAATAATCACTCCTACACAGATCATGAATTAGTTGGACACAGCAAACACACAGGTTATTTTTCACTTTACTCATTTGGTTTCTATTAAACACAATGTTGTCTCAATTTATTTCAATCCAGAACCAAGAAAAATGGCAAAAAAAAAATACTTATTTTAACTCTAGTAACAAAAGGGACTGAGTTATTCTGTTAAGTAAGAAGAAATTATTGAAGAGTTTGGACCTCCTCTTCTGTATATGCAATTACAAATCAACAAAGGATTAAACACTTTTTTAGTTATTATGTTTTTAGAGCTGGTGTCTTATTCTGCTGCCCTGGCTGGAGTGCAGTGGTGTGATCTTAGTTCAGCAAAGCCTTGACCTCCTGGGCTCAAGCAATCTTTCTGACTCAAGATTTGACACTTTACTATAATATATTTCAATCATAAGTTAATTTGAAATTGATTTCCAATAAAGACAAAATGAAAGATGAGTAATTAGGACATATAGCCCTGGCCTTAATCCCTGGATATCAATAGTACTGTTCCCCAGTTTGGGCAACTGAAAAGTGTTCAAATATCTCCTAAGCGGCCAAATAATCCCAGTAGGGAACCAGTCAATGGAAAGATGGAGCATGGAGCTTGAAATCTATAGGAGAAATGACAATGTATACATCCAGGATATTTGTTGGATGTGCATAGTCTATTATTCTGTCTATACTGCATATTGTGCAGATCCATTTGTAGTAATAATTAATAAAGTATTTTCTGATGTAGTTAGTAAGCAAGTCCTCATTATTTGCTTTTATATATTCAAAGCTCTAAAGTAACATCACATCTCTCCTTCCTTCTTTCCTTCCCTCCCTCCCTCCTTTCTTTCTCTTTTTCTTTCTTTCTTTCTTCCTCTTTCTTTTCTTTTTCTTTCTTTCTTTCTTTCTTTCTTTCTTTCTTTCTTTCTCTTTCTTTCTTTCTTTCTCTGTTTCTTTCTTTCTTTCTTTCTTTCTTTCTTTCTTTCTTTCTTTCTTTCTTTCCTTTCTTTCTTTCTTTCTCTTTCTTTCTTTCTTTCTTTCTTTCTTTCTTTCTTTCTTTCTTTCTTTCTTTCTATTTCTTTCTTTCTTTCTCTCTCTCTCTCTCCCCCCCTTTCCTCCTCCTCCCTTCCACTACTTACCCCTCGCTTTCCCTTACTTTCAAGACATGGTCTTGCTCTGTCACCCAGGCTGGAGTGCAGTAGTATGATGATAGCTCACTGAAGCCTCAACCTCCTGGGCTCAAGCAATTCACCTGCCTCAGCCTCCCAAGTACTGGAACTACAGGCATGCACCACCCCACTCACCTAAACTTTGAAAATCCTTTATAGACATTGGTGCTTTCTGTGTTTCCTAGGCAGGTCTTGAACTCTTGGCCTTAAACCATTCTCTAGCCTCCGCCTCCCAAAGTGCTGGGATTACAGGCGTGAGCCACCACACCTTGCCAAGAGTAACATCATTCCTAAAGTGAGCCTTACTCAAGACCCAATTTTCCTTTTCTAATTAGTGGCATATTCCAGAAAAAAAAATGGTCAAGAGATTGCCGTTTTCTGACTTCTTATTTATTTATGTATTTATTTAGACAGAGTCTCATTTTGTCACCTAGGCTGGAGTACAATGGAGCAATCTTGGCTCACTTCAACTTCTACCTCCACAGCTCCAGCAATTCCTCTGCCTCAGTCTTTCAAATAGCTGGGATTACAAGCTCACACCATAACGCTCCCCCAGCTTTTTGTTTTTTGTTTTTGGTTTTTTTTTTTGTATTTGTAGTAGAGGGTCAGGCTGTTCTCAAACTCCTGATCTTGAGTCATCTGCCCACCTCATCCTCCCAAAGTGCTGGGATTACAGACATGAGCCACCACAACTTGCCAAGAGTAACATCATTTCTAAAGTGAGCCTTACTCAAGACCTAATTTTCCTTTTGTGATTGGTGGCATATTGCAGAGAAAAAAATGGTCAAGAGATTGTCATTTTCTGTCTCTCTCTCTCTATATATATGTGTGTGTGTATATATAGATACACACACACATATATATACGTGTGTGTATCTATATATACACACACACATAAATATATACTATATATACTGTCTAAATATATACATATATTTATATATATATATATACACACATATATACACACACATATTTAGACCTATAGACTATATATGTGTGTGTATATGTGTATATACGCACACATATACATGTATGTATTTTTTTTTTTTTTTAGACAGAGTCTCATTTTGTCGCCTGGGCTGGAGTGCAATGGCGAGATCTCGGCTCACTTCAACCTCCCCCTCCCTGGCTCAAGCAATTCTTCTGCCTCAGCCTCCCAAATAGCTGGGATTACAAGTGCCCACCATAATACTTCCCCAGCTATTTTTTGTATTTGCAGTACTGACAGGGCCAGGCTGTTCTCAAACTCCTGATCTCAAGTGATCTGCCCACCTCATCCTCCCAAATTGCTGGGATTATAGGCATGAGCCACCACGCCTGGCCCCTACTTCAAATATTTCTAAATTATGTATTAAGATGCAATTTTAATATATGGAGGTAAAATATTGATGTTTTTATCACAATGACTAATGTGTGAGAAAAGTCTTGTTAATTTCTATACTGGTACCCTATATGGATTACATATATTTTTATGGCACACATTTTACACCATTCCCAAAATATATATGTTGAAGTCCTAACTCCCAATGTGACTGGATTTGGAGATGGAATCTTTAAAGAGGTGATTAGGATAAAATGAAGTCCCAAGGGTGAGTCCTAATCCCATAGGACAGGACTGGGAATCTTATGAGAATAGGAGATGAGGACACAGACACACACAGAGGGACAACCATGTGAAGGCCTGGGGAGAAGTTGGCATCTACAAGCCAAAGAGAGAGACCTTAGCAGAAACCAGCCTTGTCTACATCTTGATCTCACACTTACAGCCAGCAGAATATCCTTTGTTTAAACCAGCCAGTCTGTGTTATTTTGTTATGCCACTCTAGCAAACTAACATTTGTATGTTTTGCATTACAAAAGCTCTTGGATAAACAATCTTGGCACTTAAGTGTAAAATTTATAATAAAATGGAATAAAAGTATATTTTTTTTCTGAGATATTGATATATATCTTGTCTACCTTTGAGTTTTATCAAATGGATAAAGCCTAGGAATAAAAAAATGTAATTGTTGACATTATGTTAAATTTCAGTTTATCTGAGGTAATTCATGATCCCAGTAGAAACTGCAAATATTTTTTCTTTATTTCTTCACTTGCATAAACATAATATTTCTTCAGATTATCACTGCATTTTCTAAAGTTGTTGCCATTTCTTTAATACCTTTTATTAATCATGTTCAGACTTTGTTCCTGTCTTTAGTTAGCTGTTTTTAAATCTAGCTGACACAATGCCAGACACTCCTATTTCAACACTGTAATAGAAAAATACTTCAGCTAAATATTAAAATAAAACCTCCATTGACTTAAGCTCTTTTTGTGTTTATGATTTCTGCCCATGAATGATTTAGAAAACAAATGTCTATATGTGTTACGGATTTAATTTTTACATATCACCTCTTTGCCACAGTAAGTCAATAGGGAGTTCTTTTCATGTAAATTAGTGCCAATTTAGACTTCTCAAGATGAGAACCACTACATTTCAGGAAAAAATAGGAAATTTAGAAGAGAGTTAACATACTGTTTATTATACAATATTTATTTTATAAGCAAAATTAAAAATCATTTTCCAAAATATCGATGTAGTGTTATATATATCATAAAGTACATAAAAGAACACATTATCAGAACTGTGACATAGAAGGGAAACTGTAGTTTATAAGTCATAATACTAGAAACTTTCTGTTTTGGAAACAGGATGTAAGAGACGAAACTAGTAGTTATAAAAATGAAATGCCTTGTGAATACTTATAGAAGTTTCCAGTCAGGAATATTTTATATTGACTGGGCATGGTAGCTTACACCTCTAATCCCGATACATTAGGAGGTTAAGGAAGGGGGATTACTTGAGGCCAAGAGTTTGAGGGTGCAGTGAGCTAGGATCACGTCACTGTACTCCAGCTGGGATGACAGCATGTGGCCCTGATTCTAAAAATCAAGCAAACAAACAAACAAACAGAAAAGACTATCTTATACTCATTAAACAGATGAAATTATACTAAAGTTAATATAATTGATCAAGATGTGTAATCTATTATTTCTTTATTATTATTATTATACTTTGAGTTGTGGGGTACATGTGCAGAACGTGCAGGTTTATTACGTAGGTATACATATGCCATGGTGGTTTGCTTCACCCATCAATCCATCATCTACATTAGGTATTTCTCTGAATGCTGTCCTTCCCCTAGTCCCCCAACTCCAGACAGGCTTTGATGTGTGATGTTCCCCTCTATGTGTTCTCATTGTTCAGCTCTCATTTACGAGTGAGAACATCTGGTGTTTGGTTTTCTGTCTTGTGTTAGTTTGCTGAGAATGATGGATTTCAGCATCATCCGTGTCCCTGCAAAGGACATGAACTCATCCTTTTTCATGGCTGCATAGTATTCCATGGTGTATATTGCCACATTTTCTTTATCCAGTCTATCATTGACAGGCATTTGTGTTGGCTCCACATCTTTCCTTTTGTGAACAGTGCAGCAATAAACATACATGTGCATGTCTCTATAGAGTGATTTAAAATCCTTTGGGTATATATCCAGTAATGGGATTGCTGGGTTCAATGGTATTTCTGGTTCTAGATACTTGAGGAATTGTCACACTGTCTTCCACAATGATTGAATAATCTACACTCCAACCAACAGTGTAAACACATTCCTATTTCTCCACACCCTCCCCAGCATCTGTTGTTTCCTGACTTTTTAACGATTGCCATTCTAACTGGTGTGAGATGGTTTTGACTTGGATTTTTCTAATGACCCATGATGATGAGCTGTTTTTCATGTTTGTTGGCTGCATAAATGTCTTCTTTTGATAAATGTCTGTTCATATCCTTCACCCGTTTTTTGATGGGTTACTTTTTTTCTTGTAAATCTGTTTAAGTTCTTTGTATATTCTGAATATTGGCCCTTTGTCAGATGGATAGATTGCAAAAATTGTCTCCCAATCTGTAGGTTGCTTCTTCACTCTGATGATAGTTTATTTTGCTGTGCAGAAGCTCTTTGGTTTAATCAGACTGTATGTGTCAATTTTGGCTTTTGTTGCCATTACTTTCAGTGTTTTAGTCATGAAGACCTTGCCCATGCCAATGTTCTCAATGGTTTTGCCTAGGTTTTCTTCTAGCGTTTCTATGGTTTTAGGTGTTATGTTTAAGTCTTTAATCCATCTTGAATTAATTTTTGTATAAGGTGTAAGGAAGGGATCCAGTTTCAGCTTGCTGCATATGTCTAGCCAGGTTTCCCAGCACCACTTGTTAAATAGAGAATCCTTTCCCATTGCTTGTTTTTTTCAGGTTTGTCAAAGAATAATCTGTTATTTCTAATACAGAGTACTGCATGGCATATGAACTATAACCAATAAGTTGGCAATTGAGATAAATATGTAAAGAAGATTTATTTCATAAAATGATTTGGATACACAAAACAGAATCTCTACTGTATATGTTCACTAAGTATAGAAATATTTTATGTGAGTTTGCAATGGAATCAGTAAAAATTAACTACCCTCTTTGAATAGACAGAGAATGAATATTTACAGGGAACCTCGTATTAAAATTAATCCAGAATTTAAATGCGAAGAAGATAATCTTTAATGTTTTCTTGAGGTTAATGCTTAGTTTTAATTAAGATCATTAAACATTTTTGCAAATTTCAAATTTTCTAGTTGGTTATTGTGTCAGCCCATCCTCAGGTAGGATGATATGCTGGAGAACTTATGGTACCCAGAAAATCTATCATGTTAATGGTTATGGATGATTACAGTGAAAGGTTACAGGTTAGAATCAACAAAGGAAAAGGGGCATATGGCTGAGTTCAGGAAACAAGGCACAAGTTGTCCCCTTTGATTTGACTTATAAGAAACAATGTGTAACATCAACAATGTATGACATCAACAATGTATTACAATACTTACGAAGCATTGTTGACTAGAGAGGCTCACCTGAGACTTGATGTCCAGGGTTTTTATTGGGGTTTAGTTATTTAGACATGGAGACCTAAAGTTAGCATTTGATTAAGAACTATTAATGAAACATCAATGATAAGAATTTACCATTGAGTGCTGTTCTTTCGCCTTAATACTTATTGAGTACACCTGGGATCTTATCCCTTGCTAACATGTTAAATACAAATGTGTTTCAGGCATAAAATGGGTGGCTTATCAACAATAAAAATTTGTTTCTTATAATTCAGGAGTCTGGAAAGTGCAAGAGTAATGCTGATTGAATTTCTGGTGAGGGCCAATTTTCTGTACATAGATGGTGACTTCCGGTTGTTTCTTCTTTTATAAGGATACAAATCTTCATGAGGGTTCTGTCCTCATGATTTAATCACTTTCCAAACACCTCATCTCATAATGCCATCAATTTGATGATTAAGTCTTCAACAAAAAAAATTCAGAAGGTACACACATTTAGAACCTAGCAATATATAATTGGAAATTTGCATAAATACTAGTGCTATCTTGTGATGAAATGCAGATCTAGACACACTCAGTAATTTACCTTAATGTTACATCCAGCTACTAAAATGAGAGACCAAGGGACTAACATCAAATCCACCACATTTAAATAATGCTATTAGAGAGATAAGAGAAAAACACAGAGATATATATGCAAGTGGATAAATCTGAAACTTTTGCCTGAACCTAGACAATAAGACTGTCACGGTGCTGTGGTTTATATTGAGTCACAACTGAATAATAGATAGGGTCAGTGTTTGGAGTTCAAAGGAGAAGAAGGATTTTGTCCCAAGTTTGTCAGGAGTGGGAAACAATTATGGATTCTTGCTAGACTAATAAAAGAGAACTGGGTCTCCTGCCTGACCCACTCTTTTCCATCCAGATGCTGATATTATACTAAAATCACCTCAGATGATCCTTACGAAGGCAGTGTGAAGTTGAATGGATGAGTAGAGTGACTGCAGAGCATAGATTCTGCCACAACTGTTTATGTCTCTCCACCCTACCCTGTGCCCAGGATTGAGTTTTGTATAATAATAGGATCCATTGACTTGAGGCTTCCATGTGGGCTAAACTAAGATTTCAAAAGATGGCAGGGGATTGAGATTAGAGATTTCCATCATGGCCTTCCTGCTTGCAGAACCAGCTTAGGCATGCAGTGTCTCTCAACCTAAAATGACTGGTGATCCCAATGTGACCTTTTCTATCTACCCCATTTCTTTCAGGTTTCTAGAAGCTGATTTCCTCTCAGTCACTGATGTGTTTGCATGACTTGCAAGCAATGTCATGACAACCCTTGATCTGCCTTGGTATGGTGGCTCATGTTTGTAATCCCAGCACTTTGAAGGGCTGAGGTAGGAGGATTGCTTGAGGCTAGGAGTTCAAGATCAGCCTGGGCAATATAGTGAGACCCCATCTCACGATAAAAAATAGAAAAATTAGGTAGGCATGGGGGTGAATGCTTCTAATCCCACCTATTCAAGAGGCTGAGGCAGGAGTATTGATTGAGCCTGGGAAGTGGAGGCTGTAGTTAGTTGTGATCACACCACCGTACTCCAGCCTGGGCAACAAAGAAAGACTCTGTCTCAGACAAACAAAGAAACAAATAAAAAACACAAAAATATAAAGAAAGAGCTTTTGTTCTGTACTACGTTTTTCCAGGATATTTGTGTAGTGAGTGGCCTTAGATGGTAGAGATAATGTCCACATTTGTTGGCTTTCCTGGATAATAAAAACAATTCCCCCCAGCACAGCTAAGTTTGGGAAGGTTTATTATTCTTCCAATAGTTAATGTTTCCCTGACAAATTCCAGCAAGTCCATCAAGCATTCTTTAGTGTGATTTCCTGAATACCAGCCTCATTACTGTTGGGTTGGACCCTTGTAATTTTTACGATTCTATTAGTTGTATACCTTCTGGTTAAGACATTGAAGTACTAGGAGATGTTTTGGATGATGCTAAAGGGGTCAAGTTTATGGAACTAGATTTAGTAAAGGAGGTGAATCAGACTACTTTGGGGTTCCTGGAGGGGAAAGATACCATTTTCTGGGGGTCTGAATTTGTATTTAAATGTTTTGAGGTATTCTTAGCACTAACATTATCAAACCCCACATTCTTCTCTGTTCTGTGTTTCTTTCATCACAGGAGCGCTGGCTGATTTATTCTGCCTAGACGAGGGCTTCTGGGAAGCAATTGCACAATCCCTTTCTTAGGAACTTTTGCCCAAAGTGCCTTATAGACCTAGAAGATGCCTAGGTTTATTTAATTATTGTGAAATTGGGGAGAAATGCAGAGCTTTTTCATATGGAAAAGGAAATGCTTCCAAGAAGGCAGTCTTCAATTCTGTGAAGGTCAAGTTGGCAAGCAGCAAAAGAGTCATTGTATTTTTCTTTTTCCCATTGGCTATGCAATTTGGAAATCTTGAATAAATCTCACTATCCTAAGGCGGGCATATCCATTTCTAACTTCAGATTGTAGAGGGACCTCAGACACATTAGATTCAAGAGAATAATGTTGGAACAAGCTGGAATTTAAAAAGTAGAAGAATAACAAGAAACACACCAAAAGACACAGGAAAACACACATATGTATAAATACACACACACACACACACACACACACACACACACACACACACACAGGAATTAGCAAATACTCATGTCATAAAAACATAGCATCAAAGTTCTCATACAGATTTGAACTTGTAGCATGAGAAATGAAGGTAGATTTATCTCTCTGTGTGTGCCCATCATTATGCATGCACATAAGTGAAAAAAATGATTAAATATGTGAATATATGCATATTAAATAGCCTTGTAACTCTGGAGGTGAAACAATTGTATTGTCCTGGAGTAAGTATAGAGAAGCATCAGTTTTGTGTTTTCTTTTTTTAAATAATAATGAGCTATCAGGGTCATCATTGCTCATAGTTAATTCTTTGATATGGTTTGGCTCTGTGTCCTCACCCAAATCTCATCTGGGATTGTAATTCTCATAATCCCCATATGTTGAGGAAAGGACTGGTGGGAGGTGATTGTATCATGGTGGAGGCTCCCCCATGCCATTCTCATGATGTGAGTGAGTTCTCTGGAGATCTGATGGCTTTATAAGTGTTTGACAGTTCCTCCTTATTATGTATGTATGTATGTATGTATGTATGTATGTATGTATTTATTTTTGAGATGGCGTATCACTGTGTTGCTCATGTTGGAGTGCAGTGGCATGATCTTGGCTCACTGCAACCTCCACCTCCTGGGTTCAAGCAATTCTCCTGCCTCAGCCTGACACTTTGTGAAGAAGGTATTTGCTTCTCCTTTGCCTTCCACCAGTACTGTAAGTTTCCTGAGGCCTCTCCATCCATGCAGAATAGTGAGTGAATTAAACCTTTCCGTTATAAATTACCCAGTCTCAGGCATCTCGTTATAGCAGCATAAGAATGAACTAATACACCCTCCATGTGTAGTGACGCAAAAAAGAGTGATAGTGGTAGAATTGAACACCAAAGAAATGAAAGGTTACTGCTTCTGCTAACATTGATGTTACTTGTATTTCAAATAGCACACCGAGAACACACCTATCCCAAATGTACTTGCCTTCAACATTAGACTTCATGGTGTACTTTTTGTGATGGTTTGAAAGAAGAGGTATAGCATTTTACATATGGACTTAACAGTCCTAAATGATGTTTAAAAATTTTCCTGAAGCTAGCAATACCACAAATTCCCTGGGCTTTTTGTCTACAATTGTACCAGTTCAGTAGTAGTATTCTCATTAATAACAACAGTCCTGTCTCCTGTTCTACCTAAATTTAATGAAAGAAAATAAAATTGATTCACGTTTTTGCATTGTAGCTAATTATTTTCAATCCCTGAATATGAGGGCTACATAAATGAATGACTTTAACGGTGAAACATTTTAATGCCAATCACTTGGAAAATCATAACATTTTACAATCACCATTAAACATGTTATGTATGTTTTAGGTGTTATAGTTATATGCAACATTCATTTAGTATTTTAAACATTGTCAGTTGGAATTTTTATATTAGTTTACTAAAAACATATTAATTTTCTTTTATACAGCCCAACTTAATTTCACCATTTCTCTAAAATTTTCCTCTAGTTAAAGATAACTTTTTCAGAATTCTGAAACAACTATTTTATAGTAATAGATTGTTAAATATGATTATATAAGTATGTATTATTTCTTTGATACCCACTGAGAAAATCATATGTCATATCGACAATGCTTTGAAATTCTTTAACATGAAATGACATTTATTTTGTAATTGAAGAGAAAGACTTCAAGTAAAAGAAAAATTAATGGCATAAATAACAATACAAATAATTATAGGAGTAATAATAAGCAACATGACCGGAAGGTTTACTATGTGTCAGGCAGTTTAAGGCATCAGTTAGGAGATTAATCATCACTATAAACTGGCCAGATGCAGTGGCTTATGTCTGTAATCCCACTGCTTTGGTAGAGAAAGGAGGCGGGATCATTTGAGGCCAAGAATCTGAGACCCTCCTGGGCAACATAACAAACACCTGTCTTACACACACACACACACACACACACACAAATTAGCCGTGCATGACGGTGTATGTCTGTAGACTCAGCTACTCTGGGGGTGTTGACATGGGAGGATTTCTTGAGCCCAGGATGTCAAGGCTGCAGTGAAATCTGGGACACTACAATCCATCCTGGGCAACAGAATGAGAAATTGTCTCTAAAAATAAAATAAATAAATAAATATTTTTTTAAAAAAAAAATTACCACAGCAAGCTGATGGAGGAGAAATTTGGCTGGGTTGATCTATAGATGAGGACACTAAAGTGAGAAGAAATGTTAAAACATCAACCAGGAATCCAGGTACAATATGGATTTTGATATCTGGGTGCCAACCTTGGGCAACATCCCCAACCACCACATTGTCCCTTAACTGGGTGCTAAATGCATGAACAGCATTTCCCAGGTAGAATTAGGAGAGACTGACATCACAGAGTTTGATTTTAGCAAAAATAATTAAGGCTAGAAAGGAGAAAATGGATTTAGCCTAATCCATCATGTGCTTTTCCTGTTCTCTGTATCACTCCAAGAATGTCAGCATCTGATGGGTGTGAAAAATCACACTTTTCTTGTACCTTGCACACTGTTTCCTTGTCTTGGGCCTTTCCTCATTATAATGGGACATACTTGTATCTCCATTCTTTCCATACTAGGAACTTTGGCTTCCGCTATGTATAATGTGGTTAATCGTGCGCTTAAATACCATCAAACTTCAAAATGTGTTTCCGAATGGGATTCTTATCCATGTTACCTTAAAGTTTCTTTTTTCCCAATAATAGGATATTCTTTAATAAGTGACCTCTTGGTCTAGATCATTAGTGTATATCTGCCCATATTGACAAGGATATAGCTTGATTTTTTTTTTTTTAAGAAATGTTGATGCTATTTCTAGGTTAGGCAAAAGTTTCCTACAGAAAAAAAAAAAAAAAAAAAAAAAAAGCAGGGTGATAATATTAAAATTAGTTTTGGTCAAGCATGTTGGGTCACACCTGTAATCCCAACAATTTAGAAAATCAAGGTGGGAGGGTCGCTTGCGGCCAGGCATTTGAGAACAGCCTAGACAACATAGTGACACTTCATCTCTAAAAATAATTTATTTTTGAAAATTAGCTGGGTGTGGTGGCACATGCCTGTGGTTCTAGCTGTTTGGGAGGCTGAAGTGTGATGATTGCTGATCTCCAAAGAAAAAGGCTGTAGTGAACCATAATCATCCCATTTGCACTCCAGCCTGGGTCATAGAGTGAAATCTTATCTCAAAAACAAACATCAGTGTTTATTGCCTAAGTTTTCTTAATTTTTCATTAAGAAAAAGCCGTTGGTCATTTTTTCTGGTTTAACATTTTATGCTTATTTTATATATATTTTTAAGATTGATTTCTCAGTTTGAAACAAAGGTTTTCAGTAGCCTGCTAGGACAAGAATGTGATTGGAATGGAGAAATTTCTTCCATGTAAGTTTCAACTAAGGGCTATGTAATAATACAGAATAAATGATAGGGCCATTATTTTGATGAAACTATCCTTTACTTGAGGAAATTTTAACATCATGATGGGAAAAATTACCACTATTTTATAGTGTTATAGATTATCTATCATTACCTACTTTTATTCTGAACAGAAAAATTTGCAAGTGGAGCTGAAAGAAATCAGAATGTTAGAATCACATGCATGTCTCAAATAAACTCATTTTTCAAAACTTCACAAACATATTCCTTGTGATCAATTTTATTTACCAAAGGTGTTCAGAGCATTTCTTCCATTCCACAGACCCTTCATATAGAGCAACTTTAAAGCTTTAAGATTCTTCTCAGACAAAAGATTCTCCTGGCAGGTGTGTGTGCTCAAGCCTGAAATAATAGCATTTTGGAGGCCAGGGTGGGAGGATTGTTGAGGCCGGGAATTGGAGACCAGCAACATAGTGAGACCCTTTTTCTACAATGTAATAATAATAACTATTATTATTTTAAAATATAACCATGCATGGCAGTTCACCTCTGTAGTCCCAGTTACTTGGGAGGCTCAGGCAGGAGGATCACTTCAGTCCAGGAAGTTGAGTCTGCAGTGAGCCATGATAGAACCACTGCACTCCAGTCTAGGAGACAGAGCAAGACCATGTCTCAAAAATAAATTAATTGAATAAATAAGTAAATAAATAAATACATAAATAAATAAAAAGACGCTCTCTCCTCTGGAATCTGAGCAAGGCTGTGAAAACAGAGGAAGTGACACTATGTACATTCTGAGGCTGGATTGTAAATGAAGCCTAAGCCACTTCGGGGAGGTGCTTTGTACATTTCATCTGAGAGCTCTTACTGAGCCAGCATCCATCCACACACATAGGAGTGATGAAACCTTCACTTCATTCTATTCCTCAGCCACAGAGTGCCTCCCCGACTTTGTAAACTCCAAACACCACAGGCAAAGACAGCCATATACAACGAACCCTTTCAGAATCCCTAAAGCACAAAATCTTTAGCATAATAAAACAATTGCTCTTCTACAAGACTGAGTTAGGCATCGGTAGAGTTTGGATATTGGATCCGCCATAACTCATATTGAAATTTTATCCCCACGTTGTATGTGGGGCCTGGCGAGAGGTGTTTGAGTCATGGGGGTGGATTCCTCATGAATGACTTGGTGCCCTTTGGAAGGAGTGAGTCCCTACTGTATAGTTCATCTGAGCATGGCACCCCTCTTCCTCTGTCTTTTCCTCCCTTGCATATGACTCTCCATTTACCTTTCACATTTGCCATTACTGGAAGCATCCTGAGGTGTTTACAAGAAGAAAAGTCTTCTTATACAGCCTGAAAAATCGTGACTCAGGTAAACACCAGGCTTTATAAATTGGTAAATTACCCAGGCTCAGGTATTTCTTTATAGCAATGCAAAGCAGACTGAGACAGAGTTGATCTGTACATAAAAATAGAATAGGAAAACACGCTCACAGGACACAGACAAACATGTTTTCAAATGAAAGCTAAGAAGATTAAATAAGGTTCCAAATACATAAGCAATTATTTGCAAGACTATTACTTTTATAGTATTAGTATATTACTAAAATAATTATTTTCTTAATTATTGATGTGTGTATACATATTATCTATAAATATAGCTAATATAAATATGAATATATTTATATTATTTATAAATATAGTTCTATTTTTATGTATATCTATTATATTTATATTATTTATGTATAGATATAAATAATAACAATAATTTTAATTAACCAGGCTTGGTAGTTCACCCCTGTAGTCTCAGTTCCTTGAACGGTAATTATATGGTCTCTATAATATAAACATCTATTACTATAATTATATTTCTATTATATAAATAATAGATAATATTTATATTCTCTATAAATGGAGAATATAAATACAATACTCATATTATCTATCATATGAAACATATTTATATAATAAAAATATAATATATACTATAAATATACTTATAGTAAATTATTATATATACTATAAATATACTATATTATATATTAAATAACATAATTATATTTATATATTATATTATATATTATAAATATAAATTTATTTATATTACATACATATATTATTTTTAATATAAATACAAATGCTATCTACGACTGTCTAGGACTGCTTACAAAAAAAGCAGTCCTTGATAAAATTTATATCTCAGGTATAAAATGAGCAAATGAGGTGTTTTAAAACAAGTAGAAGCTGGGCGCGGTGGCTCGTGCCTGTAATCACAGCACTTTGGGAGTCTGAAGCAGGCGAATCACTTGAGGCCAGGAGTCTGACACCAACCATCCTGGCTAACATGAAAAAAAAAAAAACCATCTTTACTAAAAATACAAAAGTTAGCTGGGCATGATGGTGGGTTCCTGTAATCCCATCTACTCCCAGCTGAAGCAGAAGAATCAATTGAACCTGGGCGGCAGAGGCTGCACTGAGCAGGGATCATTCCACTGCATTCCAGCCTGGACAACAGGCTGTCTCAAAATTAATTAATAAAATAAAATTAAATTAAAATGAATAGAAGTCTTATATATTTGTGTGTGTGTGTGTGTGTGTGTGTATGTGTGTGTCTGTATACATATAAATGGTTTCAATTTATGCCATTCAAGTTTTATAGTGGGCAAGTAAAATAGCATTTCTCACGGCTTTAAAGCTTTTGCTGGGGTGACATGATTATACAAGTATAATGCTGAGCCATCCATTTTATAATGAGTTTTGCACCTTCACAGATGACATATTCTGGCAAGGAACTTTTCAAGCATAAGAAACATTTTTTACTGACAAGTATGAGGAAAATTAAATTTAAAAGTAGGTACTATCTATCTCGTGTCAGCTTTCAATGAAGCAAAATCAGATTTTCACAGCCTTGTTCTCATATTTCCACAAAGCTTTCCCATTTCCTCTGGGAATGCCTGTTGCAAGAGCCACTTTTAATAATTAGAAAATAAAAGTAAATATGTATCATTGTCAAATTTCATTTCGACCCATTCAACTAAAAAAATAATACTAAATTAGGGTGGGTGACAGGAACTCCAGTCTCTGGGTCTTAAAACAAAGAAACAAACAAACAAACAAAACAAGACAAGCCTAATTCCCCTAATGTGGAAAATCTGACAGATCATTCAATAAACATAGTTCATTAAATTCCAATCCACCAGAAATCAAAGCCATGAAAAATTTAAACAAAGAAAGGGAATTTCCCAGCCATTAGCTTAGCAAAAATTCAAATGTCTGCTGTATTCATTGTTGCAGAATTGTAGCAAAAGGGAATTTGTACCCAATTTTGGAAAAGCCATTTGGTATTGTCTAATGAAATGGAAAGTCTGCAATGGCATTTGTTACTCAACAGTACCTTTAAGAAGGCAAGACATGTTTAATTATTGGGGTTTTTGGGACAGACAGGCTGGATTTGATCTCAGCTTTTTTCCTGCTAGGTGTGTGATTTGAGCAATTTAGTAACTAGGCTTTAGATTTTCATTTTATGAATTAAGGCAACTAGACTTTTGTTGAGGCAAATAAGCTTAATATTTATAAAGAGCATTAACAAAATACCGCCAAATAAATGCTCACATATGTACACAAAGAGGCATTAATAATTTTGTTTCTTGCCATATTGTTTGTAGAAGAGGAAAAGTGGAAATGACTTAGATCAAGGAAAAGGGAGTAATTAAGAATTAATAGCTCATAGTGTATGCATACCAGGTATATTACAGTTATACAAATTGGCTCTATCTAAAAGGGCAATAAAATAATTACAAAAAGATGTATATAATAATGTACTTCTAAAGTAAATTTAAAAAATATTCACCAGCTGTAGTTTAGTGATACATATATTTTTACTGACAATATAAAAATGTACTTTGGAAGACATTATGAGAATATAATTGATTGATACACAACTTCAGCATTTGTCACCAGTGGTTTTCTCTCTCACAAGATGTTTACACAGTGTATGTGAACAAGTTTCAATTTGCAAAGGAATGCCCGAGAAGGCAAATAGAATAGAGTGAATTTTAAATATAGTGTGCTTGATGTTCTTAATTTGGAAAACATTTAAAAGATGTGCACTGTTATAATTAGCATGTGTGTGTTGTGTATGTGTATGTGTGTATATATGTGTAAAACTAATGTCCTATACATTTATATATATTTTATATCAACATATACATGTGCTCTGTTATAGTAAATCAGCATGTTACATATAGGTATGCTTATATGTGTATATACATAAAGAAAAATGTCATATACATTTATATATACATATTATATCAATATGTACATATGCACTGTTAGAATAATCAGTATGTATGTGTAAATGTATGTATATAGATTTGTGTATATATAATAAAACAAATGTCATACACATTTATATATACCTTTGAACAATATATACATTTTAATAAGCATTTAACATGTACAGTTGACCCTTGGAAAAAAACAGAGATTAGAGATGAATTTTTAAAATATTACATTTACATTACTTTTTTTCATTAAATAAAATTATTATTGGTAAAGTTGAAGTTTACCAAGTGAAATTTGTTGAAAGCAACAATCCACCATCACCTTGGCAGCTATAGGGAGGGGACTGCCATCAAACAAGCTTCAAATTTACCAATAATCATTATATTTAATAAAAAGCACAAATGCAACGAATATATAAATGTATATGTATATATATGGCATTTATTTTATACACACACACAGACACACACACACATATATACACACATGTAAGAATTGCTGTAACAATGAACATTTTTAAAATATTTTCCAAATTTAGAACATCAAACACACTAGATTTAAAATTCACTGCATTCTTTTTGGCTTTTAGGGCACACCACTGCAAATTGGAATTTGTTCACATAAATTGAGTAAACATCCTATGACAGAGGAAGCCCTTGGGTAAAAATGCCCATGTTGTATATCAATTAATGACATAAAAATAATCTAGTGTATCTCCTTTTATATGGCAATTCTATAAAATGTGTCTGTGTAGCTGGTGGTTTAGCAACTGTCTAAACAGAACTACCTGGATGCCCATAACATAATTATTCAGTCAGAATATTGTGTCTATTTTTTTGTGTCTTGAAATCATGAAACATATGGAAGAAATGTAAATAACAAAAAATATTCAAGAGTGTAACAAAATTAATTTTACTGAACACAAGTAGCTACATATATAATGATATAATTTAAATATAAATGTGTATGTATGTGTGTATATGCATATACAGCTGCCCCTTGAACAACATGGGTTTGAACTGTGTGAGTCACTAATATGTGGATTTCCTTCCACCTCTGCCACCATTGAGATAGCAAGACCAACCCTTTCCCTTCTTCCTCCTCAGTCCACTCCAGGTGAAGACAATGGGGCTGAAGGCCTTCAAGATGATCCACTTCCACTTTGTGAATAATAAATGTATTTTCTCTTTCTTGGAATATTCTTAATGACATTTTATTTTCTATATCTTACGTTATTGTAAAAATACAGTATATAGTACATATAATGTACAAAATGTGTGTTAATTGACCATTCATATCATTGGTAATAGCCAATCTACAGTATACTATTAATACTTCAGTTTTGCGGGAGTAAAAATTATACATGGATTTTCAACTATACATGAGAGTCGGATGGAGGTTTGTTCCTTACCTCCCATGTTGCTCAACGGCTAACTGTATATGTTAAATGTTCATATAAATGTATGTATTGGTTTAAAATGTATATATTAAATATTCAAAAACATATGAAATATGCATAGATCCAAGTTATAGATATGTACCATATACATATATATGTGTAGGTGTATATACACACACACACACACACACACACACTCACACACACAAACACAAGTTTATGTACAAACGCTCCTTAACTTATGATGGGGTTATGTCCCAATAAACCCATAGCAAGTTGAAAATACCAAAATTTGAAAATGCATTGAATACACCTAACCTACTAAACATCATAGCTTTGCCTAGCATACCTTAAATATGCTCAAAGCACTTGTATAACCTATCATGGAGCAAACTCCTCTAGCAACACAGAACACTGTAGAGTTTTGCCTATGAACCTTTGTGATTGCAAGGCTGAGTGGGAACTGGCTCCCTGTAGCCTGGCAAGAGGGGAAAACAGCACTTTCTACTGCATGCATGCTATTCTCACACCACCATTAAGTCCAGCAGTTGTAAATGGGACCATCTCAAGTGAAAGACCATCTGTATATCAATTTATATGTATACAAGTTTGTAAATAAATACATAAATGTATGTTTACATATATACAAGTCTATATATAAATATATCAGTGTACATGTATAAATAAATGTAATTACATATTATTGATGGCATTTGGCTCTGCGTTCCCACTAAAACCTCACTGTGAAGTGTAATCCCCACATGTCCAGGGAGGTGCCTGATGGGAGGTGATTGGATCCTAGGGGATTTTTCCCTTGCTGTTCTCAAGATAGTGAGTTCTCACGAGATCTAATGGTTTAAAAATGTGGCACTTCCTTGCTCCCTCTCCCTCCTGCTGCCATGAGAAGATGTGCCTTGCTTCCGCTTCCCCTTCCGCCATGATTATAAGTTCCGTGAGGCCTCCCAGGCCCTGCAGCACTCTAAGTTATTAAACCTCTTTTCTTTAAAAATTACCCAGTCTCCAGTAGTTCTTTAAAACAGTCTGAAAATGAACTAATACAGTGATATGTAAGTATATTGTATATATTATTATTATTTATAATAATTTTACTAAACAGAACTAGGCACACATATAAAGATGTAATATATTTTATTTTATTTTATTTATTTATTTATTTGAGACTGGATCTTGCTCTGTGGCCTAGGCTATGGTGCAGTGGTGTGATCTGGACTCACTGCAACCTAAACATCTGGGGTTCAAGCAATCCTCTTACCTCAGCCGCTGTCTCCAGTAGCTGGGACCACAGGCATGCACTGTGATGCCTATATAATTTTTGTATTTTTGGTAGAGACAGGGATTTACCATGTTGTGCAGGCTGCTCTCCAATTCCTGAGCTCTCGCAGTCTTTCCATCCCAAACTCGCCAAGTCCTGGGACTTACAGGCATGATCTGCCGTGCCCAACAAAAAGCTGTAATTTAAATATGGAGATGGGTATTCATTTATATATTATAAAAAAGTATATATGGGGGTGGAGCCAAGATGGCCGAATAAGAACAGCTCCGGTCCACAGCTCCCAGTGTGAGTGACGCAGAAGATGGGTGATTTCTGCATTTCCATCTGAGGTACCGGGTTCATCTCACTAGGGAGTGCCAGACAGTGGGTGCAGTGCCCCATGCAGGAGCTGAAGCAGGGCTAGGCATTGCCTCACTCGGGAAGTGCAAGGGGTCAGGGAGTTCCCTTTCCTAGTCAAAGAAAGGGGTGTCAGACGGCACCTGGAAGATCGGGTCACTCTCAACCTAATACTGAGCTTTTCCAACGGGCTTGAAAAACAGCACACCAGGAGATTATGTCCTGCACCTGGCTCAGAGGGTCCTACACCCACGGAGTCTTGCTGATTGCTCGCACAGCAGTCTGAGATCAAACTGCAAGGTGGCAGTAAGGCTGGGGGAAGGGTGCCTGCCATTGCCCAGGCTTGATTAGGTAAACAAAGCAGCTGGGAAGCTCCAACTGGGTGGAGCCCACCACAGCTCAAGGAGGCCTGCCTGCCTCTGTAGGCTCCACCTCTCGGGGCAGGGCACAGACAAACAAAAAGACAGCAGTAACCTCTGCAGACTTAAATGTCCATGTCTGACACCTTTGAAGAGAGTAGTGGTTCTCCCAACACGCAGCTGGAGATCTGAGAATGGCAGACTGCCTCCTCAAGTGGGTCCCTGACCCCCGAGCAGCCTAACTGGGGGGCACCCCGCAGTAAGGGCAGACTGACACCTCACACGGCCGGGTACTCCTCTGAGACAAAACTTCCAGGGGAACGATCAGGCAGCAGCATTTGCGGTTCACAAATATCCACTGTTCTACTGCCACCACTGTTCTGCAGCCATGGCTGCTGATACCCAGGCAAACAGGGTCTGGAGTGGACCTCTAGCAAACTCCAACAGACCTGCAGCTGAGGGTCCTGTCTGTTAGAGGGAAAACTAACAAACAGAAAGGACACCCACACCAAAAACCCATCTGTATGTCACCATCATCAAAGACGAAAAGTAGATAAAACCACAAACATGGGGAAAAAACAGAGCAGAAAAACTGGAAACTCTAAAAAGCAGAGTGCTTCTCCTCCTCCAAAGGAATGCAGCTCCTCACCAGCAATGGAAAAAAGCTGGACGGAGAATGACTTTGATGAGTTGAGAAAAGAAGGCTTCAGATGATCAAACTACTCCGAGCTACAGGAGAAATTTAAACCAATGGCAAAGAAGTTAAAAACTTTGAAAAAAAATTAGATGAATGGATAACCAGAATAATCAATGCAGAGAAGTCCTTAAAGGAGCTGATGGAGCTGAAAGGCAAGGCTCGAGAACTATGTGAAGAATGCAGAAGCCTCAGGAGCTGATGCGATTATCTGGAAGAAAGGATATCAGCGATGGAAGATGAAATGAATGAAATGAAGCGAGAAGGGAAGTTTAGAGAAAAAAGAATACAAAGAAACGAACAAAGCCTTCAAGAAATATGGGACTATGTGAAAAGACCAAATCTACATCTGATTGGTATACCTGAAAGTGACGGGGGGGAATGGAACCAAGTTGGAAAACACTCTGCAAGATATTATCCAGGAGAACTTACCCAATCTAGCAAGGCAGGCCAACATTCAGATTCAGGAAATACAGAGAACTCCACAAAGATACTCCTAGAGAAGAGCAACTCCAAGACACATAATTGTCAGATTCATCAAAGGTGAAATGAAGGAAAAATTGCTCAGGGCAGCCAGAGAGAAAGGTCGGGTTACCCACAAATGGAAGCCCATCAAACTAACAGCGGATCTCTCAGCCCAAACTCTACAAGCCAGAAGAGAGTGGGGGCCAATATTGAACATTCTTAAACCCAGAATTTCATATCCAGCCAAACTAGGCTTCATAAGTGAAGGAGAAATAAAATACTTTACAGACAAGCAAATGCTGAGAGATTTTGTCACCACCAGGCTTGCCTTAAAAGACCTCCTGAGGGAAGCGCTAAACATGGAAAGGAACAACCGGTAACAGCCACTGCAAAATCATGCCAAATTGTAAAGACCATCGAGGCCAGGAAGAAACTGCATCAACTAATGAGCAAAATAACCAGCTAACATCATAATGACAGGATCAAATTCACACATAACCATATTAACTTTAAATGTAAATGGGCTAAATGCTCCAATTAAAAGACACAGACTGGCAAATTGGATAAAGAGACAAGACCCATCAGTGTGCTTTATTCAGAAAACCCATCTCACATGCAGAGACACACATAAGCTCAAAATAAAGGGACGGAGGAAGATCTACCAAGCAAATGGAAAACAAAAAAAGGCAGGGGTTGCAATCCTAGTCTCTGATAAAACAGATTTTAAACCAACAAAGATCAAAAGAGACAAAGAAGGCCATTACATAATGATAAAGGGATCAATTCAACAAGAAGAGCTAACTATCCTAAATATATATATGCACCCAATACAGGAGCACCCAGATTCATAAAGCAAGCCCTCAGTGACCCACAAAGAGACTTAGACTCCCATGCAATAATAATGGGAGACTTTAACACCCCACTGTCAACATTAGACAGATCAATGAGACAGAAAGTTAAAAAGGATACCCAGGAATTGAACTCAGCTCTGCACCAAACAGACCTAATAGACATCTACAGAACTCTCCACCCCAAAACAACAGAATATACATTTTTTTTCAACACCACATCTCACCTATTCCAAAATTGACCACATAGTTGGAAGTAAAGCACTCCTCAGCAAATGTAAAAGCACAGAAATTATAGCAAACTGTCTCTCCAACCACAGTGCAATCAAACTAGAACTCAGGATTAAGAAACTCACTCAAAACCGCTCAACTACATGGAAACTGAACAACCTGCTCCTCAATGACTACTGGGTACATAATGAAATGAAGGCAGAAATAAAGATGTTCTTTGAAACCAATGAGAATAAAGACACAACATACCAGAATCTCTGGGGCACATGCAAAGCAGTCTGTAGAGGGAAATTTATAGCACTAAATGCCCACAAGACAAAGCAGGAAAGATCCAAAATTGACACCCTAACATCATAATTAAAAGAACTAGAAAAGCAAGAGCAAACACATTCAAAAGCTAGCAGAAGGCAAGAAATAACTAACATCAGAGCAGAACTGAAGGAAATAGAGACACAAAAAAACTCTTCAAAAAATTAATGAATCCAGGAGCTGGTTTTTTGAAAAGATCAACAAAATTGATAGACCGCTAGCAAGACTAATAAAGAAGAACACAGAGAAGAATCAAATAGATGTAATAAAAAACAATAAAAGGGATATCACCACCGATCCCACAGAAATACAATCTACTATCAGAGAATACTACAAACATCTCTATGCAAATAAACTAGAAAATCTAGAAGAAATGGAAAAATTCCTCGACACCTACACCCTCCCAAGGGTAAACCAGGAAGAAGTTGAATCTCTGAATAGACCAATAACAGGATCTGAAATTGTGGCAATAATCAATAGCTTACCAACCAAAAAAAGTCAAGGACCAGATGGATTCACAGCCCAATTCTACCAGAGGTACAAGGAGGAGCTTGTACCATTCCTTCTGAAACCAATCCAATCAATAGAAAAAGAGAGAATCCTCCCTAACTCATTTTATGAGGGCAACAACATCCTGATACCAAAGCCTGGCAGAGACACAACCAAAAAAGAGAATTTTAGACCAATATCCCTGATGAATATCGATGTAAAAATCCTCAGTAAAATACTGGCAAACCGAATCCAGCAGCACATCAAAAAGCTTATCCACCATGATCAAGTGGGCTTCCTCCCTGGGATGCAAGGCTGGTACAACATACCCAAATCAAAAAATGTAATCCGGCTTATAAACAGAACCAAAGACAAAAACCACCTGATTATCTCAATAGATGCAGAAAAGGCCTTTGACAAAATTCAACAACCCTTCATGCTAAAATCTCTCAATAAATTCTGTATTGATGGGACGTATCTCCAAATAATAAGAGATATCTATGACAAACCCACAGCCAATATCATACTGAATGGGCAAAAACTGGAAGCATTCCCTTTGAAAATGGGCACAAGACAGGGATGCCCTCTCACACCACTCCTATTCCACATAGTGTTGGAAGTTCTGGCCAGGGCAATCAGGCAGGAGAAGGAAAAAAAGTATTCAATTAGGAAAAGAGGAAGTCAAATTGTCCCTGTTTGCAGATGACATGACTGTACATCTAGAAAACCCCATTGTCTCAGCCCAAAATCTCCTTAAGCTGATAAGCAATTTCAGCAAAGTCTCAGGATACAAAATCAATGTGCAAAAATCACAAGCATTCTTATACACAACAACAGACAAACAGAGAGCCAAATCATGAGTGAACTCCCATTCACAATTGCTTCAAAGAGAATAACATACCTAAGAATCCAACTTACAAGGGACATGAAGGACCTCTTCAAGGAGAACTACAAACCACTGCTCAATGAAATAAAAGAGGATACAAAGAAATGGAAGAACATTCCATGCTCATGGGTAGTAAGAATCAATATTGTGAAAATGGCCATACTGCCCAAGGTAATTTATAGATTAAATGCCATCCCCATGAAGCTACCAATGACTTTCTTCACAGAATTGGAAAAAACTACTTTAAAGTTCATATGGAACCAAAAAAGAGCCCGCATTGCAAGGTCAATCCTAAACCAAAAGAACAAAGCCAGAGGCATCACGCTACCTGACTTCAAACTATACTACAAGGCTATGGTAACCAAAACAGCATGGTACTGGTACCAAAACAGAGACATAGATCAATGGAACAGAACAGAGCCCTCAGAAATAATGCTGCATATCTACAACCATCTGATCTTTGGCAAACCTGAGAAAAACAAGCAATGGGGAAAGGATTCCCTATTTGATAAATGGTGCTGGGGAAACAGGCTAGCCATATGTAGAAAGCCGAAACTGGATCCCTTTCTTACACCTTATACAAAAATTAATTCAAGATGGATTAAAGACTTCCATGTTAGACCTAAAACCATAAAAACCCTAGAAGAAAACCTAGGCAATATGATTCAGGACATAGGCATGGGCAAGGACTTCGTGCCTAAAACACCAAAAGCAATGGCAACAAAAGCCAAAATTGGCAAATGGGATCTAATTAAACTAAAGAGCTTCTGCACAGCAAAAGAAACTACCATCAGAGTGAACAGGCAACCTACAAAATGGGAGAAAATTTTTGCAACCTACTCATCTGACAAAGGGCTAACATCCAGAATCTACAATGAACTCAAACAAATTTACAAGAAAAAAACAAACAATCCCATCAAAAAGTGGGCCAAGGATATGAACAGACACTTCTCAGAAGAAGACATTTATGCAGCCAAAAAACACATGAAAAAATGCTCATCATCACTGGCCATCAGAGAAATGCAAATTGAAACCACAATGAGATACCATCTCACACCAGTTAGAATGGCGATCATTAAAAAGTCAGGAAACAACAGGTGCTGGAGAGGATGTGGAGAAATAGGAACACTTTTACACTGCTGGTTGGACTGTAAACTAGTTCAACCATTGTGGAAATCAGTGTGGCGATTCCTCAGGGATCTAGAACTAGAAATACCATTTGACCCAGACATCCCATTACTGGGTATATATCCAAAGGACTATAAATCATGCTGCTATAAAGACACATGCACACGTATGTTTATTGCGACGCTATCCACAATAGCAAAGACTTGGAACCAACCCAAATGTCCAACAATGATAGAACGGATTAAGAAAATGTGGCACATATACACCATGGAATAGTATGCAGCCATAAAAAATGATGAGTTCATGTCCTTTGCAGGGACATGGATGAAACTGGAAATCATCACTCTTAGCAAACTATTGCAAGGACAAAAAACCAAACACCACATGTTCTCACTCATAGGCGTGAATTGAACAATGAGAACACATGGACATAGGAAGGGGAACATCACACTCGGGGACTGTTGTGGGGTGGGGGGAGGGGGGAGGGATAGCAATAGGAGATACCTAATGCTAAATGACAAGTTAATGGGTGCCGCACACCAGCATGGCACATGTATACATATGTAACAAACCTGCACATTGTGCACATGTGCCCTAAAACTTAAAGTATAATAATAATAAAATTTAAAAAGTATATATATTTACATATACATAATATATTTTAACTTTATGTATATTAATGTATATACAAGCTTGTATGTAAATTTATAAATGGATATCAAATTAACATACACGTGTGTTTGTTGTTACATTTTAAATTTACATTTCACAATTTGCCAAGTCATGTTATTAGTAGTACTTAAGTGTATTTTTGTTTAATTGAACTTATTAAGGTTAAAAGAACCTTTGAACTGAAAAAAAAAAATGCCTAAAACTTCAAAAAGAAGAAACATATGGACAGCTTCCTCTATGCATCCCACAGTATATTAAATGTTGATTTCTGGGCACCTTGGAAATTTCAGTGTCTGAATGAAACATTGCAGCAAGGGTTGGAGTTGTTGCTCTGCTGCAGATTTTTTCTTTATTTCTGTAACAGTCCTGCATTAATCCTCTTCCACCCCTCATCTCAGCTTATACTTCAGGAAGTTGCCTTGATTAGCCTTTCTTGGCACAAGATGGATACTGCTTCCTAAAACCCATGGGGCAACAACAAAGATATTATAGAGAAATTTTGGCTAAACTCAAGACTTTCTCTGGGCACCCGAGGAAGAAATAGCTGACAAATACTGTCAGAAGAAATGTTGGGTAATCCTGTGGAAGATCAAAACATCATCTATGTTTTGACCCTTTCATCAGTTCTGAACTCCTGAAAAAAAAAAAAAAAAAGGTGATTCCAGTGGTGAGTTTTACACACCCATATGATTTACTCTTCCCTTTAGCAAAAGCAAAACTCTTCACAAGGCATAGAGATTTACTATCCTGAATCTTGATCTCTGTATTCAATTGTCCTACCATGCTGCAGTTTTTCTATATAACTAACATAGAAGCAGAAAGTATCTAGATTCTGCAGTTGGAGAGCATGAAACATTCATACCACTGGCCATAGCTGCACGTGACTCTCTCAAGTTTTTTTTTTTTTTTTTTTTTTTTTTAGAGAAACAATTCTCAGAAAGTTATAACCCATAGCTTCAAGAAACAGACATTCTATATCACTAGACTGCTGGCATTATTCCTATACTTTGCCAAAAGAGCAGCATGAAAATAGACTCAATGATCCATAGTGGAACTACCTGAGTCAATCCCTTCATCTGTAACTCTGAAACACTGAAAATGTTGCTGTAAATGTATCTACAATTACTGCCCAGCATCATGCAAATGACTCATTAGCCTGAAACTCAGAAATGTTTAAAAATTTATAAGGTTTTAGGAGAGTTTCCCCTGATGTTGTTTGAATTGCTAAGAAGTCTTACAGTGGACTTCGTACCTTAGGACATCCACGGACTAATTACGTTCCGTGGGTCAAATCCAGCCCACTACTTGTTTCTGTAAATAAAGTTTTACTGGAAAACAGCCATGCCCATTCATTTGTATATTGTCTGTGCCTGCTTTTGTGGTATGATAGAAGAGCTCAGTTACTACAACAGAGATTATGTATCTCACAGAGATGAAAATGTTTACTATTTGACTCTTTTTATTAAAAGTAGGCCAATTTCATAGAACTATTAACAGTACTAAAATATAAAGCTGTCTCCCCCTTTTTTTCTAATCTTTCTCAACTTGTCATGTCTTTACAAAATAAATTTATATTTGATGTTGTTCTAAGTAAGGAAAAAATAAAATATTTAGTCACTGGCATGGTTTTCCATTTTTACCTTTATATTGTGTAATGCCAATTTTGAACTCCAGTATCTGAGCAGTTAACATGTATTCAGAATCACTGAAATTACACAAGCTGTTATTTTGTAGCATATGCATAAGTATCTACTGCATTCTTACCAGAACAGGGGAAGTGTGCTACACAAAATGAACTCAGCTGATTTTATTTTACTTCCTGATATTGACATATTCTAGCAACACTGTACCTTCAGCTCACTGATGATAAGGAAGGCATGTAACTAACAGGAACCACAGGTTGTCCTCTCATCCCCATCTCCTCTATAACATCATTTTCCACATAAGTGGTTGCCTGACACAGCAAGAAGAATAAGAGATAGGATAGAGTTCTTGTTTGTTCTGGGATTTTTTAGAATTTCATTGCCACTTATCTATATTTAAAGTAGGTTCTAATTTGTACTCAAAGCATGACCTCTCTGGGATGCAAGAGCACTCACTTTGTCATAGAAGTAATAACCTCACTTTGTGAATCTTACTGAATTTTCCCTTATTGCCAGTCCAGCAGAATTCTGTGCCCAAGAGGGTTCATGAACACTGTATGCAATTGGGTAGGAAAGAACAGTGGCAGAAGTGCATATGGTGCATATCTCCTCTAACCATGTGCATGCATTCCTCTTCTTTCATTGCATTCCACATATGAAAGGAAAGTGCAAAGATTAATTCTTCAGAATTTCAAGACAGCAGTAGCAGAACTCTAAACCTAGCATGGGGCGCTCTGAACCCCAGGACCCTGGGGATTGCTTGAGGCCACACACCTGTGGAAGAGACACTGAGGTATGGAATGGAAATGTAAATGAATGCTGCCTAATTTCTGTTTTCAATCAATATTTTCCTTCCTCATCAAAGGAGACAACTATACTGAATGTCCTGCTAACTTTTCTAGCACTACTCTATTGTTAGAGAATACATTCTTAAGTTTTGCTTGAATTTGAATGTTATGTAAGAGAATCATACTGTTTATAGTGTCTTCCTTAGGTTCTTTCCTTGAACACGGTATTTTTCAGAGATTCACGCAGGGTGATTCATAATCATGAAGTCTAGTGATCTTCATTGCTGTATAATATTTCTGAGTAACTGATTTAACACAAATTGATTATCCATCTTCTTTTTGATAAGTATGTGTGCATTTTGAGTTTTTTTCAGCATTCTGAAGCTCCTTTGAATTTCACTTTTATGAGAGTTCTGTGCATGTATGTTTGTAATATTTTATTGATATTTTGGCATCTATTGATAAGTGAATCTATTTAGATTATAGTTGATATATTAACATGTTTGAATTATATTTTAAAAATATTCAAGCACTAGGAAAAATGTTGTGCATTCCTGAAATGAACTTCAGTTGATCGTGATGAATATTATATTTTCTAGCTCCGTCAAAAGACGTTGTTAGAAATACCCCTATATGCATTTCATGGTGTAAGGAGTTCCTGAGTATCTGTTACATATGCATTCAAGTAGAGTTCTACACTTATGGTTCATTTTTAGAACAGACATTGTAGAGTGACAGCAAACTGTATTCTGAAAGCACGGTAACAATTTATAATCCAAGTAGATATGAGAGAAAGTTCAAACTGATCTAAGCCTCAACATCACAGTGTTTCAGCCAACTATATGGTAAGAAATGATGCCTCGTTGTTAGTGAAATTTATAATTTTTTATGAACAAACTTTATGGTTTTATATTTTTATAAAATCCAAATGATAACTTTTCTACACCACCTGTTTGAAAAATTCCCATTATTATAGCATAGTATATGCATGTATATATGTTATTGGTATATTTTCTGGTAAAATATATTGAAGATACATTCTCCAAATTAGATGCATCACATATCACTCAATTTTAACATTGGATGGGCAAAATTTTTAACTTTAATGTAGTTGAATTAATCAAAATTTTAACCTTGGTTATAGTTTTTTATATTCCTTTTCTTTGTTTAAGATTACAGAGTTTCACTCTGTGGCCCAGGCTGGAGTGTGTTGCTGTAATCTCTGCTCAATGCAACATCTGCCTCCTAGGTTCAAGTGATTCCCGTGCCTCAGACTCCTGAGTTGCTGGGATTACAGGCACCCATCATCATAGCCAGCTAATATTTGTATTTTTAGTAGATATGTTTTTGCCATGTTGGCCAGGTTGGTCTCTAATGCCTGGCCTCAGGTGATCCATCTGCCTTGGCCTCCCAAAATGTTGAGATTACAGGTCTGAGCCACCATGTCTGGCCCAGTTTTTTATATACTTAATCATCTAGTATTGGAGCAGCAATGAAAGGAAATTAAAGAATATGTAAGCAGAAACTCTGTTATATGTAAAAAAAAAAAAAAAAAAAAAAAAAAATCCCCGAGAAAGAGAAAGAGCTGGAGCGCTTTATAAATTAACTGCCTGTTTTTCTGTCACTAGTGAGCCTTATCTCTCCTACTTTCCCAGGCATGGCGAAGATCCTGTTTCTCCAGCTGTGCAGTTGCAAGGTCACTAGACAGATAAACTCAAGTCATAAAACATGTTTTTCCTTGAAAAGTAGAAATGATGTAATGCGTGTCTTAATTGAATAACTGTCTTTGTTTCTCACTTCTGTAATATGCTTGTCCCTGCACAGATCTACCCCCAACCCACAAAATGCTTAAAATGTAACTTACCTCTTTGTTCAGTGCTCAGTCCTTTGCATGTTAATCTGACTGGACTGGTGCACCTAAAAAATAAATATCCTCCTCAACCCCATCAGTCTTTCTGATTCCTTATCAATCCCACTACAGTATGATAAAGATATTTTCAAACACTTTGATATTTTTAAGGTTTTTAATTGCTCCTAAGTTTTAAAGTTCTAATATCAGGCTTTAAGGTCTAAGCAAACCTGTAATTATTTTTTAATGTAATTACTTATTTAAATTTTATAATTTGTACAAGATACTTTACTAAAATGTTTACCTTTCTTCATTCATGAATAAATTATGTTTCCATAAATGTCTGTTTGGTCTCACTTTTTTTTTGTTGGTAGGTAAACCTATCCTAGCATCAGTATTATGCTCTTCTAAGATTTAACAGTAAGGCATATGGAATCTCGTGGAACACATCTTCCACCTTCATCATTTCCATAAAGGGTTTCTTGGTGTATCTCATGCAATTGTCTCTCTATATAAATTTTTGGATTAGCTTATTGATTTCTACAAAACATCTTTTTGGGAATTTTATTTAAATTTTATTGACTCCATAGGTTAATTAAGAGACAATTGTCATCATTATTTATTGAGTCTAATTATATTTTGTCAAGTAAAATTTTTGTTTGTTGTCTTTATAAATTATATGATAATCTGCATTTTCTAAATGATTATTACTATTGAAGATAAGAAAATTGATTTTTAAAAGCTGATTTTATATCTAACAACACTATTAAATATTCATGTTGATTTGACCAATATGAGTTTGACAGTATATTTGTGTAGATTTTCTCTATGTATTATCATATGATTGATAAATAGTGACATTTTCCTCCTTTTCCATTCATAAAACTGTTCTTTCTTTCCTCTTCTATCCAGCAAAATAAAGAAGAGAGGCTCTGATAAAAAGCATTATTGCATTTCCTGATCTTAAATACAACAAACATTGTTTGCTATAGGTTTTCTTAGTGTCCTGTCCCTCATCAAGAAAGCACCTTTGAATTCCAGTTTTCTAAGAGCTCTGTGCATGAAAGTTTATAATATATTATGAATTTATTTGTATCTATAAATAAGTGAACATATTGAGATGATGGTGTATATATTAGTGAGTGTAAATTATATATAAAAATATTCCAGCACTAAGAAAAATATTATGTGTTCCTGGAATCAACTTCAAGAGATCATGATATTACATTTTATGCAATCAACTTTTTTACGTGTGTGTATCTGTAGTTTCATTTCTGTGGTGATGAGTGAGACAGGTGTGGAGTAAATCAGTCCATTACATTCTTTTCTAGGTTACTTGAATTTGACATCTCAGTTCAGCATTGTAAACTCTTACAATGAACTCATAAAGTTAGAACAAAGTTAAAAATAATTGCTATCTAAGTATCAGAGTTAGAATAAATTATTCCCAAGGTTTCCCCTCACTTTAAGTTTCCCTGATTCTTGTATTTTTTACTTAAATTGGATATACAATTATTATTTTTTCATTATTTAATTCATAATACATTTGGTAAAATAATTTCTTTTTAAGTAAAACATTTAATAGTGCAGTTTGGTTCGTGTTAATTATACTTCAACGAACCCCTTATGTTACTTGCCTAGTGACAGAGTATGTGGGTAAACAGTTGATCAATATTCTGCTAAATGTTACTTATGAGATTTTCTATTTAAACAATCACATATTGTCACTTTTGTTTGTCATTAGTTTAGTATTGTATCTTGAAAATTTAGTATGTGCTGTTTTAATTATTACACAGACAATATCTGTATATCTATTGTCTATATCTATATTTATCTACCATATGTCTCTATATATTATCCATCATCATCATGATGTATATCTGTCATCAAATTATCTAGCTATCATGTACTATACCTATCATCCATTCTTAGGTATTACCTATCTTTCTCATTACCATACCTATGCATTCTATCTATTTACCTTATCTATATATCTTTCTATCTTTCTATATTACACTGAAGTGGTTTATCTTTTTGTGGTGGAGGTTGTTTTAGGAACGGTGTTTAGACTCTATAAAATCTCATTGAATTAAGTTGAATGAAAAGCATTTTTTCACATGGCGTAAAGGCTTATACCTGTAATTTTAGTACTTTGGGAGGCTAAGGCAAGAGGATTGCTCAAGGCCAGGAATTTCGAGACCAGCCTGGATGACACAGAGATACAAAATAACAATGATTAGGCAGGTATGGTGGTGCACACCCGTGGTCCCAGATACTTGGTAGCCAGCTTCAGGAGGACTGCTTGAGCCTGGGAGATTGAGGCTGCAGTGAGCCATGATTGTGCCACTGCACTCAATCCCCATGCCACTCGATACCCCATGGCACTACCACTGTACAAAATACCCCATGACTGAATGTTTATAAATATCCTAATAGTCAGTATTAACACACTTATGCATGTCAACCCGAAGACATAAAGAAGGTTAATACATTGCTCTATAAAACACCTTTATTTGGAAAAAAAATGGGCATTTATAGGATCAGGAAAAATATTCTTCTTACCTTTGAACCTCCATATATTTTTCTCTTCACAGGTAGGGCCCTTGTACCTATGCCAAAGATTCAGGCAAGTAATGTTATTCTTAGGACCAATTTCTGTCCTCAAATAAAATGTGCTATTTCATTTAAAAGTCAATTAAAAATAAAACAGGTAAGAGGGCCAGTTGGGAGGTAGAGACAATAACACTATAAAAATCCATGACTAAAGCACAGAATTAACTAAGTTCTGTTAATTCATCATCTATATAAAGGCAGCAATGCACAGATGAATGTAAATTAAATTTTGAAATTAATTTTTGATTGTGGGTAGAGTTGAAACTAAAATTTATTTTTATATTTTTATTTCCTAATTTTTAAAAATTTCATAAATAAAAATCAGTAGTGAATATTCAAGGGCTGGATTTCTGTTCAATGGATAGAATTCTGTTTAATGGTTTTCTAGAAGGTGAAGAAAACACTTAGTACAGCCAACTTCTCTGAAAATCTACCACCTCGGTTATCCCCACTGATTAAATCTCTCGATGGTGTACTCTGACAAAAGATTTGCCTAAAAGTTATTGACTCAAGGAGAAAATAATTTCAAAACCAATAACAAAAATATTTCTTATAAAATTAAGTGTTGAAGCTGAACATGGAAGAAGAGAATGAATGGGAATTTCATAAACGTATGAAGAGATAAAAAAGAGAATGGGCAAATAGATGAGTTAATGAGAAGGGTTACTCTCACAGTAAAACTTAAAACCAAGAGAGGCAAGTACAAAGCAAAACAGAAACATTATAAATCTAAATGAGCAATAAATGCAAATAGGAAAAATATATATAAATTCTGAGACTGTGTGTTCCTGTAAGAGGAAAAAGATTTTTATCTTTAATTGAATCTGAGCAATGATATGCTGAATTCTCTAGGAATCTGTCAGGACAAACGTATTTTTTCCCTTCCTGTTTATAGTGACTCAGGTAGTCACTGCCTTCTTGGAAACCATGTGAGATGCAGTGCCTCTTCATTGTGCATCAGGCAGATCCATTCAAACACCTGCCCAAACACTGAGAACAGGCCACTTTACTACTGCACTCAGTCTTGCAAGGTTCAAAAGGTTTAAAGAGAGCAGTGATGCAAGGGAAAACATCTTTAAATAAATAGGTGGAAATTCAATGCTAGAATGTTACAGCAAGTAATGAAATGGAATCTGAAAATATTGTAATTGCATACAATTTTTGGCCCAAGTGTATTTTACCAAAAACATAACAAGAAAAATATTGGCCAGGCACAGTGGCTCATACCTCTAATTTCAGCAATTTGGGAGGCCAAGGCGGGCAGATCACTTGAAACCAGGAGTTCAAGACCAGCCTGGCCAACATGGTGAAACCCCATATCTACTAAAAATACACACACACCAAAAAAAAAAAAAAAATTGCTGGAAATTGTGGTGCCTGTCAGTAATTCCAGCTACTCTGGAGGCTGAGGCAGGAGAACAAGTTGAACCCAGGAGGTGGAGGCTGCAGTGAGCTGAGATCAAGCCACTGCACTCCAGCCTGGGCAAGACAGTGAGTGAGACTCCATCTTAAAAAAAAAAAAAAAAAAACAGAAAAAAAATTTGCATATAGAGAGGTATACACATACATACACATACATAGTGTGTACGTGTGTACGTCTATGTTTGTTTGCATAGAAAAAGAGTGAGCTATAGAAGTGAATATTTACCACCTATCTTGTTATCCATCCATCTAACTTTTCATTCATATCTCCTGTTCATCCATCGTTCATCCTCTAGTTCATCAAATATTCTCTATCATCAATAATCAATATTTTATATAAAACTTAAGTATCTTTTCTGTTACCTCTCTGTCCCTCAATCCAGCATCACTTGTTACTAAATATTTATTAATATCCTAAATTATATATATATTATTTATGTGTCTTTTATATTGTCTAGCTAAACTACCTATCTATCCTATTTATCCATTTATCAATTATCTATTATCAATAAGCTATATTCATCGCTGGCATCTAAACATACTTTCTATCATTTCTTCATGTATGCATTCATCATCTATATCTATTACTTTTTTCAAATATCTACGTGTCATATCTATTATTGAAATAGCATTTCCACTGTCTATCCATCCATCCAACATCTATCTCTCCCATTTAGGTACCCATCTATCATCCAACTTATATACATCGATTATCAATTATCCATATTTTATATCTATTATTTAAATATATCTTCTATTATCCATCTATCCATCATCTATCAATCTCACCTGTCTATCTTCTATCAATCTTATCTATCTGGCGTATCCATCTACAGAAACATACACAAACATCTGAGTGGTACTGACTGTCCACAGATTGTAAATTTCAAGGAGAAAGAGAAGGAGAAGAGTAAAAACCCGAGGCATATTTCCAAGGTACCCTCTTCCCAGTATTCTACCCCCATTTTCCAGAATGGGACTAGATGGTGTGGTTCTGTGAGACAGAGAAGGCTGAGTGTTTACTGCAACTTAGTCTGTTAACAGAAAAGAAAAGAGAAAAGCAAGTAGGCAGTGTATTTTGAAGTCATTCCCCAGGGCCTATGGAAGCTGTCAATTTAGGTTATGTATTTTATTTGCAAAATTCCATTCAATATCTCTATTAATTGGCATTAATATTATTCTTGTTTGTATATGTAACTGTGCCACTTTCAAGGGGAGTTGATGCTTATGAGAGGAGGTGCCATCTGGTCTTCCTGGGTAGAGTAGGGGCTCAGAAAGCTGTGAAACTCACTTATTTCCTGCATCAGGACATACTTTGGTCCTGGATGAATAATATTGAAGATATATGTTTAAAATATCCCTAACATCAGAATTTGTACATGTGTTTTCTTCCCCAAGAAAGCTAGAAACAGTGAAAATGTTGTTGTAAGCTTCCCTGTGTCCTCTCTCCCTTCCCCATCCCCTGAAACTAAAAGGAATATTAAAAGCCTGTTTTTCTGTGACAAGCAGAGGTTATCTATTCTCCCAATTCCAATTATTTGGAAACACAATTTGTAAAATCCTGTGAGATACTGACTCCTTTGCCTTGACTCTGCAAGGTCATAAAGTAGACAAAACAAGTGGCAGTTCTGGTTTTCTTCAAGATCTGAGACACGTTAATTGTCTTTGTTTCTCGCTCTGGTAACATCTTCCGTCCACACGTATTTCGCGCCTTGAAGAGTTTAAAAGGTGATTGAAAAATCTAACACTGGCTACCCGCTTGGGAGCCCTTCCATGCTGTGGAAGCTTTGTACTGTTACTCTGCTTAATAAAGCCTACAACCTCTTTCTCTCAGTCCTATCCGTATCTCTCTCTCACCACAGGCTGCTGCCACACCAATCCTTTGGCATGGCTAAGACAAGACCCTTTGGCATTACACTTATAGAAGGGAACCCTTATGACTTTATTGACAATTCTATGACATCCCTCTGCTACTGAGTCTATGAAGGAGAAACTATTGTCTTTTTCAACATAACTCTAAGTTGTATATAACCGGACAATTTTCAGTAATTTTATTCATTTTCTGAAAGACATACGAGGCAAACTATCATATGCCTTGGGTATCCATCCATTATTTCAGGGTGTAATGATAGCTTTTCTTTGAAGATAAAATTATTGTAACCCTGAGACATGATGGAAAATTTATTCATTTTTCTAATTCATTTTTCTAAATTAATGTATTTTTCTACAGGTTTTGATATTTTTCCAAAGTAGTTTGATGTTTAGGATCAATAAAATTATGCCAGCATCTTGACACATGCATTGATGAAACCTGAAAATATACACTGTAAATTTTATAATGTATTTTTAAAATACCGTACTTACAGAATTGTGCCTAAGTCATAATTTTCATTTCCTTTTTTTCAATACTGAAAACCTGCTTTCACTAATTTCCTGGCTACCTCAGTGGACTGCCTTCATAGCAATTAATTTGATCTCTGGCTTAATGAAGTCACATATCTTCAACATCTGTTTTCTTCAAAACTCAACTGCTTTTTTTTTTTCTGTTTAATATGTATTGAGAATCACAGAAACAATTACTTTCCTGTATTTTACTGAGGTTTTATTTTTCCATCTTTCATTTTATTTTTGGAGAATTATTCACACAATAGAAGAATTATGAAGGAAAGTGCCCTAAAAAATAAATAAATAAAATACTGCAGACTTATGGGCACATTTGATAGGGTAATCAGAGATTAACATTTTCAGACAGATATGATAAACTTGGAATCTACTGGGAATATCAACCACTTTAAAATTTTTCACTTTCTGTTTTGGAAAGAGCATATGAGAAGTAGATAACTACAGGTATTTGGCATTTCCAAGATTTTTGTCCTGGCGTCTCAAATGTCTCTCATTCCATGATTTAAGCACGGGAAAGGAGGGATTGTGAGTAGGGTTTAATTGTAATCGGCAGCAGACAAGCTCTGAGGCTCTGCAGTCTTGACCTTGAAGATTACTCAGTCTTTATGATTCCAACAAAATGCTGGTGGTGTTACTGGACCCATCTAGGGGTTCCTTGCCTGGCACAGTAAGGCCAAACATTCACACTGAGGTTTTGAAGCAGCGGAAAGGAGGGTGTTTATATTTGCAGGACACCAAGCAAAGAGAATTGGGCAGTTCTCACTGAAGACCTAACCTCCCGGTGGCTTGCAAGTAATGGTTTTTAAAGGCAGTAGTACATTTCAGGAATGCAGAAGTCACAGGTAACATTGTAAATGAATACGTGGAGATCATACATTGGTTTTAATGGGAATAATATTCAAAATCCTAAGGAAATTGGACACTCAAACAAAGGATTCTTAGCAAAGCCATTTTATTTCTGCACAGAGGGGTGCTTCTCCTTGGCCAGTAGCCATGAGAGCACACCTGAATAAAGGGGCACAAGAGACATCATTCCTGATGCAAGTCATGTCAGGCCTCTGAGTCTAAGCCTACACGTATACATCCAGATGACCTGAAGCAACTGAAGAATTACAAAAGAAGTGAAAATGGCCCGTTCCTGTTTAACTGATAACATTATCTTGTGAAATTCCTTCTCCTGGCTCAGGAGCTCCCCCACTGTGCACCTTGTGACCCCCACCCCTTCCTGCAAGAGAGCAAACACCCTTTGACTATAATTTTGCACTACCTACCCAAATCCTATAAAACTGCCCCACCCATAACTCTCTTTGCCAACTCCTTTTCAGACTCAGCCTGCCTGCACCCAGGTGGAAAAAAACAGCTTTATTGCTCACGCAAAGCCTGTTTAATTGTTCTTTTCACACAGATGTGTGTGACAAGTCCTGCCCCATATGTACCCTTTCCCCATTGGCCAGGGTCGGGTCATACTCTCTAAACTAATCCTGGTTGGCTAAACATCTGAACTTTTTTTTTTTTTTTAAATAAGTTGGGCACATAAAGGAGAGAGGGGAAAAAAACGGTGTCTGTAATGAGCTAGACAGCTAGTCTTGTTTCTAAATAGTGAAAGGAATGTGAGCTGGCAACGCCTGGTACTGTGGCATGTCTGGGCATATAAAAAAGGGAGAAAGGAAGAAAAAAGAGAGAAAAAGGAAAAAGGGATGTAGGGGGGATGCTATAAATTAAACAATAAAGGATTGATCAGGCTATTTAAAGAGAAACCTCCTCATATCCCACAGTTTGAATTAAAAAGGCAGGATATTTTGAAGTGGGCCACCCAAAAATGACAGCTGGATTGAAATATTTTCTGATTTCTGATTGGTTAAGGAGGGAAAGTTTTATCTAAAAAATTGCCTTCAGCAGAAAAGAACGTTAACTCTGGTCTGTGGGTGTGACTTCCTCCAATCTCATCAGGAAGAAATGTAAAACAAAGAATACTGGCAAGAGTTAAGTCCTTAGTTCCCCCATATCTGATGGGGATCTACATGCTAGTGGATCCATTTGTTGGGAATTCATTGACTTTTCAATGACTAACTGAATGGTTTCTTCCCCATACACTAGTCAAGCAAAATGCTTGCTAAAGGAACATTTGTTAACAAGCACATTGCCTACTGTTAAGAGGCCCTTTTGAGAAAAGGGTGGCCTGGGTTAAAACATCCTCTCACCTACTAGTTGGTACAGTTACCTTTTCATCCTATATACCCATAAAAGAAAAGCTTATTTTCCACTTAACCTGTGAACTGCCAGCAGATATCATAAAAGGAGAGTTTACCTGACTGCTATAGTCATCTTCTCTCTCCTGTTGCAATCATCCTATCCAGAAAAAAAAAAAAAAAAAGTCTCCTTACCTAAATCCAAATTTTCTTTTCACACACACCAACATTTCCTTTTTTTTTTTTTTTTTTTTTTTTTTTGGTGACAGAGTTTCAGTCTGTCACTCAGGCTGGAGAGTTCAGTAGCATGATCTCAGCTCACTGCAACCTCTGCCTCCCAGGTTCAAGCAATTTTCCTGCCTCAGCCTCCTGAGTAGCTGGGACTACAGGTGCCCACCACCATGCCTGGCCAACTTTATGTATTTTTAGTAGATACTTCGTTTGCCATGTTTGCAAGGCTGGTCTTGAACTCCTGACCTCAAGTGGTCTGTCCACCTTGGCCTCCCAAAGTGCTGAGATTATGGCGTGAGCCACTGTGCCCAGCCCATATGCCAAAATTCAAGTAAGGAGAACAAGGGCTATCCTGATCTCAGAATTTATTCAGGAAATATAACAAAAATCAATGGCTTTTTTTTGAATCTCTGAAGATATTTTTATTGATGATATAATTGTGGATGAAAAGAAAAAAAACAGATGTTGAAATTAAACATACCTGGCTTATTTCATTGACCCCTTTTAAACTGGTCCTGTTGTTGTAACTGAGCTAGTTATAGAGAAATGCCACACTTTGAGACTAATTTAGCAGTCCTTTATTTGCTGATGTACCCCACCCAGAATGGATATCAGGCTGAGCTGGAGGTCTTGTCATTGCAGCTGAGGTTTAGCAACCAGGAGTGGTGGTGGAACAGTTAAATTGACCCTGTCTGGGTGTTTTTGGAACATAGGATGCTGAACACAGTTTCAACATCAAATCCAGCGATATAAAGCCTTAATCCCCATGACATGCCATAATGCCATTGAGCTAAATTGGGGTTACGGATGGTTATAGTAAGAAGATTGCAATTTCCCCTTGCACACAGTTTAGGATGGGAAGCATGAGCTATGGAAAAGGTTGAAGGTCGGATTGATCCCCCAGAGTAGGTGGCCAAAGTTATACATGTCTAGTCAGGGCAGAAAAATTGGTAAGAATCTTGACACCTAGAGTCAAGGTGATTTCCAGGACAGAAGTAAAGTTCAACGTTCTGGAGTCCTTTTTCTGCACCTTTGGAGCTTCCACATCCAGTCTAGCCTCTGGAGTGTCCAAACTCTGCAGCAAGGTCGATGTTCCCTGCTCCTATGATTGGCAGATTGTGTTGCTCTTCGAACGTATGAGCAGGCTCTGGAAACAGAGCACATAAATCGACTGCCAAAGAGACTTCCTTGTAGGTCCCCGACTTCCAGGTGGTGTTTGCAAACACACTTCCTGTCATGAAAGAAGTCAGGAATAAAGAGTAGGAAGAAGCAGAGGGCACGACAGGCAGAAACAAACAAAAGAGATAAAGAATTAATCTACTGGCTTCACTTGACTTAGGTGCAGTTGTAAGGGGCCTCTACCAGTCTTGGGGACCCATGTTTCTTGCTGGGTTTTGTTAGTCTTCTTGATGCAAGAGTGATGAATCCAAGCAGGAATGTTATCTACTTTTAGAGCTCTTGGTGTGGTGAGGATGACAGTATCAGGTCCTTTTCAGGCAGGAGTAAGTCCTTCTTTCTGGAACTTTTTAACATACACCAGGTCACCTGGCTGGAAAGAGTGGCAGAGCCCCTTGTGGTCGGGAACTGGATTGGGATGTGCTCCTCAGACATGTGGCTGGATAATGTCTTGTACCTGTTGCAGAGACTGCTGGTACTGTAACAAATTAGCTTGTGAGATTTCTGTTAAATGGGTATCTCTTAGTTTGGACAAGGTAGGAGGAGCCCTCCCAGACATGATTTCAAAAGGTGAAAACCTAGCCTGGTAAGGGGTGCATCTTACTTTAAGAAGGTCTAGAGAAAGGAGTTTTACCCAATTCTCACTGGTCTCTAGGATTAATATTGTAAGATTACTTTTTAGGATGCAGTTCATGCATTCTACCTGCCTAGAGCTCTGGGGTTGATAGGCACAATGGAGTTTCCATTGAATGTTTAATGTCTCACTAACTGATTGAGCTACAGATGAGGTGAAGGCTGGTCCATTATCAGACCCTATGGCAGCGGGCAGCCCATGTCAAGGAGTGATTTCATTGAGTAATAGCTTAACTACCATGGTGGCAGTCTCGTTTTTGGTGGCAAATGCCTCAGTCCATCTGGAAAAGGTGTCTACTAGCACCAGGAGGTATTTATACACTGCCCAGTGTGGTTTTATCTCTGTAAAGTCAATTCCCACCTTTCTCCTGGTGAGTCTCCCCAGAGGCGGTGGCCTGGGCTGGGTTTAGGACCTTCCTTGTCATTTACCTGAGCACAACCTATACACCAGAGGGCTGCTTGGTTAGCTAAGCCCTGAAGGTGGAGGATCTTGAAATGGCTCTTTAGAAGCTGGGCCAGTTTTATTGCTCTCAAATGTGTGGTAGAATGCAGATGACTGGTTAAAGTTTCCCCGAGGACTTGGGGCATGAAGATTCTGGGATCAGGAAGAATTCACCAACCTTCCTGATTTTTACTGGCCTGAAGATCTGAAGCCTCTTTTTCCTCCTCTAGGGAGTATTCTGGGTGGTCTCGAAAGTCAGGCTGCAGAAAGGATATAGAGGGCAGCAGAGTCAAAGGCATGACTGGAAACTGAGCTGTCTTTTTAGCTGCAGAATCTGCTCTTTGGTTACCACAAGCAATGACCATATCTTCTTTTTGTTGTCCTTCGCAGTGAATTACAGCCACCTGTTGAGGGAACCAAACAGCTTCAAGCAAGGCCAAAATTTCTTCTTTATTTTTGATAGTTTTTCCTTCTGAGGTGAGTAGCCCATGCTCCTGATAGATGGCTCTGTGTACATGGACAGTAGCAAACGTATATCTGCTGTCAGTGTAGATGTTAATGCATTTATTTTTGCCCTATCGGAAGCTTGAGTGAGGGCAACTAATCAGCCCTCTTTGCCAAGTTGCCTGCCAGCAGCACCTGGGCCCACAGTATATCTGTTTCCATAGTAATGGCTGGAGCAGGCTTTCATACTCCTTGTTTGAGGAAGCTGCTACTCTCTGTAAATGTGGTGGTGTCTGCCTCCTTTAAAGGCACATCTTGGAGATCAGGTCAGCCAATTTCTATAGTCACTAACAGTTCCTCACAGTCATGGATAGGTGTGGTAAGGTCTGGATCAGGGAGCAAGGTAGATGGATTTAAACACCTTGTGGGAGAGAAAGTTACACGAGGCTGATCTAACAGTAAATTTTGATACTGCAGGATGCAAGCGTTCGACATCTATTTGGCAGAAGCACTTTGTAGCAATGTCTCTATGGCACGAGGAGCCATAAGGGTTAAATTTTTACCTAGAGTCAGTTTATCAGACTCCTGAACCAGGCTTGCTGTGGCTGCTATGGCTCGCAGACATCTTGGCCACCTGGAGGCCACAGGGTCCAGGGGTCCAGTTTCTTAGACAAATAGGCCACTGGGCATCACCATGGCCCCAAAGTTTGAGTGAGTACCCGTCTAGTGACTCCCTGGCTTTCATGAACAAAAAGGTGAAATGGTTTTGAGATTATTTGGGAGGGCTAGAGCAGGGTCCTCAGTTAATGGTTTTTTCCAGTATTGAAAAGCCTGTTCCTCTGTGTAAGTCCAAGCTAGCAGGTCATTTTCTCCTATAACAGAGTTTAGGGGCTTGGTGATTTCCACAAACCCTGATATCCATAGATGACAGTATCCTACAGACCCCAGGAATTCATGTACCTGTCTCTTGGTGATGGGAGTGGGGATCCACAGGATGGTTTCCTTTTGAGCACTGGTGAGTGCCCTTTTTCCCTTGTCTATCTCATACCCCAGATAGGAAACCCTGGGGAGATAAAGCTTGGTCTTCTTAGCTGAAACCCAGTACCCAAGTTTCTGGAGAAGGCAAAGCAGGTCTCTAGTATATTGCAGGCGGCTGTCAGTAGTTTTAGCAGCTAATAAAAGGTCATCCACGTACTGGAGAAAAGTGCAGTTAGGGTGACTGGCTCAGAATGGTATGAGATCTTGTTGGAGGGCTTCTCCAAAAAGTGTGGGGGAATTTTTAAAACCCTGGGGTAGCTGAGTCCAGGTTAATTGAGTGGTGTCTCCCAAGCCAGGATCTGTCCATTCAAAAGCAAAGATAGATTGGCATTTGGGGACCAGAGAAATAGCAAAGAAAGCCTCTTTTAAGTCCAGGACAGCACATACTGTATGTTCTGGCAAAAGCAGGCTGAATAAAGTATAAGGGTTAGGGACAGTTGGATGGACAGTGACTGTCCACTTGTTAACTTCCTGCAAGTCCTGTACAGGCTGGTAATTATTTGTTCCAGGTTTCTGGACCGACAAAAATGGAGTATTCCAGGCCAACTAACACGCTGTGAGTATACCAGCTTGTAATAGCCCCTGAATATGGGGATTGATTCCCTCTCTAGCCCGCTGACTCATAGGATAGTTTTTTTTACCTGGACTGGCAGGGCAGTGACCAGGAGTTCTACAACTAACAGTGGATGATGCTTTGCTAGTCCTGGGGATTTTGACTTGGCCCAGACTCAAGGAAACACAATCTGTAGATACAATAGGAGAGGATTAGCTTTATTCTCCAGCGGTCATAATCAGGAGGCTGTAGGCAGAGAGGCCACAGGGGATGTAGTCAAAGAAACGAGGCAAGATTTTGGTGGAGCAGGAGGGTTATGGGGTGGTGGAAATGCGTGAGAAAAACTTTCCTCTTCTTCAGAAAAAGGCAGTACAGGAGGAGCTGAGGGGGCTGAGGGTCAGAATGACAGTGAGGCCTGGCTCAAAAGCACCTTGGAGGTAGGATTATGAACAGCACATGAGTGGAGCCAAGGGGAAGGGCCCCAGACCAAGCTCAGCCATTGATCAATGTAGGGAAACTGATCAGGGTGACTGGGAGTTCCAGCAATGAACTGCCACACACATTCAGTGACCCTTCTGGGGGCCACCCGGTTCCAAACTGTAGCCGTTCTACTTCACAGAGTGTCCAGAATTTGCCTTTTTTAAGGCAAACCCCATAATCCTCTGAGAAGCCCAGGGAGAAATTTTGTAACATACATTGGAGAGGGCTCCAATCTCTATGAGGCCAGGAAGAAGAGCTTCCCATTCTGGAAGCAATTTAACAAGGATTGAGCAGAAATATTAAATCCAGCATGGACAGAGCAATTCACTCTCTGGGGGCCCGTAGTATCAGAAGAACAGAAATATTACGACCAGAAGAAGTAGGAAAGCAACTATAGCCAACACTTCTTGCCACATAAGCTCTTTCTCTTTAGGTTTTGAGATCTAGGGAGAGGACAAGAGGTGGGTCTGAGGCCTGTGGGACCTACATGATCCCTCCTTCCTTTTTGACTTATAGCCTGAATATTTTTGGTGTCTTCATGACTCAAAGGCAAACAGTTCAAACTTGGCTTTTTCTTTTAAGGGTTTTAGGAGGGTGAGCAGAGCCAAGTCTTGGAGGTGCTGGACTTGCTGTGACACAGGAAAATGAAATGTACGGGGTAAGGGATGGGGATGAGTAGGAAAGGGGCCACTTGGATCTTTCCTAAGGTAGGAGAGTAGCTACAGAGGGATAGAATAAGAGTCCAGATGGAATAAGACAGTACAGGCGTAGGTTTCTCTGCACAGTGCCTTATCCAAGGGCATGGGAAAAGTTACAGGATGACAGAAAAGGTGAGCAAGGAAATCTGCAGGGTGGCTATTTTGAATCCCCCACTGATCTAAGGAGGAGGTGTTTCAGTCACTGGGGTTTGAGGTATGGCAATCCAAATGCCAGCAACCTTTATGGTGCCAGAAATCCCAAACGAGAGACTGTTTCCCATACACCTCCCCATAACAACACCTGACTTTTTTCCGACAGAAAAGACAGGACTCGGATGGCCAGCCCAAATGACTGATGAAAGATTTGAACTCCTGGGATAGAAAATCTGTACTAACGACCTTGAAGAAGTCCTTGCCCAGTCATCTTGGGCAGTATTGAAGACCTGACATGTGAAACTTAGGCAAACACCAGACAGGAGAATAGACACTGGGGTATATAAACAGTTATGAAAGTTTTTATAAACAGACAAGATGAGGGGCTTCTGTGATGTGATTAGTCAGATGCCTGCCTGGCCACTCCCCTTGCAGGGACTTAGGCTCCTCTTGACATTGGCAGGCCAGTATAAACCCCCAGCTCAGGTCGAGCTATGCCCTTTGCTACCCTAAGCCTTATGAGGTCACCCGGAACCACAGGTGAGGGCCCACTCAAACTCTGTAGCTTTTGCCATGGAGCTACAAACTTGAAATTCAAGCAAAAGCCCTTGAACTCCACATTCACTCACTCACTCCTTCAGAGTTTATTATAATTTTTCATACCCATTTAAACAGGGGTCTCCTTGAGACCTGAATGAGAGAAGAAGAAGAGACAGAGAGGGAGTGTGAGAGTCTTAACAGAGAAGCCTGACAGAAACCAGGACTTTGCCCTCCAGTGTCCTGGAGTGTGGACAGAGTCTGAGGGAGGGCCCTCAATAGGGCCATTTCCCTCCCAGAGAAACAGAGTCAGATCTGACTTACCGTCCCAGGACCAGAGACTGAGGACTCAGGAGTTGAATTTGGTGGGCACACACCAGCAGTCGATCCGTTCCCCCTCCGGAATACGGTGGCCTATGGTGCCTTGGAAAGTCTTCAGGTGGCACCTCCCCTATAAGACCACTGTCTGTCCAGGGGAGCCTGGAATGAATTCAGCACTCATCTCATGGCAAATAAATCTCGCCGGGACTTCCAAATGTTGTAACTGAGCGAGTTGTAGAGAAACGCCACACTTTGAGACTAATTTAGCAGTCCTTTATTTGCTGGTGACCGAGAGATGGCTAGTGCTCAAAATTCTCTCTGCCCCAAAGAAGGGGCTAGATTTTCTTTTATACTTTGGTTTAGAAAGGGAAGGGGGAGCCTAGCTGAAGCAATCTTACAGAAGCACAACAGACAAAAAAAGTTAAAAAGACGAACGGTTACGGGAAAACAAACAGGTCCAGGTGCAGGGGCTTTAAATCTATCACAAGGTGATAGATGCGGGGGCTTTGGGCGCTATCAACTGGACACAAACACTGGGGCTTTGAGTACTATCAACCAGGTGAATTCCTGGGAACTGCGGATATAGCTTGCCACAGTATCTTATCAGTAATTGCATTCCTGGATGTGCTGGGAGTCAGCTTGCACAAGTTAAGTCTTTGAGGAAGGGGGTGGGTAAGGGGCTGCAAGTGAAGGAGCCAAAATGGAGTCTGTCCACTTCTCTCAGCCAAGGGAGAGTCAATTCAGGTTAAAACAAGGTAGGATATCACACTGTGACCTTAAATACAGGCAAGTTACTTGCAAGTGACTTATGTCCTCTAAGCCCCTCTTTACTCACTGGAGGGAGGAAAATTCTTAAAGGAGAATGACTTCAAATACCATTTAAAACTAATATTTTGGGATGTCCATGGGAAAAAAAAAAAAAGCTTAGCCACACAAAAGACTAATAATGGAATGGAAAATTGTTCACCTGCCCTCATGCCAAGTTCTCTCACCACGTTAATCATTTCTCATCATTTTTTCTTTAAGTCTTCTTGAGCCAAGATGATACTTCCAACATCTTTACAAACGTTAAGGTATATTTATTTACTCCAACATAACAATGACAAATAATACTTGCTCATAATATCATAACTTTTATAATTCTGCATTTTTTGAAAGACTGAATCTAAAAGTAATTTTTTCTATGTTTATTTCTTGAACCATTACATTTGGACTGTAGGATATAACATCTTACTCTTAAGTGATTAGCAAAGTAAGCATTATATATTTTCCTTGATATCCCCTCTTTCCTTCCTTAATTTACATTGGCTTTTCCATTCATTAATTAATTAACCTTTGAAACTGATGTTTTTTAATCCGTAAAAATAATGACTTCCTATTGGTTTCCAATAAAGTTAATTCTGAAAATTAAAAACCAATCAATAGAATTGAGAATAATCCTTGTGTGGATATTTACCAGTGGACCCCAGAGAGTATGAATGAATCTACAGAAACCCATGTGATTTAGTCCCACGATATTCAACATGAACTGCTTTAAGAAGAGTTCATGTATCAGGAGAGTCATATCCTTCTTTCTTAAAGTCTAGCACATTACTTGAAAACATTGCATGATTGTGATTTTCCCTGGAGTTCACAACTACTCTTCTATTTCTTGTTGCAAGAAGAGACGTCTATTCTTCCTCTCTTGTCCCAATAAGAGTTCCTTGTTGACACTCAACCTTCTTTGAATAGTCTTTTTACATTTTTCTTCTCAGTATGTCTCTCAGCAGGCTTCTCTCTTTCTTTGAGTCACTGGATAAAATGATGGGAAAATATAAGTTTGTCATGCTATCACATTTTCATATCTTTTCTGTAGGTGATATTTCAGGCACACTTCAAATATTTTCTGGACTATTCAAGATATTGGTGAATAATCTGATTCATGTATGTTTAAATGACCAATGCAACCTAAAGTATAATTTCAATATCTCATTATATTTGAAAATTCCAGACCAGATGCAGTGGCTCACATCTGTAGTCCCAACATTTTGGGATGGATTGCTTGAGCTCAGGATTTCAAGACCAGCCTGGGCAGCACAGTGAGAACCCACCTATACAATAAAATAAAAGAATTAGCTTGGCAAGGTGGTGCACACCGATAGTCCCAGCTACTCAGGAAGCTAAGATGAGAAGATCACTAGAGCCTGGGATGTAGAGGTTGCAGTGAACCAAGAGCAAGCCATTGCACTTCAGCCTGGGCAACAGAATGAGACCCTGTCTCAAAACAAACAAAAACAATCTCACTTTCCATTCATCTGTCAAACTTTATCAAGTTTGCAAGGATATTTGAAGAAGGATGTCATACTCACTTACATAATTTTTTTTTTCCTTGGGGCATTGTTGCTTTTATAGGACTTATTGCAACACCCACATCTCTGGTTTCTAGCTTCTGACTATACTTCTGGTTCTATTTTCCCTGTAGTGTCACATTCTCAGAAGGGAGAAACTTTGTCAGTGTCCCATCTGGGTGATCAAGGCTGTCATCTTTCAGAGCACACTTGGCCAAAAGAAATTGTCAATCATTCTGTGCTGCCCAACAACACCAGATGGCCAAGCCTGTGTTCTTGTAGTCTCACCTCTTTATTCACCCTTCACTAAACTTGCAGACAACCTAGTATCATTCACCTTCTTCAAAGAAGAGTCAGCCTATAGTCTCTCTATTCTGTGACCCCCAGATTCACTGAGAAGGTCTCTTGATGCTATGCTCCAAATGTTTGTGTTTTTCCAGAATAACATCTTGAGTCCTAACTTCCAAGGTGATGGTATTAGGAGATGGAAGGTGATGAGAGTGGAGCCCACATGAATGGAATTAGTGCTATTATAAAAGGGACCCAATAGATCTTCTTCACCTCTTTCACTGTGTGAGAATACAGCTAGAAGATACTGTCTATGGACCTAAGTCCTCACCGGACCTAAGTCCCCACGGGACACTAAATCTACCACGTTTTGATCTTGGACTTCCAGCTTTCAGAAGAGTATGCAATCAATTTATCCTTTTTAGAAGCTACGCAGTCTATGGTATTTTCATTATTGCAGCCCAAAGTGGATGAGACACTTGACGTCCCTTCAATCAATTTCACGTGGAATCTCCTTGATACTCTCCTAACAGAAGAGAAATGCACAGAACTTGAAAATGTCCCGCAAAGTAGCCCTCACCAGCTCTCAGTTATTTTGCTGAATACTGAGCTTATCCTTACATATGTTGAAGATAGGAGATGAGCTTGGGGGTCAAGATTTCTGCCTAGATCATCTAGTGGAGGTCAAGGTTTCTGCCTAGATCATCTAGTACTGAGAGGGAAAAGAGGAAGAAACCCATTAAGCAGCCAGTTAGAGTTGTTCCAAGGTTAAATGGTTGAATTCTTTTAAACAAAAGAATAGCCTGCAGGCACACATAAGGGAACTTACACAGGGGAGCTTGACTGAGACATGCCCACAGCCATACAGATAAGAAAGTCTATATAGCTGATTTGACTAGACTTGCCTGCAATGGAAAATTCCATCCCCTGGCACAGGCATCATAAGGGGAACAAAACAATATGGAGTAACTCAAGCTAAAGGCCTGTGGGTGCACTAGGAGGATGGGGTGGAGCTACCAGAACTTCACACCTTATGCAAATGAAACACTCATCCCTCAACGATTTCTTATAAAAGGCTCTATATTCAACTGTGAAATTGCAACCCTTTTTTGGGATGCCTCTCTGCGGCATAGGGCTTTCTTTCCTTTATTAAATTTCTGATCTAACCTCATCCTTGTCATGTCGATATCCTTGATTCCTGAAGGATATCTCATTTATTGTTAACAGTTTGCATCTATGCCTATGACTATGTTTATTGTGAAAATAAATATAATTTAAAAGCTATGGCAGTCCCCCACAAGAGCACTTTAAGCCATGAGAGAGATGTGACCGTCATCTGAGTCACATATGGTAGCAACTTCTGTTCTCAGATTATAGATTAACTCACTTTTTAATTCTCCGTGTTCTGTAAAAAGACTAGGGAGAATTAAGCAACATCAGGCTGAGTGCAGTGGCATGATCTCAGCTCACTGCAAGCTTCTCCTCCCAGGTCCACACCATTCTCCTGCCTCAGCCTCCCAAGTAGCTTGGACTATAGGCACCCACAACCATGCCTGGCTATTTTTTTTTTTTTTTTTTCCAGTAGATTTTTAACATGGTTTCACCATGTTAGCCAGGATGGTCTTGCTCTCCTGACCTTGTGATCTGCCCATCTCAGCCTCCAGATTACAGGCATGAGCCACCATGCCAGGCCCCTGTCTGCCCTTCTTAATTAATGATACTTGTGATAGATTAAGCCCCCCTGGGTTGTCCAGCTTCACTGAGAGTAGATAAAGAAAATCCATGACTGTTACAGCCTCTGTTTAAAAAAATTGTTAAATGTACTCTTCCCCCCATAAAAACTGCCTGTAACCAATCTAATGGCTGCAACTCTGTGCCAATCTTGTAGGAATGATGTGGTAATCTTGCTAAAAACTCATCTGTCTCTGGCTCTATACATGAAACCTTAACTTTCCTACTCCATAATTTTGGAGTTGGTATGATGGGTGTGAACCATCCATCTTCACACTTGGGTCTTGAATAAACTTTGTTTGAATTATACTCTAACCTTTTTGGTTATTTAAAGTTGACACTATCTTTGTATCTGTGACACATTCATAGGTACCTGAAAGACATGTCCTAGGTTGTTAAAGATTTTTGTATGTGTGTAGGTAGATCTATGGCTATGTGAGGGATTCTTGAAGGACTGCTCAGTCTGCTGTAACAGATACCATGAACTGGAGGGCTTACAAAAATTATTTATCAGAATTTTGGAAGTCCAAGTTCATCAAGATGTCAACCTGGTTTCTGGAGAGAGCTCTCTTCCTGGTTTGTTGATGGTCAGTTTCTCACTCTAAGTTCACATAGTATAGCTGCCCAGTGGGTTCACCTTGCCCGCTGCCTAAAGAGAGCCAATTTCTCAAGACAGGGGACTTACAATAGAGAAAGAGTATTTTATGCAGAGCTGGCTGTATGGGAAACTGAAGTTTTATTATTACTGAAATTAGTCTCCCTGAGCATTTGGGGATCAGAGTATTTAAGGATAATTTGGTGGGTAGTGCAGCAGTGAGTCAAGAGTGCTGATTGGTGGGATTGGAGATGAAATCATGGGAAGTCGTGGCCATCGTCTTGTGCTGAGTCATTTCCTGGGTGGGGGCCACAACGTCAGGTGAGCCAGTTTATCAGTCTGGGTGGTTCCAGCTGATCAATCAAGTGTAGGCTCTGCAAAATATCTCGAGCATTGGTCTTAGGAGCATTTTAGAGAAGGTCAGAATCTTGTAGTTTTCAGCTGATTAGTCGACTACTAAACCATAATTTGTAATCTTGTGGCTGATTTGTTAGTCCAACAAAGGCAGTCTAGTCCCAAGGGAGAAATAAGCCTTGTTTTGAGAAAGGGCTGTTATCATCTTTGTTTTAAACCGTAAGTCCCTCCCAAAAGTAGTTCAGCCTACGCCCTGGAATAAGCAACAACAGCTTGGAGGTTGAAAGCAAGATGGAGTTAAGTCAGATTCAGAGACAGGACTAGCTGGATTTCCTATGCCGACTAAGAATTCCTAAGCCTAGCTGGGGAAGGTGACCACAACCACCTTTAAACCCAGGGTTTGTAACTCAGCTCACACCTGACCAATCAGGTAGTAAAGAGAGCTCACTAAATATCAATCAGGCTAAAAGCAGGAGTTAAAGAAATGGTCAAATCATCTATCATCTGAGAGCACAGGGGGAGGGACAATGATTGGGATATAAACCCCAGGCATTTGAGCTGGGATTGGGAACCCCTTTGGGTCCCCTCCCATTTTATGGGAGCTGTGTTTTCACTCTATTAAATCTTACGGTTGCACACTCTTCTGTTCTGTGTTTGTTCCAGCTCAAGCTGAGTTTTCACTCATCATCCACCACTGCTGTACACCACCATCATAGACCTGCCACTGACTTCCACCCCTCCAGATCTGGCAGGGTGTCTGCTGCATTTCTGATCCAATGAGGCACCTATTGCTGTTCCCGTTCAAGCTAGAGGCTTGCTATTGTTCCTGCATGGCTAGGTGCCCAGGGTCATCCTAATAGAGCTGAACACTAGTCACCAGTTTCCACAGTTCTCTTCCATGACCCATGGCTTGTAGTAGAGGTATCACACTCACCGTGTGGCCCAAAGTTCCATTCCTTGGAACCTGAGAGGCCAAGAAACGCAGGTCAGAGAATAAAAGGCTGGCTGCAATCTTGGGAGCAGCTGCCACCATCTTGGGAGCAGCCCACCACCATCTTGGGAGCTCTAAGAACAAAGACCTACCTATAACAAGATGTCTTTCACTCTCAGTCATAATTTTGCAAAGGTGGCTTCAAAGGCAGAGAGAAAAAAAAAAGAGCACTGGGCTGGTCATCTTCTCATAAAAACATTGATCCCATCATGGGAGACCCACTTTCAGGATGTCATCTAAAACTAATTACCTTCTAATGCCCCATTTCCAAATACCAACCCACTGGGGGCTAGGGTTTCAGCATACGGTGTGTGACTGTGATGGGACACAGACATTTAGTCTATGGCACCTCCTTAACTGTAAACAGCTTACATCATTTTCCATGTCAATGTCTATGTCTATGTTTATAACCATGCCTGTTCATATTACAGAAGCCAAGGAAAAACTTGCCCTTTGCTCTCTGAAGGTTCGCTACAAATCACCTGATGAAAGGTAGATTAATAACCTTCCACAACCTAACTGCCCTGTGGGATCTTTTTTCCTATTGCCCAGAGAGAACTAAATGATCAAGACAAGGTAAGTGCAATAGAGGAAGAGTTTAATTCATGCATACACAGATAAACAAGAGACCAGAGTTTTATTATTATTCAAATCAGTCTTCTCAAAAATTTGGAGATCAGGGTTTTTCAAAGATAGTTTGGTGGGCAGGGGGCCCAGGAGTGGGAAGTGCCGACTGGTTGTGTCAGAGATGAAATCATAGGGAGTTGAAGCTGTCCTCTTGCCCTGCATCAGTTCCTGAGTAGAAGGCAAAAGACCAGTTGGTGAGTACTGGTACAGCTATTGGTAGTCAGAAATGCAAAAAATCTGAAAAGCTATCTCAAAATGTCAATCCTGGGTTCTACAAGAGTGATGTTATCTGAAGGAGTAATTGGGGAAGTTCAAAATCTTGTGACCACCTAAATAATGGCTGGTAATTATTTAACTATGCTTATATCATAGTAGAATTCAGACCTTTATCCTCCTGACCTGGTAGGCTTTCCTTAGTTTTATAAAGGCAATTTTGTTTTGGAAAATGCTTTTATAATTTAACTTGCAGGCCAGGAGTGGTTGGCTGACACCTGTAATCCCAGCACCATGGGAGGCTGAGGCACGAAGCTTGCTTGAGTTCAGGAGTTCAAAATTAGCCTGGGCAGCCTGGAAAAACCCCACCTCTACTTAAAAAAAAATAAACAATAAATAAAAAATAAAACAATTAGCCAGCAATGGTGGCTCATGCCTGTAGTCTAAGCTACTTAAAAGGTTGATGTGGGAGAATAGCTTCAACTCCCAAGCTAGTTGAAGGTTGCAGTGAGCCGAGATCATGCCACTGCACTCCAGCCTGGGTGACAGAGGGAGTCCCTTTCTTAAAAAAATAATAAAGATAATAAAATAAACTATAAACTAAATTTCTCTCAACATTAGCTTTGGCACATGCCCAGGAAAGAGTGAAGATAGCCAACCTGTGAGGCTAGAAGCAAGATGGAGTGAGCTATGTCAGGTTTCTCTTACTGTCATAATTTTGCAAAGGAGGTTTCTATACGAATTTATTAATTTGGATGGAAAAGTACAAAATTTCTTAAAGAAGTGGCCAGATTATTGATGCTTTTATACCATCCTGGGCTTGGGTCTTACAGCATGTGCAAAAACAGATTATAAAACCTGGTAACTCAGGTTACGGACACCAGACAGGTTGTGGAACAGGGAGAAGAGCATCTAGCTAGCAAAGGTGGTGGTGGCATGTAGATGAAACCTCACAGGTAGCAGCACTCAGAGAGAATAGATGGTGAATGTTTCTTTCAGATCTGTAATGGTGTTTGATTCTCAGTTCATCTTTCCTAGATTAGACAAAGAGGACCTCAGAGAAAACCTGATTGTATCAATGCAGATTTTTCTTTTGGTTTTTGTTGTTGTTGCTGTTGTTGGTGGTGTTGTTTTTGAGACAGAGTCTCACTCTGTCCCCCAAGCTGGAGTGCGGTGGTGCAGTCTTGGCTCACTGCAATCTCTGCCTCTTGGGTTAAAGCAATTATCTTGCTTCAGCCTCCTGATTAGCTGGAATTACTGGCACTGCCACCATGCCCAGCTAATTTTTGTATTTTTAGTAGAGACAAGCTATCACCATGTTGGGAAGGCTGGTCTCAAACTCCAGACTTCAAGTGATCTGCCTGCTTGGGCCTCCCAAAGTACAGGGAATACAGGTATGAGTCACTGCATTTGGCCTCAGATTTTTTCTACAGATGCAAATCTCCCCCACAAAAGACAGCTTTTGAACAATTCTTGTATTTACTGCACTTCTGACTACCCATGCAGAAATATGCAAACGAAATACATTGTAAAAGAAAACAAAATTTCAGAACCCTCTATGTTCATGATGCCAAGGGAAAAGTTAAATCCTGGATACTTAGACACAGAGTATGTCTGCAATTTTGCTTTTTAGATTGTAGATTAACTATCTTCCGTATTTATGTTGTTCTGTAAATTCCTACCAGAGACCAGAAACTAGACTTCCCCCTAACAATCATTGATCGATCTTACAGACTAACTGCCTTCTTTATCATCCTGTACCTAGCTCAGACTAGATGGTGCCCAAGATGTCCGTTACATCTTCAGTGAATTGGCTCTATCTATGTAGCAGGCAAGAAGAATCTATTGGGCAATTACATCATGAAAGAAAATCAAATAATTTTCCAAAGTACAGATACAAAATTATACATTATTTCCCAAGGAAAAATAGAGCTCAATTTCAATCCACAGTAAAGAGTAACCATATATTATTGACACATACACTCATATAATCTATATGATATATTATGCATATATATATGTGTACATATATGTGAATAAGGTACAGAGTGCAAGCAATTTACTGGCAGAAAATGATAACATTTCCTTCAGACATCTCCACAGCTACACTGAGAGAATAGATTAACACAATTTTTACATAGTGTTGGGAATGTTGCATACACCTTTCCCAAAAGAAGAACACCACTTTAAGTAACCAGATTGTTTTAACCATGCATCAAGCGATACAGAGAAAGATGATGAAATTCTGTCACACTTTTCTAAACTTTGTCCACATAAGGAATTCAAAACAGTTACCCTTTGGAACCCTGATTTCTCTTCTTCAGAATCTTTGATTGGAATGTCATCCATCCTCAGACTTGAATAAACTATCTTGAGACTAGATTCTGACATTTTTTTATTGCTCTTGGTTGACAACATTTTGGGGTAAAATATTTTGATTATTTCAATAGTTATGTTATTGTTACATAATAATAGTAAATTATTAAGTATATTTAAATATAAATATCAAAATATTAAAATAAATGTTAATATTTATTACATAAATATTGAAAGAAATTAAAGTATTTTACCCTAAAAATGGTTCTTTTTCTAAAACCAGTTTATTGAAGTATGGTTGTCATACAAAAAGCTGTACATATGTATTATACACACTGTGATGTGTTTTAAGATAAGTATATGTCTACGAATCTATTGAATTTAGTTTATAGTTTAATTAAAAAATAAATATATTAACACTGTCTTTGGAAAACTAACAAGTTAACTACAAGATTGGAAATTATGTCTCAGGAGCCAAGTAGCCAGAGGCCACAAGATTCCCAATCTCCCTAGTTCCTCCTATAGATGAAACTACTATTGTAAAACCTAAGATTGGTGAGTGGACGTATTTTTCAGACCCTGCATTCTGGTGAAAAAGCTGGTGCCAGTCAGATCCATCACCCATACCAAGAAACCGGCTCAAACTAGTCTTGTGACTTCCACACAGAAACTGGAGACAGCAAGAAGAAAGCCAAAATTCCCTATCATTTCAACCCCAACCTGAGCAGTCAGTATTCCCCATTTCCTAGCCACCTGCCCACCTAATTATTATTTTAAAAACCTAGTCTCTGAATGTCCAGCAAGGCTGATTTGAATAATAAACTAATGTCTTCCCTGTGCCTAGCTCTGCATTGATTAAACCCTTCCACTTCTGCTGTATCAGTGAATTGGCTCTATCTATGTAGCAGGCAAGAAGAATCTATTGGGCAATTACATCATGAAAGAAAATCAAATAATTTTCCAAAGTACAGATACAAAATTATACATTATTTCCCAAGGAAAAATAGAGCTCAATTTCAATCCACAGTAAAGAGTAACCATATATTATTGACACATACACTCATATAATCTATATGATATATTATGCATATATATATATATGTGTATATATATGTGAATAAGGTACAGAGTGCAAGCAATTTACTGGCAGAAAATGATAACATTTCCATCAGACATCTCCACAGCTACACTAACTGAGAGAATAGATTAACACAATTTTTACATAGTAAATACATTTAGATTCTCAAATTTGGATACCTCGATTACTTCCTACTTAAATCAGAAGAAAGCAGTCATTATGAAAAGTAAGAAGACTGGAATCATAGAGGTCACCACCTCTTTATAAATCATCTAATCAAAACCCAAATGGCAAACAAATAATTGAGACAATTTTTGGAAAAATAAAACTCCAGCCAGCCAAAGAAAGAAAGTGAAGTAAATATCTCATCATGTATGAAAACAAGTCTATAAACGATTCTCAGTGAACTTTGAATCCACTGAAATAAATAGCCATCTGTCCACAATTTTTAAACTTCAGTTACAAAACTGAAAGTACCCATAATGCACCTTTAAATATTTTGATGTCAATTGAGAAAGATGGAAGATTTAACACTTGCTAGTTTCATAGTTTTTGTTTGTTTGTTTGTTTCCCCAGTAGGTGTACAAGATATTCTAATGGTGAAAATGGGCAAATAGTGTTTCAGAATAGGTAATGCCTGGAAGGGTGTTATTTAGACATTACAGTGTATTAAAATTACATGAGTTCTTATGAAATACATATTCCAAAATGCTGTCCTTAAGAGAGTCTAGTTAAGTGGTTATCTGAAAGGGAAATCATATTTTTCAATCACTCAGCTGGTTTATTGCAACGGTCTTTTCCCTTATCTTGAGAAATACTGCGCCTCAGGAGCCAAAGCCTTACTCTCGACTGTTTTGTTATGAAAAGAGAAATAGTTGCATGAAACACTACCACATCATTCATACACCAAAAGGGTGCATCAAATAAGGGAGGTAAAGTACTAAAATAATGTACATGCTGCCCATTGAAAGACATGTGATAACAAGAGATATCATAAAAAATTATCACAATCAAATGCTGGATTAACATTTTATGAATTCTGACACCATATCAATAAATGAAATGTAAACTTATACAGTCAATAGATACACTCAAATCTAATCAGAAGAGTTTTTAATTTAAGAGAGGTCAACACCTCTATGAAAATACATGTAAAGAAAATCAGAACAAGCCTTGCTTAATATTAATAAATCCTTAATAGTAAGACAAACGTCACTAAATGAAAATTGTAAAGCACAAAACCATCAATGCAATATGTCTCTGTTGATGTTACATAACAGGAACAGGGAGGCAGAGGAGTTAAAACCATAGATAGGGTCTTTCATGAGAAAGATTTGACCAGGCTCTGCTAGCTTTAAATGTGGAAGGGAGGCCGAGTGCAGTGACTCACACCAGAGATGCCAGAGCTTTGGGTGGCTGAGATGAGAGAATCCCTTGAGGTAGGGAATTTAAGATGAGTCTCAGCAACACAGCAAGATCTTGTCTCTACAAAAAATTTAAAAGTTAGTCAGATATGGTGGCACATGCCTATAGGCCCAGCTACTCAAGAGGCTGAGTAGAAGGATTACTTGAGCCCAAGAGGTTGAAGCTACAGTAATCTATGATTGTATTAATACCACTGCACTAAAGCCTGGGTGAAACAGTGAGACTCTGAATCAAAAAAAAAAAAAAAAAAAAAAAAAAAAAAAGGAAGAAAGTCACTGTAAAAAACTTACTGGGTTTCTTAACAATAGGAATAGTATAGAAGATAGGCAGAAAATTATTGTTAGGGTAAACAGGAAGAGTAGTCTCTTAGCATGTTATACAATTATATGTTCTCTATTGTTTGCTTTTAAAAATATTTTAAGGTTTTAAAGCCTCTCACAATAATATGACTTTAAAATCATGTAGATTTCTAATTGACTTACTCTCTTTTGGTATCTTATGAGATAAATGCAATTTTTAACAAATTAGCCCATGAAAAAATCTTAGACTGGATTAGTTTCCATGAAGTTGACAGAAAATAATAACATACATAATCGCCTAGACATATATATATATATATATATATATATATATATTTATGTATACATTGTATATATTTAGACTGAAATAACTAATTCATTCTCTTCAAATACAATACTAGAAGCAATCTGTTGCAATGGGCAAGAAGATTCATTTTGTTGCTATTTTAAAATGCATATGCTTTAGACCTAGGATTTTTTCAGAGTACAGACTTTCTATTAGGCTAGTTCTCTTTGCATTAACATATCTTGATATTAATAAGAGAAGGTGAGCAGTAACTAAAACTAATAAGAGAGATAGACCGTAACTATGAAAAACCAAGAATTATTCTAAGGTTGTTAATTATTATTACCATGTTTAATCATCAAATAAACCTTCTGAAACTGATGTAAAAGAAAAATTGAATCTTATTTTTATCCAAAATGGGAAGAGTCTTTAAAAAAACAAAACTCTGATTTTCCTACTAGTTAGCCCTAACCCAGAAAATCAGTGTATCTTTCCCAATGAATATTGTTTTTTTTTAGGTCCCCATTTCCAGTTTCCTCTTCTGTGAAATGGGATAACAATAAATACCTAGTTCATAGGGTGGAAATGAGAAAGAAATGAGAATGTTTGGAGATGCTTATCATAACACATAGAATTCAGTAAGCAGTCAAAGTATGTTATCTATTATTGTTTTACCATTAAGAATATTTGGTGGCTTAGTGAAATTTTTCAATAGGTGTGTTTTCTTTTCCTGTTTTGAATTTAGTATTTATTTGTTGACCTTGACAATGGAAAATTTTCCTGAATTCTCCAGGTAGTGCCAATGTAATCACATGGGTCCATAAATGTAGTAGATAAAGAAAAGAATGTATCAAAGTTGTGCCAGGTGAAATTCAACCAGCTCTGTGTGTGTGTGTGTGTGTGTGTGTGTGTGTGTGTGCATGTGTGCATGTATGATTTTGTATATTTTTTCCCAGTAGTATAAAATTTACTTCAAATCTGCTATACCAACAGCCATGAGTTATTTCCATAAGCCCTCCCTCTTCTGGGTGGTGAATACTCAACAAAGGAAAGAGGAATATTGAGGAAATGTTTTCTAAAGTTTGAGCTGCAGGTGCTCTAGGAATGTAGATAAATCACACTCTATACAGGTATGAGTGTGCATGTATTGAGTATATATAAACACACACACAAATATGTGTATATATGGGTGTTTAACATATGCACATTATTGCCTGTATAGGATGTGCATTATATATATGTATGTGTGTGTATGTACTGGTGTGTATATTGTTGTTTATCATAGAAAATAATATATAATTTGTATTTTTAGAAATTAGTATGAGATAGTGTTAATCAGTAAAAACTAGTTATCTATAAATATCCTGCATATAAGGAAAAAAAAAAGTTTGGGAGCAACAGTTTAGGCCTGTAATTCCAGCACTTTGGAAGTCAAGGTGGGAAGAACTGGTTGAGCCCAGGGGTTTGAGACCAGCATGGGAAACATAGTGAGAACTCCATCTCTACAAGTAATTTAAAAATTACCTTCTCATGGTGCTGCACACCTGTACTTGGGAGGCTGAAATGGGATGACCACTGGTGCCAAGGCAGTTGAGGATGCAGTGAGTTTTGATTGCAGCACTGTACTCCAGGCTGGCAGATAGAATGAGACCCTGTCTCAAAAACAAAACAAAACAATAAAAACTGGTTAAAGTACAAATAATAAAGCTGTTAGTTATTTTTACTGTGCAAAAAATAGCAATGATGGGCAGTCCACTGGTCTTTCTTTCCAGCTAAAAAAAATAGTCTTCCTGCTTGCCATTGAGATGATCACTTTGCACCTACATCACTGTTAGAAAATGCCTCCCCCAACCCCAACTGATGTTGGATGCTCAGCAAACACCTTTCTCCTTCTCACACAGATCTTGACTCTCCTTGATCAGAGGCAATAGATGGATTTTCTATTTCTTCCTTTATATATGTCAAATGCAGGATTTTCTTTCATTATCAAAGATCAGAATCAGGGACTATTCTATTTCTAGACTTCTTGTTGACCCAAGAGCATTAGGCATAATCAAGTATGGTTTTGGAAGATAAGGTATATGAAGTATTACTCTGTAGTTCCTGACACTTAAGCATTATACAACATATATGCCTTATAATAAATTACAAATTTTATTACAGGTTAAATGCCATAGAAGTGTTTAATAAACCCAACACATAAAAATGTTATAACAGTTTCTGGGAAAATACAGTAAGGCCGAGCTGCCAATAAGTAATGAAACTTTTTGTGCTTTTACTGCTGCATATTGTAATAAAACAATCTGAAGATTTTAGACCTCTTATAAGAAAATTATTTGACTTCCCTTTAAGGTAGGAGTCACCTTTCGATTCGTTTATCAATTGTCTCTGCAAAATTTAAAGAAAGAAGCAATCTAATACTCCGTTAGAAATATTTATATTTATATGTGTGTTGTGTATCATTAAATATGTTTATAGTTGGCTGGGCATGGTTGGTAACACCTGTAATTTCAGCACTTTGGGAGACTGAGGTGGAATGACAACTTGATGTCACAAGTTTGAGAGCAGCCTGGACAACATGATGAAAGCCCATCCCTACTAAAATACAAAAATTCACTGGACGTGGTGGTGCACACCTGTAATCCCAGCTACTTGGGAGTCTGAGGAAGGATAATTGCTTGAACCCAGGAAGCAGAGGTTGCAGTGAGCCGAGATCAGGCCACTACACTACAGCCTGGTCCAGAGAATGAGACTCCACCTCAAAGATCCAACTAGAAAATCTACCACACATTTATTCCTCAATGTTAGGCATTTTCACCAAGCAAAACTACATCAGAAAGACAAGCAGGACAATGTATGTTATGTTATCTTGTGAACACAAGGTAATTTACTATGACAGCAAGGATAGTAATAAAACTGTTTAATGTAGTTGAACAGGTGAAGACAGTCTAATAATTTGCTAACTTATAAACAAACATGAAGAAGATACATTAGGTTAATAAAACCTGTTTGTATAGATAAAGTACAATGTTACTATATTCTTTAGCTAGGTTATCACTGATTATGACTGGTTGTATAGTCTTTGTCCAGAAATATTTCTTAATATCATCACTACTTACAGAGACTTCTGTTTTAGCATATTCTTTACATAAGCCCTTTCCTCATGTATCGTGAATCTTTAAACGCATGGTTATTGACATGGTTGTTCGACAATAAAAATATTTAACCTCACATTTTAGAAGAAGTTATCATAGACTTTTAACAGAAAGTGGAGTGAATCCATCTGAAGACTGTACTTAATTTTCAAACTCAGGATATACAATAAACATCCTTTGAAAACTGAAGTCCTAGAATACATGTATGAGATTTTACTAAAGACCTAATTTAGCAAAATGAAATTGCATTTTCTAAGTGTAGGTTGCATAAACAAAAAAGATTGTCTGCAGACAATCTTTATTTTCATATTTCCACACTATGCTCAATGCATAAAGTATGGTCAACCATAGCAAATTATGGCATTAAACCCAAAACATTCTCTGGCAATGAGAATAGCATGATCGAGGGAATCTGAAAACAGGTTGTTTGTGTAACTTTGCTTTAATTCCATCGTATTTTCTTTCTGCCTTTACATTTTATTCTCTTCTGAGCATGTGAAAAATTCTGTAAATTCAAGTGTAAATTATGGTATAGGCAATTGTAAATTATAAGCATATTTAAATTTTATATTTGTACATATGTGTGTATATGTATACACACATGTGTATTGCATATTATGTACTGTTTACAAAATAAATCTATCGTATATATTTAAGGTATACAACATGATGTTATAAGTTACATACATATAGTAAAACATTCACTATGATGGAATTAATTTACATATTTATCATAACATGTTACTCACTTCACCCCTCTGGCAAGATGAGTTATAATCTACTCCTTTAGTAGAAATCCTACAAACAATAGTGTTATTACTTATAGTCCATAGGCTGTATATTAGATCTTTAGATTTATTCATCCACATATTTGCTACTTTATATCTTTTGATGTACATCTTACCATTTCCTACTTGTCACCCCATCCCTAAGAACTACTGTTTTTCTCTTTATGACTATGTATCTGAACATTTTTTAAAATGCCATTAAATATTCTCTTTTTATTTTTCTTCTTTCTTACTAAAAATGGTAATCATATTTGTAACAGAATTTCTTTCTTCTCCCTTCAACCCTGCCTACTTATCTCACATAAACTCTTAACTTCAAATTTGCGAACATCTTTAAATGTCCAATAAAATGATTTACACTGGTATAGCAGTAGACAATAGAAATATTGGGGCCAATCAATTTAACATACCTGGTAGTTTATGAACTTGTCTGAAGTGTTTGTGGCCTGGTGCCATAAAGAAATAGCACCCGAACATAAATTTAATCTATTTAGTAAGGCAATTTTTACTTCCTGTAAAAAGGGTATACACTCTCCAGCAGTTTTGTCACGAGAGTACACCGAACAAAGGTGACAGGGTCATTTATATCCTGATGCGTCCATCCTACTGCCGTGTCCAGTCTCCATCAGCTGGAATGTGACCTCACATTCTGTATTTGTCCCGATTGGCCAGCAACTTGCAATGTTTTAAAAGACACAAAGGTATAGGAGAACAAAGGAAGGAGGAAGTAACTTGTGAGATGTTGAGAAAGTTAAAAACACTTTTAAATAAGGAAGAAGAACACACTATGACCTAACGCTTGCTTGGACCAGTATAAGCATGCCAGGGCAAATATTTATGCTAAATTGTGGGAGCTAAGAACATAAAATACATTGATTCATTATGGCTAGCAGACATTTAAGAATGTTAGCACAGGTCTTTGAATAAATATTGCTTCTAAGAGAAGTTACTATTTATTCCTAAATGGGGAGGAAAGTCTTTGAAGAGGAACCTCTACTTTACTTCTTACAAACTTGAAGTCAAGTCCACTCCCATGAGCTTCAGATTGTCTTCCACTAGCAGCTGCCTGAGGCAATTTTGGGAAGCTCTTTCCAGCAAAATCAGCAGCTCTTGGTGACAATAGGTGGCCATTGAACTCTTTGCAACATTTCCAAGGAATAATTGCTCAAGCCAATTTTGTCCCATAAGGAGCTGACTCTGTTTTCTGCTTGAGAGTGTTTCCCATGTCTCTGAAATTTTATGCACCTTGTTGTTCAGTCCTGTTGAAAGATCGGGAAGCCAACTTCAGTAATATTTTGTGCTATATGGTATATTCAACTTTTTCTTTAACATGTATACACCTATTACTGCTAAACTTCCAATAGCATCGTCTACATTTTGCATACATAAGATACTTACTTTGGATTCTTTGCTATGACTTACTTAGTGAAAGTTAAAAAGCAAATTGACTTATTTCTGACTCATGGAAAGAAAACAATACCAGTGTCTTTTGTTAAAAATTATTGAATTCCAAGGTAAAAAAGTGGAAAACTATTTTGATGTGTGCTATGTTAAAAATAATCAGCCAGTTCCCATAGACCATCTATATAGGAAGGATCTATAATGAATAAGGGATATAGGAAGGTGTTGAAGACACAAGCTGATTAAGTCACTGAAGAAAACCTCCAGGGGACTTTGTAAATGTTAACAAGGTAAGATGATTTTATAGCATTGATTTAATAAATGCATACTGAGGATTGTTGGGTGGTTTTGCCTGGGTTTCGTTTCTAGTGTATCCAGGCAATTCCTAAATGCCATCATAGATTTTTTTATTATTATACTTTAAGTTTTAGGGTACATGTGCACAATGTGCAGGTTAGTTACATATGTATACATGTGCCATGCTGGTGTGCTGCACCCATTAACTCGTCATTTAGCATTAGGTATATCTCCTAATGCTATCCCTCCCCCCTCCCCCCACCCCACAACAGTCCCCAGAGTGTGATGTTCCCCTTCCTGTGTCCATGCGTTCTCACTGTTCAATTCCCACCTATAAGTGAGAATATGCGGTGTTTGGTTTTTTGTTCTAGCGATAGTTTACTGAGAATGATGATTTCCAATTTCATCCATGTCCCTACAAAGGACATGAACTCATCATTTTTTACGGCTGCAATAGTATTCCATGGTGTATATGTGCCACATTTTCTTAATCCAGTCCATCATTGTTGGACATTTGGGTTGGTTCCAAGTCTTTGCTATTGTGAATAGTGCCACAATAAACATACGTGTGCATGTGTCTTTATAGCAGCATGATTTATAGTCCTTTGGGTATATACCCAGTAATGGGATGGCTGGGTCAAATGGTATTTCTAATTCTAGATCCCTGAGGAATTGCCACACTGACTTCCACAATGTTTGAACTAGTTTACAGTCCCACCAACAGTGTAAAAGCGTTCCTATTTCTCCACATCCTCTCCAGCACCTGTTGTTTGCTGACTTTTTAATGATCACCATTCTAAATGGTGTGAGCTGGTATCTCATTGTGGTTTTGATTTGCATTTCTCTGATGGCAAGTGATGGTGAGCATTTTTTCATATGTTTTTTGGCTGCATCAATGTCTTCTTTTGAGAAGTGTCTGTTCATGTCCTTCGCCCACTTTTTGATGGGGTTGTTGGTGTTTTTTTTTTGTAAATTTGTTTGAGTTCATTGTAGATTCTGGATATTAGCCCTTTGGCAGATGAGTAGGTTGTGAAAATTTTCTCCGATTTTGTAGGTTGCTTGTTCACTCTGATGTTAGTTTTTTTTTTTTTTTTTTTTGGTGTGCAGAAGCTCTTTAGTTTAATTAGATCCCATTTGTCAATTTTGGCTTTTGTTGCCATTGCTTTTGTTGTTTTAGACATGAAGTCCTTCCCCATGCCTATGTCCTGAATGGTAATGCCTATGTTTTCTTCTAGGGTGTTTATGGTTTTAGGTCTAATGCTTAAATAATTATACAGTTGTGTAAATAAGAGTGATTTTAGATATTTCAGACAATCCAGAGCCACATAACTTCCCAAAAGTGAGGCTCTGGGACATGATAATACTTTACCTCCTCTTCCAGGCTCCATTGCCAGGGGTAACAAGAAAACTTTTGAAACGCAGACAGCCCTAACCTGCGGCACTCATGTCCTGGCTCCCACTGTGGCCTGGCATTCCATTTCTCTGTGTTTATCAGTCATACAATAGCAGTAGCTTACAGGTCATCACGCTTCACCTCCTGGACTCCAATAATCCATGGAACCCATCTGATGATTCATCTCCTTCCTGTATACAACCTCTGAAATTTTCTCATTGCTTCATGGAATTATGGAGATCTTGTTACTACTGCTTCTCAAACCCTCCCTCAAGGACATCACCTCCCCTGCAGTTATTTAAGATTCTGGGTTAAGTGGAGGGGTCATAAGAAGAAATGCCTTAAAGCCTTGGACTCTTAATGCTGGAATTAGCTTCCATGTTTGCCTCGTTCAAATTTCCACCTTCAGATCATTTGTCCTCTGGCTTCTTAAACCACCCAGCTTCGGATGTCATGGCATCTGATTTTATCAATTTCATCATTTTATGATCTTATGATATCAAATTATATCAACCTCCTATACTGACACCCAACTTAGTACCAATTATTTCTCAACATTGTTCCTCCTTCTTAATTTTCGTCATCTCCTAATGAGGTTATTCTTTTTTGTTTTCTTTTGAGACAGGATCTAATTCTACGGCCCAGGCTGGAGTACAGTGGTGCAATTATGGCTCACTACAGCCTGGAACTCCTGAGGGCAAGTGATCATCCTGCCTCAACCTCTGGAATAGCTGGGAATACAGGCATGCACCATGATGCCCAGCTAATTATTTTAATTATTTTGTAGAAACTGGGTCTACTATGTTACCCAGGATGTTCTCAAACTCCTGGCCACAAGTGATCCTACCACCTCAGCCTTCTAAAGTCTTGTGATTACAGGTGTGAACCACTTCACCAAGCCCTAATTCTTGATATTAGGATATATACATGTAATTTTTCAACACACTCACCTCTCAAATTCTCTAAAATCTTACCTCCAATACATTTTTCTATATTTTACCTAATTTCTTACGTATTATAAGTTCCAATAAGTACCACTCCTCTATAATCTTAATAGCACAACTTCCCCTTTCTAATAACTCAAGTATTTGCAGCACACCACTACATTTTACTGAAATGCATCTTCTTTTCTTTTTCCTATTTCCCCACTGAAATCACATTGCCAAACCTCACAATCACTCCCACGGGGATTCCCTGAATCTCTTGCTTCCTTCTTGCTTTCTTTTAGACTGGGTTTTAACCACAATTCTGGCTAAATAAAACTCCACCTACACTCCATTGGCCTTCATCTGTGCACACAAATAACCATACCAGCTGCTCAGACTTTATATTTGTGATTAATTAGCTCCAAGTTGGGATTCCAGGAGCTGTTGCTATACTTTCCCAGTCTATGAATACTTTAACTCCTTCTGAGAGCTGTTTTATAGTTTCTTTTCCTGGAATTCCAACACTTTTCTCTGCTAATCAGGAGATTAAGTTCTCTTTCATCAAGAGTAGGGAAGGGATGAGATACAAGCTTCCATGGGCTTCCACCTGCACATGCATCAAGCTACCGACATCTCAACCTACACACTCTTCCCTGTAGTTTCTTAATGTGGATGAGTGGTACATGTTTTCCTCTAAACATAATCCCTTTATCTGTGCAATAGATTCTCTCTTCTCTTTTCCTTTCAAGGATACAGCTACTTAGCTCTTGCCCTAGTGAAACCTTTCCATCCAACAAACACATACATTTGTCATATTTTCTATAATTGTAAAAGAAATTATCTTGATCTTTGCTATGGTAAGAATTTTTGTGTCTTCTGAAATGTTTATGGTGAAATCATAAACCTCAATGCAATGTGTATTAGTCTCTTCTTATGCTGCTAATACCCAAGACAAAGCAATTTACAAAGGAAAGAGCTTTAACTGACTCACAGTTCCACATGATTGAGGGGTAAGGCTCACAATCATGAAGAAAGGCACATCTTATATGGTGGCAGGAAAAAGAGTTTCTGCAGGGGAACTCCCCTTTATAAAACCATCAGTTCTCATGAGACTTATTCACTATCACGAGAACAGCATGGGGAATACCTACTGCCATGATTCAGTTATCTCCACTTGGTCCTGCCCTTAACATGTGGGGATCATTATCATTCAAGGTGAGATTTGGGTAGGGACACAGCCACACCATATTACAATGGTATTTGGAGGTGGGGGCTTCATGTGGTGATGAGATCATGAGGGTGAATCCTCATGAATGGGATTAGTATCCTTATAGAAGGCACCTCATAGAGCTCCCTTGCCTCTTCCACCAAGTGAGGACACAGTAAGAGGAGCAGAAAGCAAGTTGTCACTGAATCTGCCATGTCTTCATCTTGGACATCTCAGGCCCCAGAACGGTAAGAAATAAATTTCTGTTGTTTCCAAATTATCCAGTCTAATGTATTCTGTTAAAACAGCCTGAGTGAGCTAAGACAATCTCATTTTATCAGTCAGATAGTGGCACCAACCCCACTCCTTTCTTTGTGCTCCTATATCAGCAAAATTCCTCCATGATAGCTGTGTCTCCTCACCATGCCCCTGTTTTTTCCACCTGCCATTCTCTTTTAATAATGTCCATTCAAAATTTTCTACTACCTTTCTGAGAAGTTATGTAAAGGTCACTGATAACGTCACAGTGTTGAATTCTATTTTCAATTCACAATCTCTATCTTGAAATGACTTGTCACTTCTGCATACTGGTCTTTAGGACAATACACTGCCTTGCTTGTGTGTGTGTTTCTTTTCCTACTATACCCATTGCTAATTCTCAGTTTGCCATTTCCTTTGCTTTTCCCTGATATTGTTAAATTCTGACTCAGTCTTTTACTGACATTCACTCCTTTCATACAGTGGGATGCCATTGAATGTCATCTACATATCAGAAAGACTCATTTTTTAATCCCTCTGCTACAAACTTATTTTCCAAACTCAATTTTACATGACTAAGTTCACCCTTGAAAAGCATCGGTTTGAACCACATGAGTTCACACATGCATGAATTTTCTTCTACTTCTGACACCCCTGAGACAGCAAGAACAACCTCTTCTCCTTTTTCTCTTCCTAATCTTCCTCTTCCTCAGCCTACTCAATGTGAAAACAATGAAGATGAAGACCTTTATGATGATCCACTTCCACTTAATAAATAGTAAATATATTTTCTCTTCCTTATGATTTTCTTAATACCATTTTCTTTTCTGTAGCTTACTTTATTGTAAGAATACAGTATAGCAGTATGTAATGCATAGATCATACAAAATATGTGTTTATTGGCTGTTTGTATTATCAATAAGGCTTCTGGTCAAAAGTACACTATTAAGAGTAGAGTTCCGGGGCAGTCAGAAATTAAATGCAGACTGTTGATTGTGAGTGGGGATCCGTGTCCCTAATCTTTATGTTGTTGTAGGGCCAAATTTACTTAAAATAATTAAATTTGCTTAGCACCATTTTTCATGGCCTCCAAAAAATTGCCAGGTGTCATATGAAAGTTTCCTTGTTATTTCTGAGTATTTTCTAATTTCCATATTTATTTTCAGTTGGTAAAGGAACTACTTAGAACTTTCTTTCTTAATTTCAAACATTTTAGCGTTTTTTTCTAGTGGTGAAACTTTGTGTTCAGAGAAAAAAAGTTGTTGAAGTTATTGAACTTTGCTTTACAGCCCAGGATGTGGTCTGTTTGGTGGTCTCGTCAGGCCTCTGAGCCAAAGCTCAGCCATTATAGCCTCTGTGACCTTCACATATACATCTAGATGGCCTGCAGGAGCCAAGAAGTCTGGAGCAGCTGAAAAACCACAAGAGAAGTGAAACAGCCAGCTCCTGCCCTAACTGATTGACCGACCTCATGACATTCCACCAACTTATGACATTCCACCATTATGACTTGTTTCTGCCTTGCCCAAACTGATCAATTGATCCTGTGACATTCTTCTCCTGGACAATGAGTCTCATCATCTCTCCACCAGGAACCATGTGACCCCCTCCCCTACTGAAAACAGACAACCACCTTTAACTCTAACTTTCCACTGCCTACCCAAGCCCTATAAAGCTTCTCCTCTCCTATCTCCCTTCTCTGACTTTCTTTTCAGACTCAGCCCACTTGCACCCAACTGAATAAACAGCCTTGTTTGCTCACACAAAGCCTGTTCACGTGGTCTTCTATATGGACACGTGGACATATGCCCAAGTTGGTCAGAGTACAGTTTGGCTTTACACACTGTAAGGAGATGGGAGACATCAATCAACATATATGTAAAATAAACATTGGTTCAGCCTAGAAGGGTTCAAGTCGGGAGGGGTCTTCTAGGTTGGAAGTAGATAGGAGATAAATGGTTGCATTCTTTTGAGTTTCCGATTAGCCTCTTTAAAGGAGAAAATCAGGTATGCATTTATCTCAGTAAACAGAGGGAAGACTTTGAATAGAAGGGGAGGCAGATTTGCCCTAAGCAGTTCCCAGCTTGACTTTTCCATTTAGATTAGTGATTTTGGAGCCCCCCAGATAGTTTCCTTCCACAGTTATTATTTCACATGTTCTAAAGAATGTGTATTTTACACTGTGGATGTAAGGTTTTATAGATTACAAGACTAGTTTACTAATCATGTATTCCAATTTTAAATATTTATAACCTTCTACTGATTCTTTGTCTAGTTATTTTATCAGTTCCCTAGAGAAGTTTGTCAAATCCCCTATTATGTTATGGGTTTCTCTAGTTTCATTTTTTGAGTTTCTGCAGCTAAATTTCCAAATGGCACTTATTAATTCAGAATTTGAGTAACTTTTGCTGTTAAGTAACGGCATTGCTGCTGATTTTGATTCTTTGAAAGGACTGCAGTTGGACTTAAAATCAAAGGAAGAAGTTTGGTAGGGGAAATAAGCAAAGAAAAAATGGTGCTTTGAGGAAATGGCTTCCTCTTTTACACGTGCTAGAATTTGAAAGGTTTCTATGGGAGGGGGAAGAAGAGAGTTGTCCCCTAGCAAGTCTGCCATCTGTCACCCTTGGAATGTGTGCAGATGATTTCAGACTCTGGGAAAGCAGCTGAATATTATTATCTTCCTGGTACAACTGATGCACTGATAAATTATGAAATGAGCATAAATAGCTGGTGCCAAATGTGATATAGTCTAAACATCCATTATAACTTAGCTGCAATTATTTTCACAGTGAGACTGTGCTGCCTGTGCTTTTTCCAATTCTGTAAACTTTCCAGGAATTTTATCTTATGTCCCTGAAAATGTTTGAGCATTTCACTAGGAGTTCCTTGAATTCCCATCCCATCACTAGCTTCTGCGGATGCAAACCCTCATCTACAATTTGTTTCCACTATATTTCCATGCAATCAGTTTCTCCCATGTTTTATACTTCTTACTCCTCAAGCTCAGAGACAATTTAAACAGAATACTCCTCTTTCTTTGAATTGTCATTCTGATCACAACTGGTTTAGTGACATGGCTGCAAAGTAGGTATACAGTTCTTGAAACCCTGTCTTCTTTATCTTCACTTTTTCACTGCCACCTTGTTAAGCACTGTCATTCATAAAGCTTTGTTCAGATAATTACGTTTTTAATGTAATAACTTGCAATATTGACTGGAGAAGCTAGCTAGGTTTCCTGGGTTGAGTAGGGGCTCAGAAAGCTGTGAAACTCACTGATTTCCTGCATTAGGAATTGTTTCCATCCTGGATGGATAGTATTGAAGATATATGCTTAAACTATTCCTAACACCAGGATTTGTGCATGTGTTTTCTTCCCCAAGAAAGCTATAAACAGGAACAATTTTGCTGTAAGTTTTCCTGTGTCCTCTCTCCCTCTCTGCCTTCCCCCTCTCCCAAAACTAAAGTAAAAGGAATGTTAGCTTTCCACTTTTCTGTGACCAGCAGACCTTATCTATGCTCTCAATTCCAATTCCTTGTAAACATACTTTGTAAAATCCTGTAAAATCCTGTCTCCTTTGCCATGCTGTGGCAAGGTCATAAAGTAGATAAAACCTAAGTTGCACGTATTTTCCACCTTATGGAGTTTAAAAGGCATTCATATACTCTAATTCTGGCTACACATTTGGGATCCCTTCCATGCTGTGGAAGCTTTATACTTTCACTCTGCTCAACAAAACTTACAGCTTTTTCTCTCTATCGGGCCATGTCACTATCACTTGCCCAGGTTCAGCCACCACACCAATTCTTTGGCATGGCTAGGCAACAACCTTAGCTGTGACATTTCGGTGAGCCAGCCAGGAGGCTCCAGGAAAAGCACCTAGATCTTCAGGTGGTGGGTATGATTGGACTTATTTCTCTTGCTATTCTGTTGTATCCTTCCTTAGAATTAGGAGGATAAAAACCAGTTGGCCACTTAGAGGCAATTAGCATGGCCACTGGACTAAAGACACGGATGTCAGGCTGTCTGGAAAAGGGCTCTCTAACAACCCACGACTCTTTGGGGTTGGGAGAATTTGTTCCCAGTTTTGCTTCCCATGGTGGTCCCAAAGTACAACTGGGAGTGCTCAGTGAACATCTTAGTCTCCCAGATACCCTGGTTGAGACCATGGTCCCACCAGAGTCTACCCCTGCAGAGGTTACTGAGCATGAGACATCTTCTGACTCCTGCCTCCTGGGTCCTTATGTCCAATGGCTAAACTTCTTTCCTCATCTCACAAGTAGGTTATTCCTGCTAGGCAGGATCAAGATTCCCTATTTAGAAGTCTTAAATTCTTGGGGTGGTGCCCAGAAGACCTCTGTTCATGTTGCCCTCTGGGATTTAGGCAGGTGTCACCATTTGATGGCCACTTTGAAAGGCCAGTCCCCCATCATAGTGTATGGCCACCCACATCAGGACAATTTAAAGACAGGTCTGTAATTTTCATGTGGATAGTAGAAGCCTTAGGGCATTTCCACCATTGCTCCCCAGATAGGCTTTCTCCTACCTGGGGCCACTCAAGGACAATCTGTTGTGCATAGGCAAAGTCTTAGAGTTGTTGAATTGTTGTTTCAACCATTCAATAATTGGTAATGGAAGGGTGAATATACGGTCAGTTTGGACACATGATACTAGTACCACCTTGAAAGGGGGGCTTACTACTTTGATGGCAAGTGGGGACAGAAGGCTAGAGTACAGCAGCTGTTCTCTCGGCCCTGGCCTAGAGGACATCCACCACACCCTTAAAGCTTCTTAAGCCTCCTGTTGCTAATTCAGAGATTTCTCCTTGAAGGACAGTTTTGATGACCAGGCCCACATAAATTGGGCCTTAGCATGCAAGCATCAGTGGTGCCCCGACCCAGGCCTTGTCACCCTGGAAAAGGTAGGATGTGTTGGAGGAAGGACCACAATAAATCCAACAGTCCTTGTGCCCCATTTAGTGGTCAATGGGTGCATGGCAGGGGCAAAGGAAGTTTCCATCCTGCTGGTAAGCATGGTTAAATCCGGCAGGCGGAGGGCTCAGGAAATGCAGCCATGAGCTTTGAGCACAATAGGACCTGACCCTTGGGGGACACCCTAAGAGAAGAAGAGTCCCAGTACTAACCAGGGGTGTGGGCATCTCTGTGTGTAAAATTCCAGATGGGCTCCATACCTTCAAAACTGGACACCCCCTTAAGATGTATCCTGAATAACTGGGACAAATTCAACCCTGAAACCTTACAAAAGAAGCAGCTAATTTTCTTCTATACCACTGCCTGACCATGGAATTTCTTACAAAATGGAAAAACTTGGCCCCCTGAGGGAAGTATTAATTATAATACCCTTCTACAGCTAGATCTTTTCTGTGAACAGGAAGATAAATAGAGTATAGTCCCTTATGTACAGGCTTTCTTTGCCCTTCATGACAATACTGCCCTGTGCCAAGCCTACAAGCTTTGCCAAAATGACAAAGGCCCACAGTTACCTCCATACTCACAGCCTCTTCCCTCAGCCCCACTCTCCTCCCCCACTGACTCTCCTCCATCCTGCCCCACTGAAGTGGTAAAGAGAATGTAAACTCCCCAAGCCAGGCACCCAAACTATGTCCCTTACAAGCAGTAGGAGAGGAATTTGGGCCCTTCCTTGTACGAGTCTCTTCACACTCTCAGACTTAAAACAAATAAAGTCAAACTTAGGGAAATTCTCAGATGAACCTGATAAGTATATAGATGCCTTGCAAGGATTAAGGCAGTCCTTTGATCTAACATGGAGAGATATAATTTTACTTCTTGATTAGACATTATGTCCTACTGAAAAGCAAGAAGCTTTAACAACAACCTGGCAATTTGGGGATCCGTGGTACCTTAGCCAGGTAAATGATCAAATGGCCCAGAAGGTGAGGGAAAAATTCCCCACAGGGCAAAAGGCAGTCCCTACTGTAAACCCTCACTGAGATACTGACTCAGATCCTGGAGACTGGAGCCACAGGCATTTGCTAAGTTGCATTTTGGAAGAGTTGAGGAAAACTAGGAAAAAGCCTATGAACTACTCAATGCTATCCACAGTTGTGCAAGGAAAAGAGGAAAACCCCTCAACTTTTCTACAAAGGTTAAAGGAGATCCTAAGAAAGCACACCTCCTTAGCTCTGGATTCCATGGAAAGCCAACTTATCATAAAGGATAAATTTATCACCCAGTCAGTGACTGACATTAGGAAAAAACTCCAAAAGTCTGCCTTAGGCCCAGAACAAAATTTGGAGGCATTATTGAACTTGGCAACCTCAGTGTTCTATAATAGGGACCAAGAGGAACATGCCAAAAGGGAAAAGCGATATAAGAGAAAGTCTCCAGCCTTAGTCATGGCCCTCAGACAGGCAGACCTTGGCAGCTCAGAGGGAACCAAAAGAGGAGTAGGACAGTTGCTGCCCCCTTACCCATGTCCAAGATGCCAAGGTAATCACTGGAAGTCACACTGCCCCAGAGGATGAAGGCCCTCTGGGCCAGAAGCACCCAGTCAGGTGATTCAGCAACAGGACTGAGGGTGCCAGGGCAAGCGACAGCTCAGGCCATCACCCTCAAAGAGCCCCAGGTAAGTTTGAACATTGAGGGCCAGTAAGTGGACTTCCTCCTAGACACTGGCCCTGCCTTCTCAATTTTAATCACCTGCCCCAGACGACTGTCTGCAAAGTCTGTTACTATCCGAGGAATCTTAGGATAGCTTGTAACCAGGCATTTCTCCCAGCTCCTCAGTTGTAATTGGGAGACTTTGCTCTTTTCACATGCCTTTCTTGTTATGCCTGAAAGTCCCACACCTTTATTAGGGAGGGACATATTAGCCAAAGCTGTGGCTATTATCTACATGAATATGGGGAACAAATTACCCCTTTGTTGTCCCCTACTTGAAGAATGAGTCAACTCTGAAGTCTGGTCCTTGGATGGACAATTCAGAAGGGCAAAGAATGCCCATCCAGTTAAAATCAGGCTAAAAGACCCCACCTCTTTTCCTTATCAAAGTCAATATCCCTTAAGGCCTGAAGCTCACAAAGGATTACAAGATATTTTTAGACAGTTAAAAGCTCAAGGCTTAGTAAGAAAATGTAAGCAGTCATTGCAACACCCCAATCCTAGGAATACAAAAACCAAATGGTCAGTGGAGACTAGTGCAAGACCTCAGAATCATCAATGAAGAAGTAATTACTTTATATCCAGCTGTACCCAACCCCTATACACGGCTCTCTCAGATACCAGAAAAAGCAGAATGGTTCGCTGTTCTGGACCTCAAAGATGCCTTCTTCTGCACTCTGACTCCCAGTTCCTCTTTGCCTTTGAGGATTATACAGAGCACATGTCCCAGCTTATGTGGACAGTCTTACCCCAAGGGTTTAGAGATAGCCCTCATCTGTTTGGGCAGGCACTGGCCCGGGACCTAGGCCTATTCTCCAGTCCAGGCACTCTGTTCCTTCAATACATGGATGACATACTTCTGGCTATGAGTTTGGAAGCCACATGTTAGCAGGCTACTCTAGACCTCTTAAACTTTCTAGCTAATCAAGGGCACAAAACATCTAGGACAAAGGCCCAGCTCTGTCTACAACAAGTTAAGTGTCTAGGCCTAATCCTGGCCAAATGAACTGGAGTCCTCAGCAAAGAGTGTATTTATCTTATACTGGCCTACCCTCACCCTAAGACGTTGAAAAAGTTGAGGGGGGGTTCCTTGGAATCACTGACTTTTGCCAACTGTGAATTCCTGGATAGAGTGAAATGGCCAGGCCACTCTATCCCCTGATAAAGGAAAATCAGAAGGCAAATACCCACCTAGTAGAATGGGAACTGGAGGTGGAAACAGCCTTCAAAACTTTAAAGCAGACCCTGGTACAAGCTCCAGCCCTGAGCATCCCCCAGGACAAAATTTATCTTTATATGTCACTGAAAGAGTAGGAATAGCTCTTGGAGTTCTTACTCAGACTCCTGGTACAGCCCCACAACCAGTGGCATACCTAAGTAAAGAAATTGATGTAGTAGTCAAAGGCTGGCCTCACTGTTTATCGGTGGTTGCAGCAGTAGCCATCTTAGTGTCAGAGGCTGTTAAAATAATACAAGGAAAGGATCTCACTTTCTGGAACACTCATGATGTAAGTGGTATATTAAATGCTAAAGGAAGTCTGTGGCTGTCAGATAGTGGACTACTTAAATACCAGGCGCCACTCCTTGAGTACCAGTATTTCAAATATGCATGTGTGTGGCCCTCAATCCTGCCACTTTTCTCCCAGAGGGTGAGGAACCAATTGAGTATGACTGCCAACAAATTTTAGCTCATACTTTTGCCACCCGAAAAGATCTCTTAGAAGTCCCCTTAACTAACCCTGACCTTAATCTGTACTCTGATGGAAGTTCATTTGTAGAAAATTGGGTACAAAAGGCAGGCTATGCCATAGTTAGTGATACAGCAGTACTTGAAAATAAACTTCTTCCTCTAGGGACCAGTGCTCAGTTAGCAGAATTCATTGTGCTAATCTGAGCCTTAGAACTGGGAGAAGAAGAAAGCATAAATGTATACACAGATAGCAAGTATGCTTTTCTAGTCTTACATGCACATGCTGCAATATGGAAAGAAAGAGAGTTCTTAACCTCCGGAGGAACACCTATTAAATACCACAGATAAATCATGGAATTAATGCACACAGTGCAAAAACCTAAAGAGGTGGCAGTTTTACACTGCTGGGGCCATCAGAAAGGTGAAGGAGAAGAAGCAGAAGGAAAGTACCAAACAGAGTCTGAGGCCAAAATTGCTGCCAGGCAGGAGTTTCCTTCAGAAATGCCCAAGGAAGGACACCTGGTATGGAGAAACCTCCCTCCAGGAGGTTAAGCCCCAGTACTCTCCAACTGAAATAGAATGGGGACTTTCACAAGGACATAGTTTTCTCCCGTCGGGGTGGCTAATAACATAGGAAGGAAAGGTGCTCATACCTGAAGCCAGCCACTGGAAAATACTTAAAACCTTTCACCAAACTTTTCATACTGTTATTGAAAGTACCCATAACATGACCACGTCTCTATTTACAGGGCCAAACCTCCTCAAAACCATCAGGCAAGTAGTCAAAGCCTGTGAAATGTGCCAAAAGAACAACCCCTTGGCCCACTGTAAGGCCTCTCCAGGAGGACAAAGAACAGGACATTATCCCAGAGAGGACTGGCAGTTAGATTTTACCCATATGCCAAACCCAAGAGAATTTCAATACTTATTGGTCTGGGTTGATACCTTTACAAATTGAGTAGAAGCCTTCCCTTGTAGAATAGAGAAGGTCCAAGAAGTGGTTAAAGTCTTAGTTCATGAAATAATTCCTAGATTTGGACTTCCCATAGCTTATAGAGTGACAATTGTCCAGCTTTTAAAGCTACAACAACTTAAGGAATTTCCAAGGCACTAGGAATACAATATCAACTTCACTGTGCCTGGAGGGCACAATCCTCAAGGAAAGTTGAAAAGGCAAATGAAACTCTCAAGAGGCATTTGAGAAAACTAGAGCAAGAAACTCATCTTGCTCGGCCCACTCTGTTGCCCATGGACTTATTAAGAATCTGAAACTCCCCTCACAGAATGGGGCTCAGTCCATATGAAGTGTTGTATGGATGGCTTTTCTCACAGATGACCTCCTGCTCAATCAGGAAAAGGCCAATTTAGTAAAAGATATAACTTCTCTGGCAAAATATCAACAAAATCTTAAAACTTTACCTGAAAAGTGTGACAGGGAAAAAGGAATAGAGATGTTTCAACCAGGAGATCTAGTATTGGTCAAGTCTCTCCCCTCTAGCTCTCCTTCTATGGATCCCTAATGGGAGGAACCATACTTGGTAATCCTCTCTACCCCCACTGCAGTTAAAGTGACGGGAATGGAATCCTGGATTCACCACACCCAAATTAAGCCTTGGACACCTCCTGAGAAACTTACAGAATCATCAACTCAGGAGTCACAAGTCAGCCAGACCAGCTTCGATACACCTGGCCACCACAAGAGGACCTGCATCTCCTATTTTGGAAAGGAACACTTCAGACCAGAAAAAATCCTGCAGTTAATCCTGAAGAGGGACTTCTCCTTACCTAAATGAGGATCAGTGGGGAAAAAAAAAAAAAAAAAAAACCAACATGATCTTTAACTTCTCTCCTTGCTCTCTTTAATGGAAGACTTCTACTGTTTTGTTACATTATTAAGCACGTTTCTTCTATCTGCCTTCCTTGTAACAGCAATTCACTCCTTTTTCCCTCCTCTTTCCTGTGACCATTTCACTTACAACACTTCATGATTCCTCTTAGGCTTCCTGTCATCCTCTTCATACTCGTGTCCCTTTCTCCAACAACAACACACACCCCGTGTCAGTGTGCCTCCCCTGGAGGAGACAACTGGCATTCTATCAGAAACTCTTGCAGATTGGGTAGCCCCTTCCAAACACCCACATCTTTTGCCACTCATACTTACATGAGAAAAGAATGTTATAAAACTGTTCCTTGGAGCCTGTTTAACACCACCCTTACAAGAATACAAGAGACCTCTCCTAATAATCCAACCAACTATTGGATGTGTCTCCCCTTGTGTTTCCAACCATATGTCCCAGTCCCTGTCCCCAGATAGTGGAACTTATCCACCCCAGTCCTAAACACCACCAAATTAATCGGTCCCATAGTCACCAATTTACCAGCCACAGAGGCCTCAAATCTCACATGCATGAACTTCAGCATGACTCTCAATAAAAACACCCCCCAATGTCATTCCTGGATGTCAGTAATGTCAGGTTTCACCTGTCTAACTTCAGGCATCTTTTTCATCTATAATAACACAGCCTGTTGATGCCTAAATAGCACTCCAAAAGAATTATGCTTTCTCTTCTTTATAGCAACTCCCATCTCCATATGCACTGAACAAGAGTTACAAAGTCTCCTTATAACACAATCTTGCCACATATGAGCCCTTATTGTCTCTTTTATTGTAGGAGCCAGAATAATAGGTGGGCTCCTATTGGAATTGGAGGCATAACCTCCTCCACTCAATTCTATTATAAATTATCACGAAAATTAAATGATGACATGGAACAAATTTCCAACACCCTAGTGACCCTACAAAGCCAGCTTACTTCTCTAGCTGCAGTGGTCCTCCAAAACCAAAGATCCCTGGACCTATTAACAGCTAAAAGAAGAGGAACCTTCATCTTCTTGGGAGAAGAAGGTTGCTGTTTCATTAACCAGTCAGCAATCATTACTGAAAAGTTTAAATAAATAAGAGAACGGAAAAAAGTAGGAAAAAGGAGCTTGATCACTCTGAACCCTGAAATATGTTTAACCAATGGATACCTTGGCTACTCCCCTTTCTAGGTCCTGTGACACCCATCCTATTTTTACTCACCTTTAGGCCTTGCATTTTTAACCTCTGTGTCAAATTTGTTTCCTCCAGGATCGAGGCCATCATGCTACAAATGGTCGTACAAATGGAACCTCAAATCAGCTCAAATCACAGCTTCTACTGAGGACACCTGGATTGACACATTGGAACCTTGACTGGCCTAGAAAGTTCCCCTCTGAAGAACACCACAACTACAGGGTCCCTTCTTTGCCCCTAACAAGCAGGAAGTAGCCAGAACGACCGCCACCCAGTTCTCAAGAGCAGTTGGAGGGTCCTGTTTAGAGGGGGGACTGAAAGGAGGGGCCGGCTGGGCTTCCTGGATTCAGTAGGGGCCCAGAAAGCTGGGAAACTCACTGATTTCCTGCATCAGGAATTACCTCAATCCTGGATGAATGATACCGAAGATATAGGCTTAAACTATTCCTAACACCAGGATTTGTTCATGTGTTTTCTCCCCCAAGAAAGCTATAAACAGGAACAATTTTGCTGTAAGTTTTCCTGTGTCTTCTCTCCCTCTCCGCCTTCCCCTCCCACAAAACTAAAGTAAAAGGAATGTTAGCTGTCCATTTTTCTGTGATCAGCAGACCTTATCTATGCTCCCAATTCCAATTCCTTGTAAACATGCTTTGTAAAGTTCTGTGATATTCTGTCTCCTTTGCCATACTGCAGCAAGGTCCTAAAGTAGACAAATCCTAAGTTACAATTCCAGTTTTCCTCAAGATCTAAAACATGCCACAAATTGTTAACTGTCTTTGTTTCTTGCTTTGGTAACATTTTCCCGCCACAGGTATTTCCCACCTTAAAGAAATTAGAAGGCATTTCTATAATCTAACTCTGGCTACCTGTTCAGGATCCCTTCCACGCTGTGGAATCTTTGTACTTTCACTCTGCTCAATAAAGCCTACAGCTTTTTCTATCGGTCTGTGTCTCTATCACTGGCTGCAGTCAGCTGTCACACTAATTCTTTGGTGTGGCTAGGCAAGAAACATAGAAGTTACAATATTACCACTATATTTATTATTGTGTGTCCATGCATCTTTAATGTTAAACTCTTGAGGGAAGATACTAGTGTATCTTCTAGTCATGAATCCTAGCACAGCACAACGGCCAGTGACCTAGTGTTTTTACCGGAAACACTTTGGAGAACCTCATATATATATGAGTATATATACATGGCTGTACCATCTAAGATTGTGTAAGTACACTCTAGGATGTTCACACAAAGACTAAATAATATGTAATATGTAAATATAATAGATACTAGAATATATATAATAGGCATATTATATATAAAAACATATACATGTAATACATATAATATATAAATTTCTAATATAGAAATATATGTGTATATTTATTTCTAATATAAACTTGTACTATAATAGAAATATACCTTAAACATGTAATATATGTATATTTATATATATAAATTTTACATATAGTAAATATAAAATATACAAACATACAGTACATAAATATTTACATATATGTAATATATAACTTACATAAAAATAAAATACAACTTACATATAAATAAAATATGTAATATTTATATTACACATCATATTTGTACAATTCTATTTATTATTTACTTTTAAAACATAAAAATATATGTATATTTCTATAATATAAAAGCATTATATTTATAAATATAAACATACAATACAGTTCATACGTATTATATAATATACACAATATTATCTATATGTGGATATATATTACATTCTCTCACAAGGAGTATAAAGAACACTATATCATATATATATATATATACACACACACATATATACATATACACACACACATATACATATACACACACACACACACCTGCATATATAGACCTATTCTGAATTTACCACTACCTCATTAGTTATGGGAAAAAGGGGAGCTTATGGTTACACTCTGGCAAATAGGTTACAAACCTTGTGTTTCTGCTATAACTCTCTAGAAAGACAAGCAAGATACAGAGATACAGAGATCTCAGGGGTTGTTGCTACTGTTTATAGGGTGTCACACACAGCCACTTGGATAATGTAAAACTTGATGTGACTCCCACCTATTAAAGGCCATGTTTTTATTAATGTACTCTAAGCTAGGACTAATGATGGCCCATGATAGAAGACGAATCATATACGCAGAGAAGCATGTTGGATCCCATGTGCAAAGGGATGCTGACTCCTGTGAGAGAGACCCAGAGAAAAGCTGCCTTGGTTTCTGCACATTGCCAGATCCCATTTCAGTTACATTTGTTTTTTCTATATGCCTATGCCTATGTGTATGTATAAAGAGTCATGTGTTACTTAATGACAATACTTCTGAGAAATGTGTCCTTGTTTGATTTAGTTCTCGTGCGAACATCCTAGAGTGTACTTATGCAGTCTTAGATGGTACAGCCTACTACACACTTAGGCTATATGGTAGAGCCTATTGCTCCTAGGCCACAAACCTGTACAGCACAATACCATGCTAAACACCACAGACAACTGCAACACAGTGGCAAGTACTTGTTCATCTAAACACTGAAAACGTACAGTAAGAATGCAGCATCAAAAATATAAAATGGTAGCCCTGTATAGGGCAGTTACCGTGAATGGAGCTTGCAAGACTGGAGGTTGCTCTGGGTGAGTCTGTGAGTGGGTGATGAGGGGATATGAAGACCTGCGACATTATTGCACACTTTTATTTAACTGGCAACATGCCTCTACACTAGCATGGACACAATCACATGAGTAATGCTTTTGTGCTACAACCCTAGGAAGCCTAGGACAGCACATTATAATAGGAATATCTGAGGTCCATTATAATCTCATGGAATTCTTATCATATATGTAGTCTGTCATTGACTAAAATGTCATTATGTAGCATATGACTGTACATACAAGTGTGTATGTGAATATGCCTATACATCCATGTATATGTGTTTTAGAAGTTTCCCATGCCTGCCATTGAAATAACTACAAACTGGGTGGCTTAAAACAATAAGAATTTCTGGCCAGGTGCATTGGTTTATGCCTGTAATCCCAGCACTTTGGGAGGCCGAGGTGGGCAGACCACCTAAGGTCAGGACTTCATGAGTAGTGTGGCCAACATGGTGAAACCCTTTCTCTATTAAAATTACAAAAATTCCCCAGGCCTGGTGGCTCATGCTTGTAATCCCCACTACTTAGGAAATGTAATCTCTCCTGCTGCTGGCAGTTTAAAAATCAAAGTGAGGCAGTGCGTCTCTCCCTCCACAGGCTCCAAGGGAGGACCTTTCCTGCCTTTCCCAGCTCCTGGTTGATTCAGGAATCCCTTGGCTTGTTACCACATCATTCGAACATAGCTTCCATCTTCAGATCTTCCATATGTCTCTTTATCCAATTCTTCCTCTCCTTCTGTTACAAAGATACCAGCTGTCAGATTTAGGTTCTGCCATAATCCAGTATTGCTTCATCTTATGTCAATTATATCTGCAAAAATTATATAGATATAGATTCATATATATCTCATATGTTATAAATTAATCACAAACATAGGTGTCGAAGAAAGAAAATAATTCCAGAAATAATGCTGCTGTAGTTTATAGCAATAAAAATATGAGTTTAGAGAACAGAATGCATACAGGCTGGAAGAAGAAATGACTCTCCAACAGAAGGCACTCATGGTGGCAAGGGGCTTCCAATCTATTCCCCACCACAGTGATTTCATCTCCAACAGAGTTGATCCTGTTAAGCCAGAGAAGCTTAGGGTTTTATCGTTTCTTAACTTCCATAATATTTATGTCTAACTCCCCCCAAAAAATGATAAAGGGAGTATTTTATCCCACAGAAATACAAACTACCATCAGAGAATACTATAAACACCTATATGCAACTGAACTAGAAAATCCAGAAGAAATGGATAAATTCCTGGACACCTACACCCTCCAAATACTAAATGAGGAAGAATTCGAATCCCTGAATGTAACAATAACAACTTCTGAAATTGAGGCAGTAACTAATAGCCTACTAACCAAAAAAAGCCCAGGGCTAGAAGGCATCACAGCTGACTTCTTCTAGAGGTATGAAGAGGAGCTGGTATCATTGCTTCTGAAACTATCATTGAGGAGGTGTGTGTTTATTATTTGGAATTACAAATGGTTTTGTTTTGTTTAACTCCAGATTTATTGAATGCAAATAGCAGCAAATTCTATATTATCAGATATGATATTGAAACAGGATAGTTCCCTGACCCTTTCAGGGGTGGGAATTGCAGTGCACAGGTGTCAGCAGGAGCGAACCCCACTCACTTGACCCACTGCGCTCCACCCCTCACCTATGACTCCTGAATCCCCAGAGAAGTGTTACAGTACCTTTTTAGCTTTGCCACCCATGGATGGCTTAAAAGTTAACAGCTCAGTGGAGGGTCAGTGCAACAGCCGTTTGCACTTACACTCTTGGCACCCAAGTCGTCCTGCATCCAGGAGGAAAGACGTCACACAAATGAATTGAAGGAGGTAAATGTGGGGATTTTATTGATGATGAAAGTGGCTCTCAGCGGGAAGAGAGATGAAACAGTGACAGAGAGGGAAAGTAATCTTCCCCTGGGGACAGTTGGACTCCTCACCAAAGCTACACTGTCAAGCTGTCCCTGTGAAGTCAAGCTGCATCTCTCTGATGTCCAACCGTAGTCCCTGAGGTCCTGCTGCATCTCCTCTTCTCCTTTCTCTGCTTGCTGAGCCTGGGGTTTTTTCTGGGCACAGGAGCAGGATAGGGCAGACAATGGGTGGTTTTAGAAAAGGCAACATCTGAGTGGGAAAGCAAGGATGTCAATTCTCACTGTCAGTTTCAGTGTTAGCCTTTTTGGCTTGAGGGTGAGGCCCTTGCCAGGGACCCACCCTCTTCTACCCAGAATTTACCTGCCTCCTGTTCCTATCAATATTTCATATTTAGTCAGTTACTTCATCTTTTTCACATGATGTGAGCATAGTAAGACCAGTGACCAAAATGGGCACATTTATATATCTACCTTTATAGATATTTCAATAGGTTATGTTCACAGTGAGCCACCAACTAGAAAACATCATTGCAACATTGCACTTGTAGGAATTTGGAGATGTCCTAAGTGGTTAACTCTATTGAAAGAGTCACATAAGTGCATAGGATATTTCTGCTCTCTGATGACCTATAGCTATTTAGACAATGTAGATAAATATACAGGCTCAGCCACAACGTGTTCTCAAGATATTTTGTTTGGCAGGAAACTACATTTCAGGGCATTAACTACAATGCATGTAACGGGGTGAAATAGTTGAAATGATGCTGAAAGAGGAATTTTGCTTTCCTTTCTTTAATTTGTTATCAGTAGTATACTGTTTGATATCAGTTTCAACTATAAGAGCATGCTGGGGAACCGAATTGCCTTTGAAATAGTGCCCAGGTTTTGAGAGTAGCTCTTGGGTAGCACAGGCACCAAGACCAGAATCATAGGGGTCTGTATAGTGCATGTAAACAGCATTCCTACCTCCTGGTCTCAAGCAATTCTCCCACTTTACTATCGAGTAGCTGGGATTATAGTGCACCTCCAAGCCTGGCTAATCTTATTTATGTATTATTTATGTATTTATGTATTTATTTATTTATTATGTATTTTAGAGATTTTTTTATTATTATGCCCAGGCTGGTCTTGAATTCCTGAGCTCAAGTGATCCTCCACCTCAGCCTCCAAAAAAAAAAAAAAAAACTGGGATTACAGGTGTAAGCAGCAGTGCCTGGCCTAATTGAAGCATTTAGATCATTTACTTTTCATTTGATTATTGGTAGTTGGAATTACATGTAACATGATGTAATTGAAAGTGTATGTTCCCTTACAAATTCATACATGGAAGCCCTAACTCCCAGTATGATAGTGTTTGGAGATGAAGGTTTTAGGCGGTGATTAGAATTATGTGAGGTTATGAGGAATTTCTATCTTTATAAGAATGGGAACGGAAACCTGACCGCAATCTGTCTCTCTGGCTGCCAAGTGAGGACACGACCAAAGGTGGCCATTTGCAACACAGGAAGGGAGCTTTCACCAGAAACTGACCATGCTGTTAATGCTAATTATGAGCTTCCAGACTCCAGAACTTTGAGAAAAAAACAAAATATAAAGATATGTATTTTTGGCCGGGCGCGGTGGCTCCCTTCTATAATCCCAGCACTTTGGGAGGCCGAGGCGGGCAGATCACAAGGTCAGGAGATCCAGACCATCCTGGCTAACACGGTGAAACCCCGTTCTTATTAAAAATACAAAAAACATTAGCCGGGCGTGGTGACGGGCGCCTGTAGTCCCAGCTACTCAGGAGGCTGAGGCAGGAGAATGGCGTGAACCCGGGAGGCGGAGCTTGCAGTGAGCCGAGATCCCGTCTCTGCACTCCAGACTGGGCGACAGAGCGAGATTCCGTCTCAAAAAACAAACAAAAGTATTTTTTTCCCTTTTTTTTTTTTTTTTTTTTTTTTTTTTTTTTTTTGAGACGGTATGTCTCTGTTGTCCAGGCTGGAGTGCAGTGGCATGATCTTAGCTCACTGCAACCTTAGCCCCCTGGGCTGAAGCTATCCTCCCATCTCAGTCTCAGGAGTAGCTGGGACTGCAGGTACATGGCACCATGTACACTAATTTTTGTAGTTTTGGTAGAGTTGGAGTTTCACCATGTTGTACGGGCTGGTGTTGAGCTCCTGAGCACAAGCAATTCTCCTGCCTTGGCCTTCCAAAGTGCTGAGATTACAAGTGTGAGCCACCACGCAAGGCCAGAAAATATATTTTTATTGCTTATATCACTAAGCCTGGAGTAGTGATAAACTCCAGGTTTGTTTTATGGCAGCCCTAGCTGACTAAGACATTTGGCAGTTACCTCTAAATAGAGTTTTAGAAAACACACATTCCTTTTACATCTGTCTTATGCGTTATCCACGAGGTTTATGATTCACTTGTATAAATCTGCATTTCTATCTGTTATGATTCTCCTGTTGCTAAAAGGATTTTCTTTGACATTTTTTGTAGTATTGGTTTGTGGGTGTTTACTTTTTCCATCGTTTTGTGTGTGTGTTTTTTAAAATTTTATTTCAATTTTAATTTTGTTGGATATTTTTACTCAGTTTAGGATTCTAGGCTGACATTTTCTGGCATTTCTTTAAAATTTTTTTGAAAATTTTCTTAATGTCTTGCATTTTCTATGATGAAAACATGATGGTTATTTGTATTCCTGTGTATATAATAATTTTTAAGCTAACTATTTTTAAAGATTTCTCCACACTTTGGAAGACACACTTTGTTTTTGAGTGTGATATACCTTGCTTTTGTGTTTAAATTTTTTTCTGTTTCATATTCATTGGAACTCTATGGATCTGTGAGTTTATGAGATTCACTAAATTTAGAAAATTGTTCACATTATTCCTTTAAATATGAATTTTTCCACGATTTCTGATTCCAATCATTCCAATCATCTGTGTATTATTTTGGTTGAGGTTGTCTCACAGTTCCCTGGATATCTGTCCTCTTTTTAATCCATCATTTTGATGTTGAAGTTTTATTTAAGTAATTTCATCGGCTGAGTATTCAATTTCACTAATCTTTTCCTTTGCTGTGTCTAATATGATATTAATCTCATCTAATATAATCTTTATCCCAGAAATTGCATCTTCTAAATCTAGAGGCCTAATTTAGTTTGTAGATTTTTCTGGGCATGTTTTATATTGATAATTTTCACCACTTTCATTACCATGGGAATTTACAGTGGATTGCTTAATGTTCTGTTCTAATAATTGTACTATCTATGTCATTTATTGCTCTGCCTCTATTGAACTCATTTATTGCAACTTGATTTTTTTTTATGTTTCTTTGCATACTACTAATGTTTGGTTAGACACACCCTTTGCAAATTCTACCTTTTTGAGAGAAGTGTACATTTGCATATATATTTTTGAAGTTTGCTCTGGAATACATTTATAAAATTTGAATATAGCTTGTTCATGTGAAAACTTTTTGCAGTTAGTATAGAATTCTCAATTTGGTATAAAATATGTGTCCATATAAAGTTAAAGTAAGGACATATGTCTATAGAAAAGTAACTCTTTTTATACAAATTTTCAATCATCAACTGATAGGGTATAGGTGGTCACATAAAAGTGCATAAGAACTACCTCAAAACAATTCCCCAGCTCTTTAGTAAGATATTATTATTCAGAAATTCTGTTTTTAAAAGATATAAAAAGATATTTTTAATAATAACAATTTTTATAAAATAACCTTGTTATTTTAAGTATTGAAAAATTCATTGTTTCATAAAATAATTGTTGAATACCTTCTTTGTATTAGACACAATTCCAGGTTCTAAACATACATCCCCTGGTGTACATCTGACCAAAATTTCTGGCAATCACAGAATTTAATATCTTATAGTGAGATACAGATTTTGGATAGTAGAAATATGACAGCTGACCTTTGAACAAAATTGATATATGTATGCTGACCTCCCATAATATGAAAATCCATCTATAATTTTTGGTTCCCCCAAAATTTAACTCTCAATAGCTCACTGTTGGCCAGAAACCTTACTGATAGCACAAACAGCAGATTAACACATCTTGCGTAAGTTATTTTTATGATATGCTATATTCTTATGATAAAGTATGCTACAGAAAAAATATTAAAAATAATGAAGAAGAAGAGATATATTACCTATTCATTAAGTGGAAGTGGGTCATCATAAAGGTCTTCATCCTTGTCATCTTCACACTGAGTAGGCTGAGACAGAGGGGTTGGTCTTGGGGTGGCAGAGGTGGCAGAGAAGCAGAGGGTGGGAGAGGAGTCAAGAGAGGCAGACACACTTGGTGTAACTTTTATTTTTAAAAATCTGAGTATATGTAGGCTCAATGAATGAAATATGTGTTTATCAAGGGTCCATTTGTCTGTTTAGTAGTAGACAGAGAGAACATTTCCTACACATTGTAAAGGAAAGAGCATATTCTATCTCCTAATCAGTGAAAATGAAAAGACTGCCTAACACCCAGGACATTAACACAGAATATACTCAAGAGTACTGCTTCAGGCTGGGCATGGTGTCTTATGCATGTAATCCCAGTGCTTTGGGAGGCTGAGGTAGCAGAATTACTTGAAACTAGGAGTTCAAGACCAGCCTGGGAAACATAACAAGGCCTAGTCTCTACAAAAATAAAGATAAAAATATTAGGTTGGGCATGGTGGTGTATTCATATATTCTTAGCTACTTGGGGGACTAAGGCAGGAGAATTGTTGAGCCCAGGGACTTGAGGATGATGTAACCAATGATTTGTGCCACTGCAATCTATCCTGGGCAGCAAAGACCTTGTCTCTTAAAAAAAAAATTTAGAAAAACTAAAGGGTACTTATTTAGTAGTTTGGCCCTAGATTACAGGTTTTTCTGGTCTCACCCAACTGTAATATAAAGAAGTTACTACAAAATTTTCAATTTAATGAGAATAATTTCACATGAGCATACAATAAGGAATGAGGATATGATTGTTTTACAATTATGAATCTATAAAGATTGTCAGTTGTATGCTGGGTTCAGTGGCTCATGCCTGTAATCTCAGCATTTTGGGAGGCCAAGGTGGGTGGATCACTTAAGGTCAGGAGTTTAAGACCAGCCTGGCCAAATGGTGAAACCCTGTCTCTACCAAAAAATACAAAACTTAGCTAGCCAAGATCATGCTACTGCCCCCGAGCCCGAGAAACAAAGTTGAGACCTTGTCTAAGAAAAAAACAAACAAAACAAAAAACATTGTCACTTGTGTTACTTGCAGGTAAGGCACGAAGTTGAATTAAAGAAAAAAATACACATGCAAACACATGCAAGCATGTGTAAACACTCACATGCAGATATAAAGATATACATATATAGTCAGTGCTTTGTATACATTACTTCCACAGCCAAGAATTCAGAGGATCAAATATATCTGGAAAAAATATACAACAAAAAATAACAATACAGTATTAAATATAAATTATAAAACAATGCACCATATAACATTTATATTTTATGCAGTATTATAACATTTATATTTATGTTTAGATAACATTTATATTTTATGCAGTATTATAAATCATCTGAGGATTTAAAGCATGGGAAAGCATGTGCATAAGTTATATGCAAATAGAGTGACATTTTATATCATGTCCTTGAGCACCCATGAATTTTAGTATCTGTAGGAGTCCTTGAACCAATTCCCATAAATCCTAAGGAATGACTGTATAAGGTATACCAGTTTACCCACTTTCTCAAAACAACAAAGAACACGAAGTGTGGACTTTTCTTCTGACTGCTAAGACAATATATTTATTGTGAAAACTATTTTTTTTTTCCTGAGACGGAGTTTCGCTCTTGTTGCTCAGGCTGGAGTGCAGTGTCATGATCTTGGCTCACTGAAACCTCCGCCTCCAGGCTTCAAGTGATTTTCCTGCCTCAGCCTCCTGAGTAGCTGGGATCACAGGCATGCACCACCAAACCTGGCTGATTTTGTATTTTTTTTTTTAGGAAAGACAGGGTTTCTCCATGTCAGGCTGGTCTCAAACTCCTGACTTGAGGTGACCACCTGCCTCAGCCTCCTGAAGTGCTGGGATTACAGGCGTGAGACACCATGCCTGGTCTATTGTGGAAAGTTTAAAACATATTGGAGAAATGTGTATTTAATGAAAAAAATAATAAAAAGAAAAAAGTATTCTAATACAACTTTTTTTCTGAATTGAATAAAGATCACATTGTAGGTCAATATTTTGTTAAATAATACTTTTGTTCTTTTATTTTGTTTTTTTAAAAATAGAAATGGTGTCTTACCATGTTGCCAGGCTGCTCTTAAACTCCTGAGCTCAACTGATTCTCCCACCTTGGCCTCCCAAAGTGCTGGCATGAGCTACTGTATTTAGCAAGTAGTTTTGACTGAAATAAGCTCATCATCTTATGTGATTAAATACTAAAGTAAGTATTTTGTCATTATTTTGTGTTTTTCTCTTTGAAAATAGGGTCATGGGTGCAACTGGCTGGGGCCAGCATCATGGGCCATAAATGAATTTACCAAGACAGTTGTGGATAAAGAAGAAGGCAGGTATATTAGAGAAAGCCTGAAGATATGTTGCAAGAAAAGTGTCTACAAAGAGGCAGAGACTGGAAGGAAATGTTAAAGGGTCATTCTGGAGGGGGCTATGTGCAGAACAAGGTCACGCCAATAGAGCTACCTTCAAAGTGAGGCATTTGGAAGCAGAATGTTGTGCCAGTGGGTTGTCTGTGATTAGCCATCTCTCACTACAATAGTTCTCCCCCTACCTCAAGCCCCTTCCTCTTTGCTGCTTACTTATCTTATTAAAATCTACAAATAGCATTTAAGATAGACTCTACCAAAGTCCATAAAAAATACCCAAGCAAGGAAAATAAAGTGAAATTTATTCTAAAAATGAGGCAAAATTAATATTTAGGCATTTATATAGAGATGGTACTTTAAATGCATTTACAATGGAAAATAAGTGTTAAATGTGTGTCAGAATTATTCACAACTCAGGAAGTTTAGTTTGATTAATGTCAACTTCCTAAGTCTTTTCCTTTTTATCTGTAAGGAAAAATGTATAGGTGAGCCATGTCCTTGAAAATCTCTGATGTTTCATCTTTATTCTGTTAACAAAAACTTCAAGATCTGCTTCCAAAATGTAAAACCTGTCAACAAGGTTATGTCTGAAGAAATTAGAATATATTTTTCAAAATATGTTACTGTGCATATGTGTGTTCTGCCAGTGTATTTTACAGGAAGATAACAACCTTTGAGGTGCATGTTTTAGTAAGAATATGTATTTACAAATCAACAGAAATTAAAATTAATTAGTTTAAACTCTCATTAAAAGAAATATTTGCCTAAAATCAAAGAAAAAAAGGGAGCTAAACTAAATTTAATTTTTCCTGAAGTAAATTGCTTGACATAAATATTACTTATTTTATTCTACCTGAAAGCCTTAAATGAGGATAAAATGTTGAATGAATTCAAAACCCTCCTGGGTCAAACAGAGTTTAAGAGATAAACTAACAGATATCCTTTAAATATGACAATTGCATATTGCAATTGCAGTTGTCATGTGGTTGGTGGTTGCATGCCAGTGAAGCCAAGACTCATGGAAAGTGAAAATTATAGCACAATTCAAGACAGCTTAGTGAATTCTTAGAGGTAAATAACTTAAATTCTTCTCTATGTTTCATAAATAACTTGGACTCACTAGACAACATAGAGAAAAAAGTAGACTGCTCAGGGCACTTTGAATAACATATGTTTCTATTTTTGGAGATTATATGTAGATTACATTAGATATAAATATACTCATGGGCCACATAATGAGGTTTCAGTCAAGGAGTTTTCAATCAACGGTGAACTGCCTATAGGATGGTGGTCCCATAAGATTATAATGGAGATGAAAAATTCCCTTTATCTAATGATATCGTAGTCATCTTAACATTGTAGTTCAACACATTAGTCTCATATTTGTAGTGCCAACAGACAAACCTATTCCTCAAGAAGAGGCTCGGGCAGATGCTCCAGGAGGTATCCAGAAGAAGGCATTATTATCATGGGACAGGACAGCTCCATGCATGTTATTGCCCCTGAATACCTTCCAGTGGAACAAGATGTAGAGGTGGAAGACAATGGTATAGATGTTCCTGATTCTGTATGTCTAGGCTAAAATGTGTGTTCATATCTTAGTTTTTAAAAAATGTTAAAAATAAAAATATAGTAACAATAATAATAAATTTTAAAAACAGAAAAAGGCTTATAAGATAAGGATGTAAAGAATGTATTTTTGTACGGCTGCACAGTGTTTGGGTCTTTTTTTTTTTTTTTTTTTTTTTTTTGAGACGGAGTCTCGCTCGACATGTCGCCCAGGCTGGAGTGCAGTGGCGCAATCTCCACTCACTGCAAGCTCCGCCTCCCGGATTCACGCCATTCTCCTGCCTCAGCCTCCTGAGTAGCTGGGACTACAGGCGCCCTCCACCACGCCAGGCTAATTTTTTGTATTTTTAGTAGAGACGGGGTTTCACTGTGTTAGCCAGGATGGTCTGGATCTCCTGACCTCGTGATCTGCCCGCCTCCGCCTCCCAAAGTGCTGGGATTACAGGAGTGAGCCACCGCGCCTGGCCCTTTTGGGTCTTAAACTAAGTGTTTTGATAAGACTCAAAAAGGTTTTTTAAAAAATAAAATATTTATAGAGTAAAAGAAGTTATAGTACACTAAGGTTAAGTTAAGGAAACTGCCAATGCAAAATTATAACTGAGAATTATGACAGTGAAAGAGATCTGACTTAACCAACTCCACCTTGCTTCTAACCTTCAAGCTGTCCTTGTTCATTCCTGAGACTAGGCTGAACTTAGTTTATAGTTTAACTTTCAAACAAACGTAATTACAGCTCTTTCCCAAAACAAACTCCTTCCTTCCTGAGGACTGCCTTCGTAGGATTTATAAATTAGCCACAAGTTTAGAAATGCAGCTGAAGGCTCAAGATTCTGACACTCCCGTAATTGTTCCTGGGGATCACATCACTATTGTAAAACCTAAGATCAGTGCTTGAGATATTTTGCAGACCCTGTACTCAGTGAATCAGCTGGTACCACTCAGGTCAATAAACTCGTTCCTCTGATCTTGTGGCCCCAGCCCGGGAACTAACTCAATGCAAGAGGACAATTTCAACTCCCTATGATTTCATCTCCACCCAAACAACCTGCACTCCCAACACAATGGCCGCCCCTCACTCACCAAATTATCCTTAAAAACTCCAGTCCTGGACTTTTCCAGGAAACTGATTTGAATAATAATAAAACTCCAGTCTCCCATTGATATGGTCTGTCTCTGTGTCCCCATGCAAATCTCATCTTGAATGGTAATCTGAATTGTAACTCCCACAAATTGGGGAAGGAGCTCTTCGCAGGCAGTTAGATCACAGAGGCGGTTCTCCCACATTGTTCTGATAGTGAGTTTTCCTGAAATCTGATGGTTTTATAAAGGGCTTTTCCTGTCTTCACTCTGCACTTGCTCTCTCGTGCCACAACATGAAGAAGGTTCCTGCTTCTCCATCCACTTCCACCATGATTGTAAGTTTCCTGAAGTGTCCCCAGCCAAGTGGAACTGTGAGTCATTTAAACCTCTTTCCTTTATGAATTACCCAGTCTCAGGTCTTTCTTCATAGCAGCGTGAAAACAAACTAATACACCTGAACAGCCAGCTCTGCATGAATAATTCTTTCTCTGTTACAGTTACCCTGTGTTGATATGTTGGCTCTGTCTAGGCAATGGGCAATGTGAACCCACTGGGCAGTTAAATTAGTATTGAAGAATGCAAAAAAGTATAATATTACTGTAACCTAGGTGTACATTATTTGTAAAATCTACATTAGTGTATGGGAATATCTGGGTCTTCACTTTCACTCTTCACTCATTCACTCACTCACCCAGAACAAATTCTAGTCCTGCAAGCTCCATTCATGGTAAATGCCCTATAGAAGTGCACCAAGTTTCATCTTTTAGGTTGAATTTTTGCTGTACCTTTTCTGTTTATATATGTTTAGATATACAAATACTTACAATTCTGTTACAGCTGCCTACAGTACTCAGTACAGTAACCTGTTGTACAGATTTATAGCCCAGGAGCATTAGATATGTGGTAGGGTGTACCATGTAAGTTTTTAATATTAAATATATATATGATATATTTACTATACATAATTATATGATATATAATTTATATTATAATAGAAATATTAGACATTATTATATATTATGTTATTTTATATATTATGCCATGTTATACAAACGTTGTATATTATACATTATATAATATAATTATGTTTTATATATGAATTATATAACTGTTAATTATATAATTGATATTTATTTGATATATTATTCATTATATATTATATGTAATTTACATATTGATAACACATAGCATATATTAATATGTATAATATATTAACATGTCATTAAATTTCATTATATTTAAATAATACATATATTATAATATACATATGTATTCATATATAATGCATATATAAAATATATTAATATATGTGAATATATTATATAACACATTATAACATAATATTTTATAATGCATAATATATGTTATCTGTAATATAGAATGTTATATTATATATTCATATATGTATATTTTTATATATAACATTTACCCTTCCCTTCCCATGTTAAATAAGTCAGAGAGATTAATAATTTGGTAGCTACATACCAGGAGAAGTAGCCCATTAATGTATTCATATGAGTCTTGGGGGGAAAGTGAAGTACAAGTTTTCCTTTAATCTTGGTGTTATCTTTACTTATCATACAATGCTGCTTCAAGGAAACCCTACAACTTGATAAACTTGTATTTGAATTAGAAAAAGGCATCCAGTATGCTGAGCAGACATAACTCTAGTCTATGAAACAAAGATTAATAAACAGAGTAAAGGTAGGTTTCAGCCTGCACTGACTACCTGGCCAGAAACTCCTTTGAAAATAACAACCTCCTAGAAGGATGTGTGGCCCTCCTCTCATATGACCTGTATATTATGAAACTGATAGAAATTCGCCTAAGTGCTAAGACCATTAACAGAAAAATCAGACTTTGTATTTTCAAGAGGTTTATTCCAAGCCAATATGAGTGACAATTGCCCAGGAAACCCAGTCTCAAGAAGTCCTGAGAAAGTACACCTAAGGTGGTCAGAGTACAGTTTGGTTTTATATATTTTAGGGACTTTGAAGTTACAGGTAAAAACATCAGTACATGGAAGGTATGCCCTAGTTTTATATGGAAGTTATCATGAGGCAGGTGCTTGCATGTTATAGATGGGTTCAGAGTTTTTGTTGTTGTTTGTTTGTTTTAATGACAGGAAGGCTTGCTCTGTTGTCCAGGCTGGAGTGCAGTGGCATGATCACAGCTCACAGCAGCCTGGAACTCCTTAGCTCAAGCAATTCTCCCTCCTCAGCCTCCCAAAGTAATAGGATTTCAACGATGAGCTATCCTGCCTGGCCAAGAGATTCTTTAAATTGCAGTAGGTTAAAGGAGTAAAGCTTTGTTTAAAATTTGCAGTCAGTAGAAAGGAATACTTAAGACAAGGAAGTCTGTTAACCAGAATACACTGGGTCAGAGTGACCTTCAGGGGTGCAAGAATTAACAGTTCCCTGGTGTGGCCTTAGGTCCTGTTTATAATTTGATATCTTATTTTCACAAAAAGTTTGCTTTGTCAGTTTTATTGTGCCTATTTTACCATTAATCCTTGTCAGTCATGTGTCTAAACTCCAAAAGGGAGTGGGTATAATGCAGTGTATACAATCACCATCCCAGTCATGGCCAAGTATTTAGTTTTTCAGATTTGCCTGGGGTCCCCTGGGTCCTGAGAGGATCTGTTGTTTGGAGGGCTAAGATTTTATTTTTGGTTTACACGGCCCACAAGAATCACAGGATCCTGGAAGTAAGTGGATAGTTCCTGTCTCAGATGAATGGAGATCAAGGATCAAGGAAGAGTGTCATGGTCTTCCCCCATAATGGTACCCACAATGAAGTTGCATCAGCTATGATATAGCACAGGGACAGACAGTGAGAAGCACCTGTTAGAAGCACTAATTCAGTAGGCTAGCATAACACACAGCTTCCAGGTAGAAAAAGGACAATGACAGAGACCAGGATAATTCATCATGGCACATAAAGAATTATCCTCCCTTATATCCATGAGCCTAACTCCACATCTTGGAGAGAGAAATAGGAGACAGAAAACGAAGAGTCCTGAGACATCTTTTCAAGAAATGTTGCCCAACAGTATAAAACAAACAAGCAAACAAACAAACGAAACTATTCAAAACTATTTATTGAATGAGACTGAGTATAAACCCATGTCAAAGACAGTTGATTTGTTTTTCTCTACTAACTAGCAGGATATAGGACATAAGAGGAAGAACAAGTTAATTCCAGACTAAATAAATTACTTTGTTTTCTACTGATCCAGGTACCACTGAAAACAAATTTTTAAGCATATTTTTGCGAACCCAAAGGTATCTGAGAGAGGACTCAATCAGTTTAGAAAGTTAATTTCGCCAAGATTAAGGATGCACTCAACCTCAGGAGGTCCTGACGACAAGTACTCAAGATGGTCATGGCACAGCTTGGTTTTATACATTTTAGGGAGATGTAAGACATCAATCATTATGTGTAAAATGAACACTGGTTTAGCTCAGGAAGGTGGGAATACTCAAATTAGGACTTCCAGGTTATAGGTAGATAAGAGACAAAAGGTTGCATTCTTTTGAGTTCTTGATCATCCTTTTACTGATTGTACAACGTAGTCTGACTCAGTGAATCTGCATTTTTACAGTAACAGTAGGGCAGAGAAAGCAATCAGATATTCATTTTTCTCAGGTAAGCCTCAGAGGGATGACTTTCTGTCCTGCACCTGTGAATATAAGCTATCCAGTTTACATTGCCAGGGTGAAAATCAACAGAACTGTTTTAGAGTGAAGATACTGAGTCCACAAGGAATTTCCTTGTTGGAAAATTGTGAGAGAGGTATGTAGCTTTTTTATACCTGTAGCTGCTTTATTTAGGAATAAATGGGAGGCAGGTTTGCTTCATTCATTCCTAGCCTGACTTTTCCCTTGGCCTGGTGATTTTGGGGTTGTGAGATTTCACATATGTTATGTCATGGGTATAGTATGGCAAAGCATTAACAGAGATGTGTAGTCAAACAATGATAAGAATAAGTGTCTCATCTTTGAACATCTTCTTTGTAGGCTGACATATGGGAATTATCAGGATAACAAGGAAAGACTGTGTACTTAATTGCAAGAAAAGAGATGTGTCAAGGTGGGGAAGAAAGATCAGCAGAGGACTGGATGTGGCGGGATAATTCAAATGTCACAGCCTTATTCCAGAAAGATGACATTTCTTATGTGCTGGGACAAGCCCAGTCACACTTGTCATTCCTCCTCTGCCTCCCAATATTGTCTCTCATGATGTATGAGAAGTTTGTGTAACAACAAAACTTATTTCACAGAACCTTCAGTCCAAGAGGAAATCCATTTGTTAATGCATCTCTACCGGACAGTGCAAACTAATTAAGTCCTTTCCACTTGCATTGATGAAGCTCCCCTTGGGGAAATTGTTAAAGTTTACAGGCAGAAACAGAAATTGCCGCTGATTAAAAAGCAGGGAGTCTCACTGATCTTTCCAGGATCAAGTAATGGGGACCCCGGAAAGATCATCCGATTATCTACAAATTGAAGACATTGAACCTTTTCTCTCTTCTGTCTCCATGAATCCTGATGCACACAATTTCATAACTCCAGAATCTGAATTTTAAGGAAATATGTGCAGAATTCTTAAATGAGAGAAAAATATGTATCACATCTTCAAAAACAATTTTATTTCAAGGCAAATAATGTCAAATTTCATTTTACATTAAATAGTCATATTGAAGCAGCACATTTCCCTGACCCTCTTCACAGGACTTAAGATATAGGTGTCTTGTTTACCCAGCCTGTGTCTTTCACCCCCTTGTAGGAGCACACAGGTGAGCAGGTGCAGGAGCTGGGGTGAGTGCTTTTGGGCACCAGCAGGAGCTAACTCTGTGTAGGCCCCACGGCAGTGTTTAGGTGGTGCCAGTAATCACTGAAGCCCCAAAGGAAATGTTATAGTGCTCTTTCAGCTTTGCCATCTTTGTATGGCTTACTTGTTAACAGCTAAGTGGGCCCTCTGCGTTTTTGTGTGAAGTGGTTGTCTTCTCCCAGCAGGGGCAAAATGCAGGTGTGACAGCCTTTTGTATCTGCACTTGTGGCACCTGAGCTCTTGTCTGGTGTCCAGGAGAAATGAGATTGCATGAAAGAATTGAAGGATTGTAAATGCAGGGGATTTTATTGCTGATAAAAGTGTGTCAGTGGGAAGGGGAGATTAAAGGGGTTGGGGCGGGAAGATAGTGTTACCCTGAAGTCCAGCCATCTCCAGTTGGATTATTCTCTGAAGTTTTGCCATCAGGCTGTTTCTCTGTCTTCTCTTCGACCTCCAGCTGTAGTCTTCAATATCCACCTGCTTCTGCTCTCTCTGATGGCTGGGTCTGGGGTTTTCATAGGTACACGATGGGACAGGGTGACTGTGTGTAAGTATGCCTGCTTATTCATAAGGTAGTGTGATAAAAATTAGACTAAAATGTATGGACTATTAATGTGTGTTTTGATAATCCCATACATCTACCTCTCCAATCAGCATAAAGAACATTTTCATCCCAGGAAAACTTTCTCCTATGCTCCTTCCAGCATTGGAAAGCAGGATTCTATTTTGTCTTAACATGTGTGGTTTGTTGTTGGCTGCAGAACTTCATCTAATTTCAACACATAAATATACATGCTATTGTGTCTGGTTGTTTTGTTTTTTTGAAACTTCTTAACACATGAGGAATAACACAAACAGTGGAGTCTCATCCTGAATCTTGGATCCAATAAGGCTTTGTAGAAGTTATCCTTCTTTCTCTCTCTACCTTCAACTCCACCTTCTGAGTCTCATTTCTCTGTCATATGTCCTTTATGTATTGATGTCAATACCCTAATGGAGATGAACATTTTACTCTTGTTTACGTTTATCTCATTATACTTTGTAAGGATATCCAATAGCCTAAACACCCAGGAATGAGCAAATTACGTCTAAACTGTAGCTTCCATCTGGAAAAAAGTCTGCATATGAATTACTCGGTGTTTTTCCATTTCAATCATGACCCTGTCTCCTCAGCAACTACTCCCTGTTTTTAGAAATATCATTAAAAAATTTCTCTGCAGCATTGACAGGCAGGCAAGTAACCAATTTATGCATATGAGGAAAATATACCTTGGCGAAGGATCTCTCACTTCTTGTCTTCCCTTTATGTACGCCGTGTATAAAAACAGAACTCTTCAAACTCATATGATGTCTCTGAAGGGAAGACATAAGAACTGCCAGGTCCTGTTGACCACGCTGTTCAACTTTGCTATATATATATATTACACATACATATTTTGGCAATAAGCTCAACAGATCTTGGTCTACCTTTTTTTCTCTCTCTCTCTTTCAAACACCACCACCCCCCCGACACACACACACAGAGAATTATTCCTAAAATAACCAAAGTTTTTAAGAAATGTAGAGATTTTGCTGAGCAGATCTGCAAGGAAAACTTCCAGAAAGAAATAATCATCCTCTTATCTAATCATCTTATATATAGTTCACCCTTGAATAACACAAGTTTGAAAGGTTTAGGTTCACTTAAATAAGGATTTTCTTCCACCTCTGCCATCCCTGAGACAACAAGGCCAACCCCTCCTCCTCCTCTATCTCGTCTGCCTCCTTAATGTGAAGATGACAAGGATGAAGACATTTATGATGATCTATTCCACTTGATGAATAGTAAATATATCTTGTCTTCTTTAGGATTATGGTTTTTGTTTTGTTTTGTTTTGTTTTTATTTTTTTTTTTTGAGACGATGTCTTTCTCTGTCGCCAGGCTGGAGTGCAATGGCGCTATCTTGGGTCTCTGCAACCTCTGCCTCCTGGGTTCAAAGGATTCTCCTGCCTCAGCCTCCCAAGTAGCTGGAACTACAGGTGTGTGCCACACCACCTGCCTAATTTTTTGTATTTTTAGTGGAGATGGGGCTTCACCGTGTTAGCCAGGGTGGTCTCGAACTCCTGACCTCGTGATTCGGCCGCATGTGCCTCTCAAAGTGCTCGATTACAGGTTTTCGTAAGCCACCGTGCCCAGCCAGGATTTTCTTAATTGCATTTCTTTTCTCTAGCTTACTTTTTTTTTTTTTTTTTTTTTTACACGGAGTGTCGCTGAGTGGCCCAAGCCAGACTGCAGTGGCAGGATCTCAGCTCACTGCAAGCTCCACTTCCCGGGTTCACGTCATTCTTCCATCTCAGCCTTCCTAGTAGCTGGGACTATACGCGCCCGACACCACGCTCGGCTACTTTTCTTTTGTATTTTTAGTAGAGACACGGTTTCACCATCCCAGCTGTATTTTTATAATGAGGGGATCAGTATAATCTTCAAGTTGCTCAAGGGTCAACTACACTGTGGATATTGAATGAAACACACTTCTGAAGTCAAAAGAGACTAAGTAGAAGTTAGATGAGATTCCCTATTTTCTTATCCTCTTCTTCTGCATTGGAAACCATGGTTATTTCGTTGAAGTTATATGTTCTAAAGAGTGAATTGTAGAACCTTAGAATGATAAATGTCAGGGTGAAGGTATTTTTTAGTACCTGAACTCCAGTAGTCGCTTAAACTCTGTGGCCTTTGAAATCATTACCTGTGACTGATGGCTGGGAAGCTTGTATTTAAAACCTGGATTTATGCTGTTCAAACTCTAAATACAGAGGCATTTAAAATAACTACAATCATCATAAGAGTCATCCTGGCTCATTGAATTTATAATCTTCAAGTTTTTAAACAGTAATGATGAATAGTCATATAATAATCAATTAATATAAAAACTGGCCCTCTTAAACACATATCTTATTTCTTTCTTTATTTTTATTTTATTTTTTTTTTTTGAGGCTGAGTCTCACCCTTCGCCCAGGCTGGAGTGCAGCGGCGCCTTCTCAGCTCACTGCAAGCTCCACCTCCCGGGTTCACACCATTCTCCTGCCTCAGCCTCGTGGGTAGCTGGGACTACAGGCATCTGCCACCACAACTGGCTAAATTTTTGTATTTTTAGTGGAGATGGGGTTTCACCATATTAGCCAGGATGGTCCTGATCTCCTGACCTCGTGATCTGCCTGCCTTGGCCTCCCAAAGTGCTGGGATTACAGGAGTGAGCCACTGAGCCCGGCCAACACATATCTTATTTTTTTTCTAACTTTCTGGATAGGTATTTTCTATCATCCTCTTATACATTTATTTTCCCTTTGATAAAAAATATTTAAAGTATGGGAAATTATCTTAATTTGTTCCAAGGGAATAAGCAAAGTATTCGTCTAAAGAAAAAAAAAGAAATAAATTTCTTACTGTTGATAGTGTACTTTTTTACAGAGAAAGAGGAGGAAGAACATAAAGGCGGAAGAAAATAAAGGAGGAAGGGGAAGGGAGAGGAGGAATAAGAGGAGGAGGAGGAAGGTGAAGAAGTGCTTAAAGTTCTAGCATTACATCAAGAAAACAGTAAGAGGTAAAATTAATTCTGTCAGCTTTGAAGTTTAATGGGATATTTTATAATAAACAATAAGAGAGGCATCTATGTTTGCATCAAATGGCTGGAGTACTATCTTTCAGCAGTTAAAGTTTGTCCATGTAATTAAATCAACATCAGTAAGAACAGTCTCTTTGTAGAAAGGCCATGCATCATTTCAAAAGGTTGAACTCACAAACACGTAGAAGAAACAGTAATAAATTACTACAACATGGTGCATTTCTGCCTGTTTCTCAATAACATAGCTAGAAATTTAGATAAGAAATTTCCAGCTAAGGTTTATATGAGGAGATGCAGCATGGAACATAATGGGCATTATTCAACAATGGTAATATTTCCTCTTCTCTTTTCTTGCTTTGGAATTGATAGTTTTATGTCTTTTGTTTTTGTTTTTTCATTGTTGGTGTTTTATTTATTTTTTTTTCATTTGAAAAATCTAAGGCTCTCTTATTGGTCTCTCGAAGAGAATGCTTCTCAGAGACTACAGTGGTAACAAAGTCAGTTAAAATAGGAGTATATATGTTTAAAATTTAAAAACATTAAATTGTTAAGTTACATTGTTAAGTCTTTTATAATAACTACTAAGAAATTAACTCTGCAAAATATATTTTTTGTTTACAACAGAAATCCTATACTCTGAATGTAAAATAGTGTTCTAATTTAAATTATTAAGTTACAATTATATCTATATTAGAAACTATTTTCTGGTTATACTTTTTTAGGCCATTGTAAACGAACAGAAAGAAGAAAACAGTCTAATTTTCTTAATGAGAGAAAGTTCCAGAAGAAATGATCAAAAATACTAAGGCTGTTCACATGCTTCAAAATCAACTGCAGAAACAAAGATCAACATCAGTGGATTAATATTGGGTATACAACTGTAAATTAAAAAAATAATTATTATACTTTAAGTTCTGGGATACGTGAACAGAAGTTGCAGGTTTGTTACCTAGGTATACATGTGCCGTGGTGGTTTGCTGCATGCATCAACCCATCATCTACATTAGGTATTTCTCCTAAGTTATCCCTCCCCTACTCCCGCCCCCACAGTCCCCAGTGTGTGGTGTTCTCCTCTCCATGTCCATGTGTTCTCATTGTTCAACACCTATTAGTGAGAACATACAGTGCTTGGTTTTCTGTCCTTGTGTTAGTTTTCTGAGAATGATGGTTTCCAGCTTCATCCATGTCCCTGCAAAGGACATGAAATCATCTTTTTTGTGGCTGCATAGTTTTCCATGGTGTATTTCTGCCACATTTTCTTTTTCCAGTGTATCATTGACGGGCACTTAGGTTGGTTCCAAGTCTTTGCTTTTATGAACACTGCCCTGATAAACATATGTGTGCATGTGTCTTTATTTACAGTTGTAAATGTGTATATATATAATATATATATATATATATCTTTTGGATAAAGATTAGGCACCTAAGGAGAATAATCCTATGGAATAATCCTATGGATTATTTAGGAAAGTTGAAAATTTTAAGTAGGCAAGTAACGAAATAAACAAAAACCTTCTTCGGCAAAACACATCAATTCTCAATCAAATGCAATACAAACAGAATGAAATGAAACAATCTGTTCTTGCATTTCTAAACATAAAATGTAAGCCTAAATAAGTAGTTTTCAACATCTATACGTCCTAAAATAACTAATATCCATGAAATAATTGAAGTGCTTGATTTTTTTATTTTCTTCCCTAACCAAGGGATCACTATTGTTCTTCTCCACTTAAGTCAAGCTTACTTTTTATCAGTTTTGTACCAAAGACAAGGAATAACATAATAAACTTGCCTTGAGAACATTAATAAAAGTAATCCTCAGAACAAAATAATTTTAAGAGCTGCTAATCCAAATTACTCAGTTACATGGGAATACAAAATTGTCTTAGTTTCTTGGTGCTCTTATATTTAATCGTGTGTAGCCTAGCTGAAGATGAACTTGGAATGTGAGCACTATGAGGGAAGCAAAACACCCCTGACTGGTTTCCAAGTTTAGTCTTCATGCTTTTTAATACAACTTGTTGTACTTTACAAAACCAAAGGAAGGCTGAGCTTCTATCTCCAGTCACTTTACTTTTCACTGAGTGACCACTGTCCAACTGTCAATTTCCTGGCAACGCTGTGACAAAAGATTCTATCCTACATTCACCGCCCACGTCAGGGAAAAATATATTTTTAAGATATTATTCTCACCTTCTGCAAATTTTTACTGTTTTTTACTGTAAAAATTTTATGGTTGGATTTTACAGGCATTTTACTGTTGGAGACATACACTTGCAGCTTATCAACACAGATTTTATACACTTGGAATAGTTGAATCTTAAAAATAGAGAGTATTCTATAACAGCAACAACGTGTGATTTTCAAAAGATACAATTTATATTAACACTGTAAAAAGATATAACTTATACTAAAACTAAATATATTGCTAACTATATTAGTATTTGTATGAAGCTGTATATGTATATAGGTAAAATAGAAACATAGTATTTATAATGTACATGTATATGTGCTTGGGTATCAAGCATGTACGTGTGCATATGAAGATATGCATGTGTGTGCCTATAAAGTACAGCTAACAAATGAAAGAACAATTTGAGGGCTGGGCATGGCGGTTTATGCCTGTAATCTTAGCACTTCAGGAAGTGAGGTGGGAGGATCACTTGAGGCCAAGAGTTTGAGCCAACCTAAGCAAAATTGCAAGACTTCATCTCTACAAAAAAACCAACCAAACAAACAAATAAACAAATATTTTTTTAAAAGAAATTAGGTGCACATAGTGATGCATGCCTATAGTTCCAGCTACTTGGGAGGCTGAGATGGGAAGATTACTTGAGCCCAGGATTTGGAGGCTACAGTGAACTGTGATTGCAACACTACAATCCAACCTAGGTCACAGAGGGCCCATACAAAAACCTGAGGAGAAAAATAAGATTCTATATTGTGTAGCATATGAATTAGTCATGTTTAAGAAAATCCTACCTCTTTAATGTCATTTTAAATCACACATATGTGCTATCAAATTCCCCACAGATTTCCCTGTGGAAAGTACAGAACAAATTATCTCACTTAATAAAGACTAGCACCTTCTAACACTGCATAGATTTTGTTGCATTATTTAAAATTCTAAAATCTACATGTTGCTGTATTTACAACTTGAGGCCAAACATGATCTGGTTTCCACTAAGCAGACAAATCCTTGTAACATATGAAGCTGTAGGAAAACAATTGCATTTGGAATTTTTGCCTCTGCAGGCTAGCATGGTTAGGAGTGAGTTCAGTTTTTCTGCAACAATTATAGTACATATTACTATAATAATTCTGTTTGTAGCTACTGAGTGGCAGAACAGGAAGTGGAGTATGGCATGCATTTGAATCTGCATATGGATTTTAGCATTTGTTTCCCCCTAGATTTGTATGTTGAAACCTAATCTTCAAAGTATCAGGAGGTGGGAAATTTAGGAGGTAATGACATCATGAGAGTGAAGCCCTTGTGAATGGGATTAGTGCCTTATTAAAAAACATCCCCAAGGTTTCCCTTGTCCCTTCCATCATGTGAGGACACAGTAAGAAGGCATCAGGTACGAACTAGAAAGTGGGTCCTCACCAGACAGTGAATTTGCTATGCCTTAATCTTCAACTGCTGCCCATCAGAACTGTAAGCAATAAATGTCTGTTGGTTATAAACCATGCAGTTTATGGTGTTTTTGTTATAGCAGCCTGAATGAACTGAGACATACTGGGTCTGTCTATGTCAACTAGAGGACAATGCCTCTCAGAATTTTAGCTTTTTAAAATCATAGCAAAGGAAAAAATATATATACATTTTAGTGATCATAGAAATTTTTCTGGTAATCTCACCTAGAAAGTCAGCATAAAGCCTACTCCTTCATTTGTCCACTGAATTTATACACCATTGCAATCACTTTAGGATTAAAGTGGATCTATTGTGTTTAGCTGAAACAGGAACAGAAAACAGTCTTCTGAAGATGAATGCAAAGATCAGAACTTATCCAGAAGTGTGCCAAGGATTCCAGAAGTTGTAGTAATGAAGACGGTAAGGTGAATACAGAGGGATTAAATATTGATGGGTTAAATAAGAGTGATTATTACTAGAACTAGGAAACATGTGAGAGACATGCAATTACAAAACAGTGGATAAAAGAAAGATTTTTTTATCAAATAGTGCCAGGATACTAGGGAAAAAAAAAATTCACACCTTAAAAATTCACTTCCAGAGAGATCTTAATAATTGATCTTGTGCCTTCCCATTTATTTGCTGGTATAATGATACAATGATATGAGCAGTTATACTCTTTGGAAAAAATAATATTGGGCCATTGTAAATTGACATGAAGTAAGTATTTTCATATCATCTGCAATGGACTAGATGTTGCTTTTGGGAGAAAAAGAAAAGCAAGTAAAAAGATATATCTTGTGTAAAATAAAACCTTAAAATATTAAAAAAAGAATGTAGAATATATTGATGACATCAAATTAAATGAATTTACATATATATATATATAATTTTTTTTTTAAGACACAGGGTCTGGCTGTGTTGCCCAGAGTGGAGTACAGTAGCACAGTCATGACTCCCTGCAGCCTCCACCTCTTGGGCTCAAGTGAGCCTCCCATCTCAGCCTCCCCATAGCTGGGACTACAGACATGAGCCACTGTACCCAGCCAAATATTTATTAAATAAAGAATAAAAATAAATATAAAATAAGTAAAGACAATGATTAAGTTTTCACATTAAAACTTTAAATGCTCTTAACAGTTGTTATATGCATAAAAATTTAGGCTTCTATATGTCCCAGATTGCTGAGAAATACTAGTGTATCCTGTCACTTTCCAATGTATTTCTATTTGGGGTATAAATAGCTTATTAACCTAAACATAAAAATCAGAAGATAAATATGTGAAATACATTATATTCTTCAAAACTCAATTTTAAAAAACCATAAAATATTATTTGAGTTTCAATACTATATTGAAGACAATAAAATATTTATGGCCAACAAACAAAATATAATCAATCTCATCTGTACCTTGAAAAATAAAACTAAAGTTTAAAACCTTACCATTTTAAACCTGTGAGATTGCACGTATTTAGCAATCTGACAACAGGTATGAAGTCTACCTAGAGGACAACATCAACTCACATACTATGAATCAGAGTGTGTTTTATTGTATTATCTTTGTAGAACAATTTGGAATTATCTGAAAAGTAAAATATACATCATAAACTCATTCTTTTGCCTTCTGGCTATATTTCCTAAAGATACATGTAGGATTATATTTTTATCGACATTGTTGATGAGAGCATTAAAATGGGTAGAACTCACCTCGTAACCATCTGAGAAGTTCTTCCAGCCCACTGCATAAAGAAAGGTCATGTCTTTGTAGTTGAGAAAGAGTTTAATAAACATGAGGCTGGCCATGCCACGTGAGATGTGGAGTTCTATGCAAATCATCACATTCAAAGCACCTAAGTTAGGTGTTTTTCAAAGGCAGTTTGGGGGAATAAGTGGGGGTGGCCAGGTAACATGTGCCTGCTGCTGATTGGATGGGGTGGAGATGAAATCATAGGGCATTGAGGCTGTCCTCCTGCTGGACCAAATTACCTCTGGGTGGGACCTCAGAAGTGGGGTTGTTGATCCATATGGAGTTATGAGTGTCTAGCATGCAAAAAACCGAGAAAGATATCTTAAAAGGCCAATCTGCAGTACTGTTTTATTTGCAGGAGTAATTGGAGAAGTTGCATATCTTATGACCTGTGAAATAACAGCTGACAATCCTTTATGTCTGCAGGTGTCAATCTTCTCCCCTCTTCCCAGGCTGATGGCCTCCCATCAGCATTACAAAAGTGTGTTTGGGGCAAGACCTATTATCATTTAAATTGTAGCCTAGTCTGGGTGCTGTGGCTCACTCCTGTAATCCCAGCACTCAGGGAGACGGAGGCAGGCCGATCATGAGGTCAAGACATCGAGACAATTATGCCCAACATGGTGAAATCTCATATCTACTAAAAATACAAAAATTAGCTGGGCTTGACGGTGCATGCCTGTAGTCCCAGCTGCTCAGGGGGCTGAGGCACAAGAATCACTTGAACCCAGGCGGTGGAGTTTGCAGTAAGTCAATATTGCACCACTGCACTCCAGCCAAGTGACAGAGCAAGACTCTGTCTCAAGCAAAACAAAACAAAATTGTAGCCTAAATGTCTTCCAAAGTCATCATGTCCCAATAGCCTAGGAATAATTAAGGGAAAGGCAAGATGGGGGTTGAGTTAGCTTAGCTTAATGTTAAAATTTTCTCACTGATAATAGTTTTTGCAAAGGCAGTTTCAATGCAGCTGTTAGCAGGTGAGAGATTAACAGTAACTAAACTGTGTCTAAATACGGCATCTATGGAAGATGTACCATCTGTAGGATATACTGTCCTCCTAAAAACAAGCTAACAAACTTATGATATAGTGATGACTTAAAGAGAAATGACGTAACTATATCTAAGTCTCTGTGTGTCTCACAGACAGATAAAGCTTATGGAGAAAATCATGTTCCACAGGAGGGTACCCAATGTGATCCCAAGCATGTGGAGTTAAAACCACTAAAGAATATACAATGAATATAAGTCTATGGAGCAAAATTGTGTATAAATGGAGGGAATGATAGGTACATAATTCTGTGGCATGATGTGTGTGGGCTGGAAGTAGTTTGCTCTGGCTGCTCTAACAAATTGCCACAAACTTGAAGTCTTATAACAACAAAAATTTATTATCTTACAGTTTTGAAAGTCCAGAGTCCTCAATGAATGTTGCTGGGCTGAAACCAAGGTGTTTCAATAGCTAGGTTCTCTCCATACGGGAGACTTTGTCTCCTTGCATATTTCAGCTTCTAGAAGCTGCTGCTATTCCTCTTTTCATGGTCCCTTCTAATGTCTTCAAAGGCAGCAACATCTGGCTGTTTTCTTCCTCTTATGCCTTCTTTCAATTTTAAGGATCATGTATAACCCACTTGGATAATGCAGGATAACCTCTTTATTTTAAGTTTAGCCTATCAACTTCCATCTGCAACCATAATTCCCTTAGTCATGGAACATAACATATACACAGTTTCCTGAGAAAATGATGTCGACATCTTTGGGGACCACTTTTCTGCCTATGACAGTGTATTAGTCTGTTCTCATGCTGCTAATAAAGACACACTTGAGACTGGGTAATTTGTAAAGGAAAGAAATTTAATGGACTCACAGTTCAGCATGGCTGGGGAGGCCTCACAATCATGACAGACAGCAAAGGAGAAGGAAAGGCATGTCTTATATGGTAGCAGGGAAGATAATTTATGTACAGGAACTCCCCTTTATAAAACCATCAGATCTCATGAGACTTATTCATTATTTGAGAATGTCATGGGAAAGACCCAATCCCATGATTCAGTTACCTCCCATTGGGTCCCTCCCATGACATGTGGGAATTGTGGGAGCTTCAATTCAAGATGAGATTTTGGTGGGGACACAGCCAAAACATATCAGACAGTGACTGTGATGAGACATACTCTTAATCACAGGATTTGTCATACCAATATATATTTCCTTGATCTTACAGATACTTGATAAAATATTTTTTAAAATAAAGAATATAGTATATATTTTGTTGATGTCTATTTATGGCAAGGTAGAGAGATTACTGTTTACAGTAGTAATAGGAAAGTTATTTTCAGTAAAATATATAAGAAATAACTAATCTCAATGGGATTATTGTTCACCTGAATGTAGTATAAGCGGTGTTTGTGTGTGTGTGTGTTTGTGTATGGTATTTGCTCTGGAAGCTTAAGGATTTTATTCTTTAGTACTGGTTTAATAAGGTTCACAAAATTATGCCCAACTGGGTTGATTTGCTTCTTTCTTTGATTTTTTTTTTTTAATTTGCACAGTTCCAAGTGAGCAGTCTTGGTAGAACACCTGTCTTTCCCTAGTTATGATAAATGATAAACTATTATTTCCTTTGATACTATCTTTCTCCTTCTTTCTTTTCTTTCTTTTTCTTTTTCTTTCTTTCTTTCTTTTTCTTTCTTTCTTTCTCTCTCTTTCTTTCTTTCTCTCTCTTTCTTTCTTCCTCTCTCTCTTTCTTTCTTTCTCTCTCTCTTTCTTTCTCTCTCTCCTTTCTCTTTCTTTCTTTCTTTCTTTCTTTCTTTCTTTCTTTCTTTCTTTCTTTCTTTCTTTCTCTCTTTCTTTCTTCTTTCTTTCTTGCCCTTAAAAAATACACACATATACACACAACGTGTATGTTTGTATGTTTTGGGACAATTCCTCAGCTCAATTAGTAAGATTATTAATTTTTCTATTACTCAGTACAACCTATTCTACAGTACCCTTGTTGAGATTGTATTTCCACATGGTTAAAACACACACCCACATGCACACACACACACACGCACACTCAACAACAGAAGAAAAGGAGTTATACCCTAGAGCCTCTTGAAGCTATGTGGACACTGTGATGTTAGCCCAGTAAGGCTTATTTCTGACTTCTGGCTTGTATGTCCACAGAGAAACAGATTTGTGTTTTTTTAAGTCATCAGGCTTGTGATAACATCTTACAGCAGCAATAAAACAACTTAACACAATTACCCATGCTCACCTGTATAAAAAATAATATTGTATAGCACATTAAAGGAAAATGGTAGGGATATCGATATAAATTTACCAACAATAGTTACTTTTATAACAGAAAACACCAATAATAAAATAAATGTACAAGAGTAAGAAAAAAGTTAAACGCTGGATTCCTGTATGTCCAAATTAAAATCTATTTGAAGCTTCCCATGACAAACTGGGTTTCTTGAATACAACTTTTGTTACATCCAGTTTAACACTCTAAATGGATATGCACCATGATGTATCTGTTAAGAGTTAAAGAGGGAAGAAACATGAAATACCGATTGGCAGTTAAAGTCAAGTTTTCTTTAGATAAAAGCTGAGAAGGGCTCCTGGCTGATTTTAGCCAGGAGAAATGGCTGATTTTAGCCAGGAGTGCTTTCTCTTACAGACTAAGAGTATATATTGGTTTTAAGGTGACAGGGCTTGTCACAAGTTTGGAATGTTTACGTGTGGGGAGAAGATTATGGCAAGGTTGGAATCTCTCTGAGAGGCAGGGAGGTTATCCTGGGGCAGACATCTTTCCAGCCCAGAACCAGGTTTCTCTTGGGTCTAGCATGTCTCTGGACAAGGAGGAGTTCGGAATGTTTCTGGTTTGATCTTATTTGTGGTTCCTGGTCATGCTGACCATAGCCATTAGGCTGATGCCTTTTGAATATAGGTGTTTTTTTATTAAAGTGAACTTCAGAATGAGGGGCTTGTCTAAGATGGTGATGCTCCTGCTCTGTCAACCCAGACCCTATGGTTATAAAAAGGATGATGTGTTCTTACTGGCAACTTCCTGCTGATGAGGAGCAGAGAGTCCCCCAGTCTCTGGTTGACTGTAGGAGCAATGCCATCTGCAGATATTTTTGGATGGTTGTCTATGAAAGGGCCATGATCCTGTTAGTTAAAAATATTTGAAAAAGGTTAAATAGGCAGGGTAAGAATGTTAGGCCTAGGCATATTATTAGGAGAAGACCCAGGAAAGAGATGATGCATGCTATGATTTTGTTCCCAAACCAAGAATTCATTTGGTTGTTTTGGCACTCCCTTAGCTTTTAAGCCTTTTCTTTAAGTTTTCTACTAGGCCCAATATGTTGATACAGAAACAACATTCCTTACAAAATGAAAGGCAGAGGTGCATGTTTAGAAAGGCTCATGTGTTATTTTCTGTTAGTAACCATTATTCTTGCTGTGAAAAAAATAATTAAACAAAATGCTACAGTAATTGAGATTTTCTGTATGATATTCCATCCTGAGGGTGCTACAATATATATATATATAGTCCTACTGCAAACAGTAGAGTGAGTAAAGCACTTCCCACAACGGTGGTGTAGTAAATAATTTTCATGAAAAAGTTTTAATATCTGGCTTAAAAATAGAAGTAGAAATGACAAAAAGTGTTGGTGAGGAAGGGGTAGGACTGAGTAAGATGAGTAGTTCTCAGTTACTTTTTTTTTTTATGATTTTCTGCTTATTTACATTGATATTTAGGACATTCCTTTGGGCTGCCAGAGGTTGCTTCAACAGCTTTCCAGGCTTTGACTCAAGCGTGATGTATTCAGGAGTTTACTCCTGTAACAGATATTGTCTTAATTACACTGGGTTCCATTGACTCACTAGATGAGGGGGCGAAGGATTCTGGGCATCCTCAGTTATTAGTTATCAGCACCAGTAGTGAATACATTTCCTCTTGTGATACTCGAAGGGCTTAGAGGCAGCACCTGCTGAAACATCTAATTTTCAGTTCATAGGGCTTTAAAAAAAAGCACAGTTTATTTTGGAAACTTGTAGCCAGAAAAAAAAATAGAATTTAATTTAAATGATAGAATATAATAGAAACTGAGAAATATTAGGCAATACTAGGGTTTAACAACAGGTGTGGCTATAGTTTCTGAAACATAATTTTCTCTCTCCAGTTTCCCATTTTTATTAAAAGACAAATCATTGTCAGACTGATTTGGTTTATTATACTTGGCTTATTTGCATATAGTGCAGCAAGAATAATTATTTGTTATATAGGCCCTTCATATTGGCTTTGATGGAACTTTGTTCCGTAGAAGGGATCTGAGATAAGAACTTTTTAAAGCCAAGCCCAGACATGGATTTGTACCATCAAATACCTATGAGTTGGGTGAATTCCTCTCCTCTTGAGGTCCCAAGATAACTTGAGGTTCCCGGCCTGCTAGAAAGTGACATTCTTTATTTCCCACAAATCAGAAACCCTGTACAGGGACTGTGTACACGAAATATTAGGCAAGTTTTCCAAAGGCTTTATTAGCTTCATAAAGCCAAGTTTGATGCCTTTAAGGAAAGCACACAATTTCAGTCAAAGTCTTGGTACAATAACCAGTTTCTCCAATTGTGTCCCGTTGCAAATGAAAACAGATCCATATTGCATGTATGCAAATAACTGTATTACCATAACTTAAAAATACTCACAGATAGTCTCCAAATTCAAGAGAAAATCAGGTAGAGAGAAAAAGTTGCTCCAAATTTTGTTTATGGGAATATACTAAATTGTTAAAAGCTATTAATAGCCCAAAAAATTTTTTTTGACTTTGGAAAGCAAAATAAAGGATTAGCAAAGCATTAAAAAGATTACTTCAGTCTCCCATTAGTAAAATTCATGCAGTTAATTCCTGTCCTGCTTGATATTAATTAACATTTTAGCTCTTCAAAGTCCTGAAAGTTTTTCTTCTATTCTGATGTTACATTCTCCAAAATTATCAGAAACCTGCATTGAAGAGCACCTGTTAGAACTTCACAGCTAACTATTAAACCACCTTTTAAAGAGTACCAAAACAAGACAACAATTGTTTATGGATAACAAAAAGTTGTAGGATAGCCATAGTTAAAGACACAAGTGACAAGGATATCTGCTACCTCTGTGGCACACAATAATTTTAACATAACAATTATAATTAATACTGATAATTCCCAGTAAGATGTATCAGAATTATAGGAGTCTCCATAAGTTTGGGACACATACCAAAACGTATTTATACAAAAATAGCCCAAAGAAAGCCAAACATCATTTTATATTCTACAATGTTTCCTGTGTGATTTTATACCAAATAAGCCAGATTTTACCTTTATATTAGTGTGCTATTAATGTTAAACTCAATTTCTAATAAAACCTTTATATGCATTTACCCAATATTAATGTCTGACCATGAAGTAAGATTTTTATAGACTATTTTTAACCCTTTATAATTTTGTTAAAGAACAGGTTAGAAAAACCTGTTGTGCTTTTAATGCTCAATTTACAGAAAAACTGGATGATACCCCTTTAACTTTAGCCAATATGTTTACACACAGAATTTTCTTTACAATTAATGTTCCAAAATTGCTTAAACCTTCAAAACAATTCTTTAACCTTTTAAAGTAAGTAACAATCCACATTCTTATGCTTCCCTACAATTTTTTTACCAAAAGTGTGTTTTACTTTCCTTACACACCTTGCTTATAAATTGTCTGTTCAATAGTTTTAAATGCATGTTATGCTGTTAACTTTTAGCAACATTTACCTTTGTTAATAACATTGATAAGTTTGGGATCTAATTATGTTCTAGCTGTAGAGCCTAGGACCTAGACAGAAGTGCAGATAAAGTCTGGCTTATCCCAGCATTTAATGTGTCCTAAGTTTTACCTTGCTTCAATGCAGACAAGTTGTACAGCTAAGTGATATAATGACATTTTATAAAGCATTCAGGAGACCTATTAATTTTTAAATTGTACAACATTTTTGGCATAAATTCTGTTTTATAAACTTATTTACAAGTTTCACAGACAATCTCTGACATGCCTCAACTTTCTGACTTGTTGTAAACACACTTTTCTTTAAACAACAAGTTAACTTGCTTTAGGACAAGAATTTACCATATAAGATTCTTTTTTATACAAATTCTGTTTTCTTTAATGCTCAAGATGATAAAAGCTCTTTTCCAAAACAAACTTCCTTCACATTTGTGGACTAGACTGACTAAGGCCACAAGATTAGAAGTTAAGGTATTTTACTATATAGTTTAAGATGTAGCTATCTTCATTAAAACAATATTAATGTTTTACTTGTTAAAAATTATACAAGCAAAGATTATTTGGTTGGGCTGAGTTATAGTTTTGTAGCCTCTCTGTCAAATTTTGACATGTTATTGTATTTGGCAGCCATAATTATGAATTTGCCTGATTAACAAATGCAAAAAAGAATAGATGCTGGCAACTTTTAAGACACTTCTAACTTTACTGTAACAGTACGTTTTAAAGATTAAAGTCATGGGAACTGAAAGGTCCCACAGCTTTTACCTTTTCCTTAAAAATATTTAAGTGCTTATTTTTCTTAGGCCAATTAATTAGAGCTCTTTTAATAGATATTGCACAGATAACACATACATAGCCACATGGACAACCAAAAGAAGATTCAGTGGATATAAGATTTTTTTTTCTGCTAATTTCCCAATTAGAATAGTGGAATTCTGGTGAGGCCCTTTAAGAACAGGGCTATGAAAATGGCTTCCAGGACCTAATAAACAAGTATAGCTAAAAGACAAAGACAGATTTTGAGGGGTACTTATTTACGTTGAATTCATGGAGTTCCATAAGAAAAACAGATTTTTTTTTCTTAAAATAGGATTTGTGGCGCCTTTTCTGTTTTTCCAAGGACCCCAGGCCACCAGAAGTCATTTTAGGGTTTTTTATACATGCTCCAAGAGTGACAAGATAGAGTGGGGAGAAGTAATTTAGTTAATTGGGAAAAAACCTTTTCCAGAAAAACAAGATTGATGAAGAGAAAATATAAAGGCCATTTGAATATACTTACAGCTTTGATCTGCAGCAACTCAGATGTGGAGAAATGGACACGAATGCAAGTATTGCCTTTAACTCCCAGAGAGAGAATGGCAGAGGTGGTTTTTGAATGGGTAACAGGTGGAGAAGGAGGAGGAGTGGAGTTTGGGGCTGAAGGCTTGGAGGCAGGAAGGGCCACCATGGCAGAGGGTTCAGACAGATGAGGAGCAGATGCAGGGGGATAATAATACAGAGTGGGTTCATCTGCAGGGTCAAAAGGAATTTTGGAGGAAGGAGAGGCCCAGGGCACATTTTTATTAAGCAGAAAGACTTTATGAGAGTTGCAAGCTTGACACAGGGAGGGGTAGGATTTAAGGTAGAAGTAGAAGAAAACCTGAATGTAGAGAAACTCTTGTCATTTGTCATCCCTGGTAAAGGTCCCTGAGAATTTGCAAGTTAAAGGCACCAATTTTGGTTTATCAGCTGCCATTATCCACTGTGTATTGGGGTCAAGCCATATTATAGTATAAGACTAAATGCTTAAGCCAAGTTTGGCAAGGTTGTGAAGGAGACAGCAAAGTGGAGAGGATGTAGGAATGTGGGATTGTTTGGCACCCATATGGACTGGTGAGAAAAAGCCAAAAGTGTCTTGCTTTTTTTCTATGCAGTTACAGAGAAAAGACAGAGACCCAGAATCCTCTTTCTAAGAGGACAGTCCAGCTGAGAAGAAACTGGACGTCCCCAAGATTTCCTCTGGTTTAGTCCGCCTTGTTCACTGAGGACCAGATGGCAGAACTTACTTTTCCTGGATATCACAGGAAAGTCAGGGGAGGGCAGATCTTACCAGCTGGATCTGGATTAGTGTATGTTGTTGGATGTTCTGGAGGGAATCAGCAAAGCTCCTCTTCAGCTGAAGCTGCATGAGGGGAGGGGGAGAGAGGGAGGGAGAGGGAGAGGGAGAGAGAAAAGAGAGAGAGGAGAGAGGAAAGAGAGTGAGGAGAGAGGAGAGAGAGAGAGAGAGAAAGTGAAGTGAGAGAAAAGACAGGGTAGCAATTAACTCAGGAGGAGCTGCTTTTGCCGACTGCTTCCTGGGTTGCAGGAGAGCTTCTGCCCCTAATACACAGCTGGATTTCAGCACCAAATGTAAAAGTTAAAGAAAGAGGAAAAAAATATGAAACATGGTTTGGCAGTTAAAGGCAGGTTTTCTTCAGATAAAACCTGAGAGGGGCTCCTGGCTGATCTCCATCAGTAGCACTTTCTTACAGACTAAGAGCATATATTGGTTTTGGGGCAAGGGGGCTTATCATAAGCTTGGAATGTATGGGGAGGAGTTTATGGCAGGGTTGGAGTTTCTCTTGGAGGAAGGACAGACATCTATCCGGTCCAGAGTGGGGTTCTCTTGGGGCAGACATCTTCCCAGCCAGAATGGGGTTTATCTCAGGGCTAGCATGTTTCTGGTCGGGGAAGAATTTGGAACGTTTCTGGTTGGAGATGTTGTTTGTAGTTTATGGTTGTGCTGACCTTAGCCATTAGCCTGATATCCTTTAGATTTAAGAGATTTTTTATTAAGGTGAACTTTAGAATGAAGGGCTTCTATAGGATGGTGATGCTCCTGCTCTGTCAGTATCAAGATTTTAAAAATTATAATAACTTTAAATTATGGTCATGATCAGTGGATTTTTTTTGGTATCACATATGCATTTAAAAAAATCTGTGTGTATTCATGCAGGTATTTGAAGACTGTGTATTTGCTTGTTATCCCTGCAGTCTCTCCCTCATGTTGCTTTTGTTTTGTGTGCATTTCACAATTTTGGGGTACAACAGTCTATGATTTGATTAATTGTTTCAGTGAGATTGTGCCAAAGCCTGTGGGAGCATATGAGTTTGTATCTGACAGGGCTTGGGGGACACTGAGTATGAGATCACTTTAATTTGGCTGTGTGTGGTGGCTCATACCTATAATCCCAGCACTTTTGGAGGCTGAGGTGGGTAAGTCACCTGGGGTCAGAAGTTCAAGACCAGCCTGGCCAATGTGGTGAAACCCCATCTGTACTAAAAATACAAAAATTAGCCAGGTTTGGTGGTATGCTTGTAATCCCAGCTACTCAGTAGGCTGAAGCAGGAAAATCACTTCAACCCAGGAGGCAGAGGTTGAAATGAGCCAAGCTCATGCCATTGCACTCCAGCCTGGGTGACAGAGTGAGACTCTGTCTCACAAATATATATATATATTTCACACTTATTAAAAATGGCAAGGAAGCCTTTACTCAAAGTTGTTGCAAGAGGGATCAAGACTATTTCAGTAGCGGATAGAAATAGAACTCAATTCTGAATGTACTAGCATTAAGGGACAGATAGTGTGGGGGGCAAGACTCCTGGTCCCTTAAAGGTTTGTTGAAAAATCACTGACATGAGGCAGATTTTCTGAAAGGCATCCAGATTTATTTAATGTGTATATTCCTTCATTCCTTTTGAATGAAGACCAAAACACACAATGACGTTTAGAAGCTTATTACACCATCTTGAGGTTATAGAAAGAATGGGGACTTGGATCCTACTAAAACAGATAATGGGTAGAGGAGAAGAGGAAATCTATTGTGGAGAAATAAATGATTGATAGGGTACTTCTTTTTGAAATTTGAATGATCCTTGGAGACAGTCATTATACTTGTCAAGTAAGGTCTGCTTGGGTGTGGTCACATCTTGGTTTTCCTTTCTGCAATAGACAATGAGATAATTTGGAGTGGAAGTAAAAACATTTGTTCTCCTTTGTGGGACTGGATCTTAGCAGCTAAAGGAACTTCTGCTTCTTTGGGAGACACAGTGTGTGTGGAAGGTCAGAAAGACCTCGAAGCTTCATCACTTCAGCACATCAGAATGCCATATTTTGGGGTATTACATCAAAATAGCCAACAGGTAGAGTGAGAGGTTGGATGGAAACTTACTCAGAGGAACTTGGCAAGGCATCAGGGGTACAGGAAGAGGAGCTTAATTGGAGATCAAGAGTAGGGGAGTGAAGATTCTTGATGAACTGTTTTTGCAGTATTCATTGCTAAAACTAAGCTAACAGGCTACAGAGCAGGCATGGAGCAACAACAAGGCCAGGTGAAAAAGAGGGTTCAAAGAGGCCGCACCAAAGTTTGGTCTGGTAGAGAATCCTTGTGAGTCTTTGCATGTTGGTCCTTTCTTTCTTTGATCTAACAGCCATTCTCACATTTATTTCTCTTCACATGCAATTCCATGGTCCATCGCCAAGAGGTATCTTTAATTGATTTCAGTCAATGGTGTCAGAGGCATTTGAACCAGAACAACTCCATCTTGAAGAGAGGCTGGGTAAAATGAGGCTGAGACCTACTAGGCTGCATTCCCATATGGTTAAGACATTCTAAGTCACTGTATGAGATAGGAGATAGGCACAAGATATAGGCCATAAGGACCTTGCTGATAAAACAGGTTCCAGTAAAGAAGCTGGCCAAAACCCACCAAAACCAAGATGACAATGAGAGTGACATGTGCTTGCCCTCATTGCTACACTCCCACCAGTGCCATCACAGTTTAGATGCCATGGAAGCATCAGTATGTTCCCCTATAGGATCTAAAAGGGGAGCCCTCAGTAACCCACCCCTTGTTTAGAATGTAATCAAGAAATAACCATAAAAATGGGCAACCAGTAACCTTCAGGTCTGCTTTGTCTATGGAGTGGCCATTCTTTTATTTCTTCACTTTCTTAATAAACTTGCTTTCACTTTACTCTGGAATCACACTGAATTATTTCTTGCACAAGATACAAGAACCCTCTCTTGGGGTCTGGATGGGGACCCTCTTTGTGTAACAATGAGAGGCTATGGTAGAACCTGAAAGGAGAAAGGAGGTTAAAATCCAAGTAATTCAATATCTCTTCTGAGAAATAAAAGTAAAATCCTAATCCCCCTAATTAACTGAATGGACCCCCTGTTGGACATGGGGACTCCAGGCTTCAAAACTCAGTTCTCACCCCTGGCTGGATAGGAGGTTGGATTTGCCTCTGTATGCCCTTTTCTTGTTAACCTTTAACCAGAATTATTTCCTAAGTAGTAAACTGGAACCAGCTTTGGAAACAAGAAACAGAGGACAGGACTTCTTTTTTGGCCCTTAGTCAGTCATCGGAGGTCACCACTAGTCCTCTCTCCCTCTTTACAATTTTGTAATGACAGCTTACTAATTTCACAAGGCATCCTTTTTTAAAACCTGACCATCCTGTCATGGAGGATGCACACTGAGTGTTTTTGTGTGTTCTCTTTCACCTTTTAACATCAGAGGGCTGACAACTTCACCCCCATGTCATGCTGTTCCCATCCTGATGTGTGTGTGTGTGTGTGTGACACAGGGTTTTCACCTGCCACCTAGACTTGAATGTAGTGGTGCAATCACAGCTCACTGCAGCCTCTGACTCCTGGGCTCAAGCTATGCTCTCATTTCAGCCTCCTGAGTAGCTGGGACTACAGGAATGAGCCATGGCACTCAGCCCACCATTTTTTTTGTGTGTGTGTCCTCACTGCTACAGTCCCGCCAGTGCCATCACAGTTTAGATGCCGTGGAAACATCAGGAAGTTCCCCTATATGATCTACAAAGGAAGCCATCAATAATCCACCCCTAGTTTAGAATATAATCAAGAAATAACCAGAAACATGGGCAACCAGTAACCTTCAGGTTTGCTTTGTCTATGGAGTAGCCATTCTTTTATTCCTTCACTTTCTTAATAAACTTTCTTAATGAAGAGGAATGAAGCTCAGCTGTGCGTGTGCATGTTTCTCCTTTCATAAATATTTATGACTCTTCTTGTAGCTCATTGAATATATATACACTTAGCCAATCCATTCAGCATAAATTATTATTTTATTATTCTCTCCCTCAATGTTCTCTCGCTCAGGTTTTTCCAGAAGCTATACTTCCCAGCCTTTGAGATGACCAATTTGCAGGCTGCAACCCATTATGAGAAATACAGTTCCCCTTTCACAATTTATGAACCTCATGATTCTGCAGTTGACACATTTCTTCCAGAAGCTCGACCATCAATGGCCTTGATTTCCATGATTGCAAGTCCTGCCAGGTAAGTCCAGCACCTAGACTGTTGGGCTATACTAAGAGAAGTGGCATTGTCTCCCTGGGGTGGAAGTAGGGGGCTAATTTTGTGATAGGCTCAAAGTTTGATTAGATAATATAACTCAATTGTTCAATATATTCAAGTTACGAAGTTATCCCAATATATAAAACAGAATAGAATTTCAGAATACAGCGTTTTTCACATTAGAATAATTTTTACTTCTTTGTCACATAGCAGTTGCTTTTTCCAGCCTTTTCAATGCCTTTGCAGAAAGCTTTCTCATTGGGATTCTTCCATCAAAAATTAAAATTATAACACATAGTTTTTTTTTTTTGTCAACAAGAAATTTTATTGTGCTCCATTACCAAAGTTTGGACATTATCTATGATGGCAGCTAGCATTACTTTAACATAAATAATGATAATATAATACAACTTATATACAGTAAAAATGCATGCACAAAACGTGCACACTTTGTAAAACACATATAAACAAAAAAAAGGCCAAATTTATTTTAAGACTTAATTGGCATTTATTTGCAATTTATGAAGTGGTAGCAACCCATTCTCTAAAATACAATAAAAGCTCCAGGCCAGGTGTGGTGGCTCACACCTGTAATCCCAGCACTTTGGGAGGCCAAGGCCAGCAGATTCCATGAGGTCAGGAGTTTGATAACAGCCTGGCCAACATAGTGAAACCCTGTCTCTACTAAAATTACAAAAATTAGCTAGGTGTCGTGGTGCAAGTCTGTAATCCCGGCTGCTTGGGAGGCTGAGGCACAAGAATCACTTGAACTCAGGAGGTGGACATTGCACTGAGCTGAGATCATGCCACAGCACTCATGGCTGGGTGACATAGTGAGACTCTGCCTCAAAACAAAAGAGCTCCCACTGTGCATGACACAACAATGGGTTGTATAAGATGGGAACAAATGAATAGAACAATCTAAAGAAGTAGATTAGTAAATGTCAGGTTACTTCAGGTCATTTTTCTTGTAAGGTTTAAAGCAGAGAGGACATATGCTGGCTTAGGTTACCTGGGCCCTTTCTGATTAGTTGCTGTAACTTACCTGTTCTTAAGTGAAACTAATTGGTTTAAAATCTTCCACCTTCCTTAAAATTTCACTTTTGTTATGTAGCACTTAGTATGAGTGACTCTATTATAATTTGGTCTGTTGGGACCTGGTATAGGACATAAGTCCAAAACAACTCCCTTCCATAAATTGTATATACTTTAAATGTTGCCTAATTAATTGCAATTCCAGAGTTGCATAGTGAAATTTAACACTATAGAGGAAAACAAATTACAACATAAATGTATGTGATGGTTTTTAATTTACACATATCTTTCACATGCCTTAGGGTTTAAACATGAATGGCATTCAAGTCTTTCATAATAGATTTGTCTATTTCTTTTATGCCTCTCATGAGCTTGAAACCTGTTTAAGAGTAGTCATTTTTTTTTTCCTACTGGAAATCCTTTAATTGGAGAGTAGGTAAAATTGTTTTTGTTGAGCAGGGAAACTTGACACTCTACCCTTGTTTCAGCTAAAGTTTCAGAAAAGTCTGGGCAAGTCTGGAAGTCCATTGTATCCAGTATATGTGGCTACGTAAGAAATTTTCTGGAATTACACATTTTCTTGGAAGAACATTAGGAGCTGGTTCTGAAGATCAAATTACATCAGAAAAAAAGGTAAATTGTATTGGGTTTAGTGGCTACGGGTGAAATTATTTTCTTACTCTGGCCCCTTCTCAAAAACTTAAGGTAAAAATGAAAGTTACATTATAAAAATCTTGGGAATATATTATGTGTATCAGGCAGAAACTCTCTGCCATGTTCACCAGAATTTAACAGATTACAAGGAGGTTGTTCCTTGGATTTAGTTAGCTTGTGTTTGCTACCCCAAAAGTTACTTATTAACATGACCTTATATCCCTAAGATATGTGATACCATGTAGTCCTATGATACCTGATACCACTTCCAGGTTTTGAAACACAGGCTTTTGTTAGACAACACAATTTTGTTTTTTATTTGACATTTCTCCATATTTCTTTTAGAGCACGATTGTAGATACTTTATTTTACCCTTTCTGAAACTTTCACGTTCTCTATAGATGCCTGAGTGTTCATTTTCTTATTTTTTCCTAAACAGTCTTAACAGGCAGTTGAATCTAATCCTTTCAAATACAATTTAAAACCTGATTGCTTGCTTGTCTAGAAATCTTACAAGCTACACGTACACACCAACACTGATATCTCTCCTTAAACCTACACCTTGAAGATTTCATAAGTTATTATCTTGTGCAGGCAATGATTTCTGACAACTCATCTATTAATACTTGTTTCTGTATCATGTTTTATATTTTTAGAAATAATATGCTCCCAATGATTTTTGCCATTTTTTTCTTTGAAGATGTTTTCTTTCTGTTTTAATTATGTATTTTTTTTCTTTTGAGATGTATCTTTAGACATCTTTTTTCTCTTCTTGTTCCACTTCTCTTAAAAACAATTTTCTGTTTGTTTTGAGACAAGGTCTTGCTCTGTCACTCAGGCTGGAGTGCAGTGGTGTAGTCATAAGTCACTGCAGCTTCAGCCTCCCCAGGCTCAAGTGATCCTCTCACCTCAGCCTACCAAATAGCTGGGAACGCTGATGCACATTGCCAAAAATACTCCTGGCTAATTTTTGTAATTTTGTAATTTTTGTAGAGATAGGTTCTTGCCTTGTGGCCCAGGCTGGTCTTAACTCCTGAAGAGTCCAGTCCACCTTGCCTCCCGAAAATGCTAGAATTGTAGGCATGTAGCAACTGTGCCTGGCCCTCTTACAAAATCTTCCGTTGGGCCCCTTCATTCTCTTTATTCTTCTCTTAGTTTTTTGTCTTTTCTATTTTTCTGTTAATTTAATTTGCTTGGGTAAATAAACAGTTGAGTCTCTTTGGCTCACTTAGTATAGTCTATTTAAGTCATAGGCTTTAAAATTGTGCTTCTTAATTTATTGAAATGAAAAATAAAATAGCATCCACCTACTCTTTTTATGAAGAGTGAAGAAGCTGACATTAATTCAATATTTGAAACTAATTTTAAAGGGTTTTAATATAGTTTTGCCTATGTTTACATTTTTATTTTTCTTTGGGTATAACAGTGAACTCAATTCCTTATGTTGACATGGTATATCATAATTCAGTTTTATAAGAAACCTAGTTGTATTATTTTTATAACCTTAATGGTTACTGACTGTGATACTGGTGCATAATTAACATAAATCAATGTAAGCAACATAGATAACTCAAATCAGGTTTTTAAGAAAACCTAAATTGAGAATAAGAATATTAAGGTAACATTATTTGGCATTCTAATGACATTGAGGCAAGTCCAATAACAATTTATAAAACAAGGGCGGGGAGGAGCCAAGATACAAGATGGCTGAATAGGAACAGCTCTGGTCTACAGCTCCCAGAGTGAGTGACACAGAAGATGGGTGATTTCTGCATTTCCATCTGAGGTACCAGGTTCATCTCACTAGGGAGTGCCAGACAGAGGGCGCAGGTCAGTGGGTGCAGCGCACCATGTGCCAGACAAAGCAGGGCGAGGCATTGCCTCACTCGGGAAGTGCAAGGGGTCAAGGAGTTCCCTTTACTAGTCAAAGAAAGGGGTGACAGATGGCACCTGGAAAATTGGGTCACTCCCACTCGAAGACTGCGCTTTTCTGGCAAGCTTAAAAAATGGCGCACCATGAGATTATATCTCGCACCTGGCTCGGAGGGTCCTACACCCAGGGAGTCTCGCTGATTGCTAGCACAGCAATCTGAGATCAAACTGCAAGTCAGCAATGAGGCTGGGGGAGGGGCGCCTGCCATTGCCCAGGCTTGCTTAGCTAAACAAAACAGCCAGGAGGCTTGAACTGGGTGGAGCCCACCACAGCTCAAGGAGGCCTGCCTGCCTCTGTAGGCTCCACCTCTCGGGGCAGGGCACAGACAAAAAAAAAAAGACAGCAGTAACCTCTGCAGACTTAAATGTCCCTGTCTCACAGCTTTGAAGAGAGCAGTGGTTCTCCCAGCACGCAGCTGGAGATCTGAGAATGGGCAGACTGCCTCCTCAAATGGATCCCTGACCCCTGACCCCTGAGCAGCCTAACTGGGAGGCATCCCCCAGCAGGGACAGACTGACACCTCACACGGCCAGGTACTCCAACAGACCTGCAGCTGAGGGTCCTCTCTGTTAGAAGGAAAACTAACAAACAGAAAGGACATCCACACCAAAAACCCATCTGTACATCATCATCATCAAAGACCAAAAGTAGATAAAACCACAAAGATGGGGAAAAAACAGAGCAGAAAAACTGGAAACTCTAAAAAGCAGAGCACCTCTCCTCCTCCAAAGGAACGCAGTTCCTCACCAGCAACGGAACAAAGCTGGACGGACAATGACTTTGACAAACTGAGAGAAGAATGGTTCAGACGATCAAATTACTCTGAGCTACAGGACGATATTCAAACCAAAGTCAAAGAAGTTGAAAACTTTGAAAAAAATTTAGAAGAATGTATAGCTAGAATAACCAATACAGAGAAGTGCTTAAAGGAGCTGATGGAGCTGAAAACCAGGCTCAAGAACTACGTGAAGAATGCAGAAGCCTCAGGAACCAATGCAATCAACTGGAAGAAAGGGTATCAGCATTGGAAGATGAAATGAATGAAATGAAGTGAGAAGGGAAGTTTAGAGAAAAAAGAATACAAAGAAACGAACAAAGCCTCCAAGAAATATGGGACTATGTGAAAAGCCCAAATCTACATCTGATTGATGTACCTGAAAGTGACAAGGAGAATGGAACCAAGTTGGAAAACACTCTGCAGGATATTATCCAGGAGAAATTCCCCAATCTAGCAAGGCAGGCCAACATTCAGATTCAGGAAATACAGAGAATGCCACAAAGATACTCCTCAAGAACAGCAACTCCAAGACACATAATTGTCAGATTCCCCAAAGTTGAAATGAAGGAAAAAATGTTAAGGGCAGCCAGAGAGAAAGGTTGTGTTACCCTCAAAGGGAAGCCCATCAGACTAACAGCAGATGTCTCAGCAGAAACTCTACAAGCCAGAAGAGAATGGGGGCCAATATTCAACATTCTTGAAGAAAAGAATTTTCAACCCAGAATTTCATATCCAGCCAAACTAAGCTCATAAGTGAAGGAGAAATAAAATCCTTTACAGACAAGCAAATGCTGAGAGATTTTGTCACCACCAGGCCTGCCCTAAAAGAGCTCCTGAAGGAAGCGCTAAACATGGAAAGGAACAACCGGTACCAGCAGCTGCAAAATCATGCCAAAGTGTAAAGACCATCGAGACTAGGAAGAAACTGCATCAACTAATGAGAAAAATAACCAGCTAACATCATAACGACAGGATCAAATTCCCATATAACAATATTAACTTTACATGTAAATGGACTAAATGCTCCAATTAAAAGACACAGACTGGCAAATTGTATAAAAAGTCAAGACCCATCAGTGAGCTGTATTCAGGAAACCCATCTCATGTGCAGAGACACACACAGGCTCAAAACAAAAGGATGGAGGAAGATCTACCAAGCAAATGGAAAACAAAAAAAGGCAGGGGTTGCAATCCTAGTCTCTGATAAAACAGACTTTAAACCAGCGGAGATCAAAAGAGACAAAGAAGGCCATTACATAATGGTAAAGGGATCAATTCAACAAGAAGACCTAACTATCCTAAATATATATGCACCCAATACAGGAGCACCCAGATTCATAAAGCAAGTCCTGAGTGACCTACAAAGAGACTTAGACTCCCACACATTAATAATGGGAGACTTTAACACCCCACTGTCAACATTAGACAGATCAACGAGACAGAAAGTCAACAAGGATACCCAGGAATTGAACTCAGCTCTGCACCAAGAGGACCTAATAGACATCTACAGAACTCTCCACCCCAAATCAACAGAATATACATTTTTTTCAGCACCACACCACACCTATTCCAAAATTGACCACATATTTGGAAGAAAAGCTCTCCTCAGCAAATGTAAAAGAACAGAAATTATAACAAACTATCTCTCAGACCACAGTGCAATCAAACTAGAACTCAGGGTTAAGAATCTCACTCAAAAACTCTCAACTACATGGAAACTGGACAACCTGCTCCTGAATGACTACTGGGTACATAATGAAATGAAGGCAGAAATAAAGATGTTCTTTGAAACCAACGAGAACAAAGACACAGCATACCAGGATCTCTGGGACACATTCAAAGCAGTCTGTAGAGGGAAATTTATAGCACTAAATGCCCACAAGAGAAAGCAGGAAAGATCTAAAATTGACACCCTAACATCACAATTAAAAGAACTAGAAAAGCAAGAGCAAACACATTCAGAGCTAGCAGAAGGCAAGAAATAACTAAGATCAGAGCAGAACTGAAGGAAATGGAGACACAAAAAACCCTTCAAAAAATTAATGAATCCAGGAGCTGGTTTTTTGAAAAGATCGACAAAATTGATAGACCGCTAGCAAGACTAATAAAGAAAAAAAGAGAGAAGAATCAAATAGACACAATAAAAAATGATAAAGGGGATATCACCACCGATCCAAAAGAAATACAAACTACCATCAGAGAATTCTACAAACACCTCTATGCAAATAAACTAGAAAATCTAGAAGAAATGGATAAATTCCTTGACACATACACTCTCCCAAGACTAAACCAGGAAGAAGTTGAATCTCTGAATAGAGCAATAACAGGAGCTGAAATTGTGGCAGTAATCAATAGCTTACCAACCAAAAAGAGTCCAGGACCAGATGGATTCACAGCCGAATTCTACCAGAGGTACAAGGAGGAACTGGTACCATTCCTTCTGAAACTATTCCAATCAATAGAAAAAGAGGGAATCCTCCCTAACTCATTTTATGAGGCCAGTATCATCCTGATACCAAAGCCTGGCAGAGAGACAACCAAAAAAGAGAATTTTAGACCAATATCCTTGATGAACATTGATGTAAAAATCCTCAATAAAATACTGGCAAACTGAATCCAGCAGCACATCAAAAAGCTTATCTACCATGATCAAGTGGGCTTCATCCCTGGGATGCAAGACTGGTTCAATGTACACAAATCAATAAATGTAATCCAGCATATAAACACAACCAAAGACAAAAACCACATGATTATGTCAATAGATGCAGAAAAGGCCTTTGACAAATTTCAACAACCCTTCATGCTAAAAAACTCTCAATAAATTTGATATTGTTGGAACCTATCTCAAAATAATAAGAGCTATCTATGACAAAACCACAGCAAATAACATACTGAATGGGCAAAAACTGGAAGCATTCCCTTTGAACACTGGCACAAGACAGGGATTCCCTCTCTTACCACTCCTATTCAACATAGTGTTGGAAGTTCTGGCCAGGGCAATTAGGCAGGAGAAGTAAATAAAGGGTATTCAATTAGGAAAAGAGGAAGTCAAATTGTCCCTGTTTTCAGATGACATGATTGTATATCTAGAAAACCCCATTGTCTCAACCCAAAATCTCCTTAAGCTGATAAGCAACTTCAGCAAAGTCTCAGGATACAAAATCAATGTGCAAAAATCACAAGCATTCTTATACACCAACAACAGACAAACAGAGAGCCAAATCATGAGTGAACTCCCATTCACAATTGCTTCAAAGAAAATAAAATACCTAGGTATCCAACTTACAAGGGATGTGAAGGATCTCTTCAAAGAGAACTACAAGCCACTGCTCAATGAAATAAAAGAGGATACAAACAAAGGGAAGAACATTCCATGCCTATGTGTAGAAGGAATCAATATCGTGAAAATGGCCACACTGCCCAAGGTATTTTACAGATTCAATGCCATTCCCATCAAGCTACCAATGACTTTCTTCACAGAATTGGAAAAAACTACTTTAAAGTTCATATGGAACCAAAAAAGAGCCCACATCACCAAGTCAATCCTAAGCCAAAAGAACAAAGCTGGAGGCATCACATTACCTGACTTCAAACTATACTACAAGGCTACAGTAACCAAAACAGCATGGTACTGGGACCAAAACAGAGATATAGATCAATGGAACAGAACAGAGCCCTCAGAAATAATACCGCATATCTACAACTATCTGATCTTTGACAAACCTGAGAAAAACAAGCAATGGGGAAAGGATTCCCTATTTAATAAATGGTTCTGGGAAAACTGGCTAGCCATACGTAGAAAGCTGAAACTGGATCCCTTCCTTACACCTTATACAAAAATCAATTCAAGGTGGATTAAAGACTTAAGCATTAGACCTAAAACTATAAAAACCCTAGAAGAAAATCTAGGCATTACCATTCAGGACATAGGCATGGGCAAGGACTTCATGTCTATAACACCAAAAGCAATGACAACAAAAGCCAAAATTGACAAATGGGATCAAATTAAACTAAAGAGCTTCTGCACAGCAAAAAAAAAAAAAACTACTAACAGACTGAACAGGCAACCTGCAAAATGGGAGAAAATTTTCACAACCTACTCATCTGACAAAGGGCTAATATCCAGAATCTACAATGAACTCAAACAAATTTACAAGAAAAAAACAAACAACCCCATCAAAAAGTGGGCAAAGGACATGAACAGACACTTCTCAAAAGAAGACATTTATGCAGCCAAAAAAACACATGAAAAAATGGTCACCATCACTGGCCATCAGAGAAATGCAAATCAAAACCACAATGAGATATCATCTCACACCAATTAGAATGGCAATCATTAAAAAGTCAGGAAACAACAGGTGTTGGAGAGGACGTGGAGAAATAGGAACACTTTTACATTGTTGGTGGGACTGTAAACTAGTTCAAACATTGTGGAAGTCAGTGTGGCGATTCCTAAGGGAATCTAAAACTAGAAATACCATTTGACCCAGCCATCCCATTACTGGGTATATACCCAAAGGACTATAAATCATGCTGCTATAAAGACATATGCACACATATGTTTATTGTGGCATTATTCACAATAGCAAAGACTTGGAACCAACCCAAATGTACAACAATGATGGACTGGATTAAGAATATGTGGCATATATACACCATGGAATACTACGCAGCCATAAAAAATGATGAGTTCATGTCCTCTGTAGGGACATGGATGAAATTGGAAATCATCATTCTCAGTAAACTATCACCAGAACAAAAAAACCAAACACCTCATATTGTTTCTCATAGGTGGGAATTGAACAGTGAGAACACATGGACACAGGAACGGGAACATCACACTCTGGGGACTGTTATGGGGTTGGGGGAGGGGGGAGGGATAGCACTGGGAGATAGACCTAATGCTAGATGACGAGTTAGTGGGTGAAGCACACCAGCATGACACATGTATACATATGTAACTAACCTGCACATTGTACACATGTACCCTAAAACTTAAAGTATAATGATAATAATAATAAAAACAATTTATAAAACAAAATTATTTCATGTATCTACTTTGTCCAAAGAGTAACTTAGTTGCCAATATTATTTAAACTTTATTTTTTTCCTTAGGGATACTAACCAAATATTTAAACAAATTAAAAGGGTAAAATATTGAAGTACAATTTGCATACCTTTCTTGCAAACTACTAATGAAGACCATTAATTAAAGTAAAATTTGAACCATTTTTTCCTCTTAACATGTGGGTTAGATCAGAAAGCAAACAAAAAATGATATATAACTACATGTATTTGACTATAACTCCACATATATATGTAAAACGCCATAATTTTGTTTATAAAAATAATATAGTTACTATATATGTGACTATTTATATATAGAGATATAACTACATTTATATATCATAAGGAAGCAAAACAATTACAGCATATGGAATACAATTTCTTTTTCAGAAATTTGAGTTTTTTTGGTTGAAATGTTTATGAGTCATTATTGGTTTCTATAAGCCAACCATAATATTTGCTCAGTTAAATTTTAAGAAAACCTATAGTCTAATTCATTATCATTAAGATTATTCAAAGAATAGCATTCTTATTCTGAAAAATATTTCAAAGTAATAACATAGAAACGTTTTGCCTAATTCCAAAGGAAACTAGGGGAATGCGTTTTGATGAAGCAGCAGGAGATGTGGGATTTAGATGCATTGCTGCCTACTTTAAATGGTAATTGATTAAGGAACAAATCCATATACTTGAGGCCCATTATATGCTGGAAGGAATAGGTGCACTAAGAATAAAAGTGCTTTATGATTATGTTATGAAGATGGCATGCCATTCTACATCCAGGACTATTATAATAATTGCATTTGTTTTCATTAGTTTTTGTAAGGGGTTGAATTGGCTTGAGATTTGAGGAATTATTAAGTACTTGTTTTATTGACTACCAGAACCTCTATTTAAAAGAATTATGCATGTAATTTCTAAAGGTAAGTTTCTCTTCATTCATTTCATTGACCTTATTTCAAGAGGCCTGCCATGATCTTCATTATTAATAACTTAATTGATTCTATTATTCCCTAGGAAGATGTTCCTCACCTTACAATGGGCTTATGTCATGATACATCCATTGTAATAAAAATGTGTATAAGTTGAAAATGCTTTAATACACTTAACCTCCCAAACATGATAGCTTAGCCCAACCTACCTTAAACATTCTCAGAACACTTATATCAGCCTACAGTTGGGTAACATCATCCCAACTCAAAGCCTATTTTATGACACAATGTTGTCAAATTCATGTATTTTTATTGAATACTGTACTGAAAGTATAAAACAGAATGGTTGTATAGGTACTTGAAGTATAGTTTCTGACAGAGCAGGAGCATCACCATCTTTCTAAAGTTCCTCATTCTTTCTATAGCCCCTCATTCTAAAATTCACCTTAAACAAAAACTGCCTGAATCCAAAGGGCATCAGCCTAATGGCTAAGGTTAGCATGTCCATAAATCACTAATAACATCTCTAGCCATAAAAACATTCCAAACTCCCTCCCCCCGGCCAGAAACATGCTAGCCCCAAGATAAACCCATACTGGCTGGGAAGATACCAGTCCCAAGATAACCTCACCTCTGCCCAAAGACATTCCATTCCTGCCATAAAGCTCCTCCCTAACACAGAAACATTCTGTGCTTGGAATAATCCCCCTTACCCTAAAACCAATACATACTCTTAGTCTACAAGAGAAAGTGCTCCTGACCAAAATTGGCCAGAAGCCCCTCTCAGGTTTATTTTCTCTAAAATAAATCTATTTTTAACTGTTGAGCCATATTTTGTATTTCTTTCCTCTTTCTTTAACTCTTACAGTTTCTACTGAGTGCATATCCATTTTGCACAATTGTAAAGGCAAAAAAAGTCTTCAGCCTAGCCATCTTAAGTTGAAGACTGTCTATGTGCTTGTCTAAGCGTATTCATAGAATGTTAGATTGGCTTCCTTTCTGTTATGAGGCCATTTATAGGAATAATGTTTTCTTAAAATGAATAGCTTCCCCTGGGTTGACGCTACATGAAGACCATCCTTGATATAAAAATTGCTTTTTATAGATCCTGATAATTATGAAGCCGACAGTGAGTAAACATAGACCCTAAAGCTTGGGAGAAGCAACAGGCTCTGAAATGTGTAGGGTTAGATGAAGTGGCTGCATTTTTACCAGTGGCAAATCCATAATGGTCTGCAGCAAACTCACTCCTTGCCTCCTCAGAGAAAAGAATTTGCCTTAGGTGCATAAGGCAGAGGGAGAGTCCAAGGTAAATTTAACAGTAGGACTGAGCGTTTATTGAAAATATTTAGAGCAGGAGGCAAAGAAAGCAAAGTACACTTGGAAGAAGTCTAAGTGGGTGACTTGAGAAATCTAAATGCCTGGTTCAGCCCTGGACTTGGGGTTGTATACCTTGGCATGGCTTCACGGTTTGTGTTTTTCCTCCCTTGATTTTTCCCTTGGGGTAGGCTGTCACCATGTGCAGTGCCCTGCCAGCACTTGGGAGGGTCCGCGTGCACAGTGTGTCTACTGAAGTTGTGTGCATGCTCAGTTGAGGCATTTTTCCCTAACCAGTCAAATGTTCCTTCAGGAAGATCATATACACGTTAAACTCCTCCACCATTTTGCTTTTTAGTGCACATGCTTGAGCCCTCTTGCCTAGTTCACAAGACCTTATTGGGAAGCTGCTGATAACCAGCTTCAGGTGTTTTCTCTCTATTGGGAGACTGCCTTTCCTTGGTGCTGGCTGTGACCAATTATTATTTTACAGAGATAGTTTAACAACCACCTTACCATCACCTAATGGTCACCTGACATTCCCAGCAGGGGAGCGGGGCCTCTCCAGGCTGCTCATGTCTTCCTAACTGCCTACTCTAACAGCCTGAGTACACTCACATACATGAACTCACAAACAAAGGATTATTTGGCCTGAAACACAAAACAGTAACAACTTGTCAGCCACATATTCTCTAATGCCAAGAGATATCAGAATTCTCAAGGTAAACACACAGAAATGCAAATGCAAACTGAATTCTGTATTCTTTACTACCTTAAATATCCACATAAAACTACTGATGAAATACACAAAACAAACTAATTTAAAAGTCTTTCTCTACTACTGCCACCAGTGTAGACAGATAATCAGCTATGTGCAAACCAGAATCACATCTAAGAATACACTTGGACAACAATAAGCTTCATGACTTAGAAGCCAACACACTTGCTCACCTTAATTGAAATTTACAGATGATGGTAAGAAGGTGACAAGGAAACTCAAGGGGTGGAGGTTTGGGTGAGGAACGAAAGAAGGTTACATGTTCTGTTGATAACCATGATAGAAACTTTTGTGCGGTAATTGATATTTTAAAATCTCAAAATATAGGCTGTCAAAGAATAACTCAGAGATGTTTAGCTATCTGGCTAGTAATAATTGGGTCACTTATAAATGAAAGAGATGTTAGATGAGTTGTCAGTGGTCAAAAGCAAAATCAGGTTTATAAGGGAAAGGGAAGGCAAATACAGAGTCAGGAACACTTGGTCATGCTGTAGATTTGTAGGAATACTCATTAGCTAGCAGACTGAAAAATGGTCAGTCTTGAAAATTTACTTTTTTTTTTTGAGATGGAGTCTCACTCTGTTGCCCAGGCTGGAATGCAGTGGTGTGATCTCGGCTTACTACAAGCTCTGCTTCCTGGATTCACGTCATTCTCTTACCTCAGCCTCCTCAGTAGCTGGGACTACAGGTGCCTGTCACCACACCTGGCTAATTTTTTGTACTTTTTTAGTAGAGATGGGGTTTCACCATGTTAGCCAGGATGGTCTTGGTCTCCTGACCTTGTGATCCATCTACTTCAGCTTCCCAAAGTGCTGGGATTATAGGTGTGAGCCACCATGCCCGGCCAAAATTTCAACTTTAAGGAATGTGGTGAGTCGCTAAAAAAACTCATTTTAATTAAATATGTATATAACTTCCTAAGAGATAATCCTGTGGCACTCATGTCATTAGTCTCTATTTGAAGCTTTCCAGAGTCCACAGTTAACACCTGCATTTTACTAATACTTAATACTGGCCTATACAGAATTTATCATAACCAGCACATGGATATCCCTTGAGAATATTGGAATGAAATCATATTAATTGGTAGCTCTTTTTTTTTTCTTTTACCACTTATGTCCCACAGTGCTGGATTTTTTTTTTCAATGCCAATTCTACACATTCTTTCTTTCCTTGTGTGTTATAACAATTAGCTAATTTAAAGCATATACTGTCAGTCTATAGACACACTACCTCTTTATGAAAGTTACTATAAAATTTGCAGTTAGTTTCATACCTGCCTGGTCAAGATGGTGAAACCCCACCTCTTCTCAAAATACAAAAATTAGCCATGCATTGTGGCAGGCACCGGTAGTCCCAGCTATCAGGGAGGCTGAGGTAGAAGAATCACTTGAACCTGGGAGGCAGAGGTTTCACTGAGCCAAGTTTGAGCCACTATGCCCCAGACTGGGCAACAGAGCAAGACTCCATCTTAAAAAAAAAAAATTGCAATCATTTGGCCTTTTCTCATTCACTGAAGATTTTTAGCATGTTGCTGTCACCACAAAACTTATAATTTTAAATACTCACCTGTAAGAATATAGTAGTGGTGGGGCCTTTGGGAGGTCATGAAGGTAAAGTCTCATGAATCAGATTAGTGCCCTTATAAAAGAAACCCCAGAGAACTCCATTGCCCACTTCCACAATATGAAGACACAGTGAGAAGGTGCTGTTTGTGAACAAGGAATTGGGATCTCACAGACATTGAATCTACCAAGTCTGATCTTGGACTTCTAGTTTCCAGACTGAGAGAAATAAATATCTGTCATTTGTAAGTTACCTAGTCCATGGTCTTTTGTTACAGTATCCTAAACAAGCTTACTCTGTTTCTTTTGGCCTTTTTTCCTTGCAGTCTTTTGTAATGATTGTAATCTCCACATACGTAATCACCTACTAATCTGACTTCTCAATTCTTTGAACTTCCAAACTTCTAAGATGTTTTTTCTTACACACGAGAACTTCTTACTCTTATTACTTTAACATGGGCATTAGGAATTAATAATACAGACAAAATATTGTTGTTGTTGTTTTTAATTACCAGTTCATGCATCTGCATTTCTGAATATCACTGGATGGATAAGAACCCATCCAGCTAACACTGCTGATGCTATCAGGGCTTCCAATTCAATAATCTCAACTTTTCATTATGACTTATCCCTGAATTACCTCATTTTCCTGTTTACTCAATTTTTCTTTCCTGGTTCAGCTTCGTAATTAATTTTTAAAATCCATTCCACCCCCTTGTTCTATTCTTCAGTTATGTCCCTCTGCCCAAAGCCCATGCCAGTTCGTGAAACCACTTTTACAAAAATTTAATCAGTGAGAAAATTATGACAATGAAAGAGATCCAAGCTAACTCACCCCACTATCTTGCTTTTCCCTTAAATATTCCTGCATTTGTGAGTGCAGCTGACTTTGGAAGACATTTAGGCTTTTGTTTAAATGACAGTAGGCCTTGACTAAGACTCAGTCACTTTTGTAAAGCTATTGGGAAGCCATCAGGCTGGGAAGATGACAGGAGCTTGAATCCTGCTGAGGTGCAGACCATTGTTCTGGAGGTTGTAAGATATGCAACTTCCTCAATTACTGCTTCAAATAACACTAGTGTAGATTGGTCTTTTGAGAGATATCTCTCCAGGTTTTTCATTTGTGATGCAAATGGCTCCACCTGGACCTGCCGACCCTGCTCTCCTATGGCCCCACGAAGAAGCAATTCAGCCTGCAGGAGCAACATTTGAGAGACATTATGGCAGAGCAGGAAAGGGCTATACCATTGAAACTGTTTTGGATTAAAGTACAACTCAGCCATTTACCATCTGTGTCATTTTGCCTTAACTACTCTGTATCTGTAGTTATTAATAATTTCTCATGGGTGAAATAAAGATAATGCATTCATTCAATTTTGTTGTACAGATGAATCATGTGCATAGTGTTCTACTGAATACTATCATAATTTACTATTATCATTTTGATTAGCATCATCAGATATAGATTATTTCCTCCTTCTTGAAGGACTTCTTTTTCTTTGCCTTTCTTCCTTACCTCTGGTGATCTGTCAGTGTCGCATTCAAATTTATAATACACCAGTGACTCTCCTTTTGATGACTTCAACATTGACCTCTCACCTGAGTCCCAGGGTCAAATATCTATGGGGCAACTTAGCAACTAGATGAGAAACTAGAGACACAGCTGCCCACAGCTGGTAAGCAGAATTGGTTGACAGGGCTGATACAGTTTTGCTGTGTCCCCATCCAAATTTTATCTTGAATTGTAGTTCCCATAACCCTCACATGTTGTGGGAAGTAATTGAATCATGGGGGTGGCTCTTTCCCATGCTCTTTCTGTGATAGTGAATAAATCTCATTAGATCTGATAGTTTTATAAAGGGCAGCTCACCTGCACACTGTCTCTTACCTGGTGCTATGTAAGACATCTGTTTGCTCCTCCTTTGCCTTCCACCATGATTGTGAGCCCTCCTCAGCCATGCAGAACTGTGAGTCCGCTAAACCTCTTTGTCTCTATACATTACCTAGTCTTGGTTATGTCTTTATTAGCAGTGTGAAAATGGAATACTACAAATGTAGATTGAAGCATTTGAAGATTGGCATACAAGAAGAGGACAGAGAGATATGGAGGTCCTGAGTAAGCTGGGTTTTTGCAGGTCTGGCTAAGGAATCAGAGTTTCATCTGGGTGTGACTATAGTCATTGGAGGGGTGAAAATAAAAGATGTGGGGGTGCTTTCCTGAGTGCAAGCAAACTGCTTAGGAGTTCTTTTTCATATTCAAATGAAACACAGTAGTGCTTTGGCTGTGTCGAGAACAGAGGTAGCCATAGAGAAGTGAGAGAGGAAGTATTTTGGTGGTAGACCTAACAGGAATGGCTGAAAAACTGACCATGGAGTATGACGAGTTTGCTTTGATTTGTGGTAACTGGGTGAAAAACTGGACCCCTTCATGTGATACTGAAGCTTAGGAACATCTAGCATAAACTTTGACATATTCTGTTGAAGATCAATCTATCTGATATCCTAGAGTTGGTTAACTCAGAGCCTTACACATAGTAAATAATTGCTTAAAAAATAAAAGGAATTGAAAGATGTAGGGGAAAGTAAGGAAGGAAAAGAATGAGAATGTAATGGCTAAATTAGGTTATTTATGCAGTTTTCTCTTCTCCCATAGGCTTTTTTACCCAGAATCCTCATCTTTTGAGGTAAAATCCTATGGGGAGGTTTTTTTTGACTTATTTAATTAGGAATATATTTTCAGCCCCAGAAAATAATGAGAGAATTGCGTTCTTCGTACTCTGATTTTGTCCAAATCTTGCTACCATACAGATTTACTTCACAACCTGGGCTTTGGGCTCTTGGCCAATTCTGAATTCCATTTTAGATGGAGTTATATTTTTTCTTTTATGATTTTTATTGTTATGGATTTCAGAAAGGATAGCAAAGTAAATATGAGTTTGCTCCTCTAGCTTTCTTTATAGGCTTTAGACTTCATTATTATTATTATTATTATTATTATACTTTAAGTTTTAGGGTACATGTGCACAATGTGCAGGTTAGTTACATATGTATACGTATGCCATGCTGGTGTGCTGCACCCATTAACTCGTCATTTAGCATTAGGTATAACTCTTAAAGCTATCCCTCCCCCCTCCCCCCACCCCACCACAGTCCCCAGAGTGTGATGTTCCCCTTCCTGTGTAGACTTTCAAATACTTAGATGTTCCAGCCTTAAAGGGAAATTTACAGCGTTTTTGGAATGTGAGTCATCTTCACTTCCCATTTCCTTAGCTCAGGTAAGTATGAATAAGAAAGTACATTTCAAGTTAAATTTTGAAGCTCATCTGTTACCACACACATAATAGCATAAAATTAAAATGTTCCCTACCTCTTATCTTTTGAACTATCAAGGTTAAATGAATTATTCTATACTTCAATCATTTTACTACCACATTTAGTAACTCTCCCACTGGCCACCCTTGCTTTAAGCAGACATTGTGTTTTGTTATTGGCCTTCATAGAAACATTTTCCCATTTGTAATATCAATGGTTTTACTGTGAAACATTACCAAGTCAAACTTTACTGTGATTAAAATGACCTTAAGAATAACCACAGCATAAAATATTCAACTCAACTCAAAATGTAACCTGAAGATTCTTGAAATTTCATGTCTGTGGCATGCAACTGAAATTATTCTTCTGATATTTTTCTTTTTAACAATTAAGTCTTTACCTTCAAGATTATGAGGATAGATTTTAGATGAATAATTAAATAATATCATATGAATTTCTTAAAGTATTCACATATAATACTCAAAGCACATCATTCTGAGTTACACCTGAGATGAAATACTCCTTCTTGGAGAATAGAATCCATGAAGAAAAATACAGCCAGGATCTAACTCTGAATAAAATTTGTATAAAGGTATTGTAACTTATTAAGAACGTACTGTGTACAAGTCACTGTGCTAAACATTAGAGAAGTTATCTTTAACCTTCACAGTATCCATGAAGTTTGGGTAAGAGCTCTATTTCTTAGGATGTTAACCACATGGATTTTACATGTTTTGCTTATAGAGGTAAATGAAGAATACATTCAGTCAGCAAACAATGTATTTGCAAACTACCTTAAATCACCTTTTTTACATAAATGTCTATGACACCCAATGAGAGGTAGTAGCTGCAGGTTGTTTTATTAATATAAATACATTGAAGTACCCTACTCAGGGAGGTGTTTAACCATGACTGATAACAGATTCCTTCCACAGAATTAGATAATGAACAAGAGACACAAAGTAGTTTGGTGCTTCTAAATAAATATGTTTGGTCACTGTTCTTACACATTAGTATTATTTAAAATTATTTTAAAAACCCCTACATAGAATATGTTTCAAAATATTTGATTTTGTCCCCAACTATTACTAAGATAATGGTCATCACAGACGAAAACACCAAACTGTATCTGGTGCTCACTAATTCTGTCCAACTGTCATTGTTCCGTATGTTGGACCAGCTGTCATACACAAAGCTTAGTTTATAAAGAAGTACATGAGCAAATACATGATGTCTTGCTAACAAATATTGCTGAAATGGGAGAGTTCCATGGACTCCTTCACGGGACTTGTGACAAGAGTGTGAATCGCTTACTTTGCTGCAGTGCTCAAACCCCTTGTAACAGAGCATGCAGGAAAGCCAGTGTCTGGGCTGGGGCAGTGTTTTTGAGCTGTGGCCCCACAGCAGTGTCCATGGGTATGTTACAATTAATGCTCTTTTAGCAGTTGCTGCCCACAGATGGTTAAATGTTAAACCAGTGCAGTGGAGAGTCAGGATGACAGCCTTTTAAATCTTACCCTCTTGGTACCTGGGTCCTTTTCCAGAATCCAGGAAGAATCACGTCACATGGCCTTGAAACATGATGAATTCAGAAGTTTTATTGAGTGATGGAGGTGGCTGTCAGTGGGATGGGGAGCTGGAAAGGGGATGGAGTGGGAAAAGAATCTTCACCTGGAGTTCAGCCATCTCAGGCAGAACTCCTTTCTGACCATCCCGAGCTGAACACCTCTTAACATTCAGCTGTTTCTTCTCTTTCCTCCTTCTCTGCCACATCACTCTGCTGCTCTGCCAGTGCAGCTTGAGGTTTTTATGGGTACAGAATGGGAGGCATGGTGGGCCAGTGTGGTTTTGGAAAAAGGAACATTCAGGCAGGAAAACAGGATCTAAAGGTCTCATTTAGGGCTGTGGGCCCATTCGTGGGTGGGCCTTTGGCGGGGAACTGCCTACTTCTACACAGTATTTCCCTGCCTCCTGTCCATATCATTGCCACTTATTGAAAGTTGGCCATATTTAGCTAAGGTATGAGCTTGTGTACTTGGCAGGCACTATCAGGTTTAGATTAACAAGCTGTGCCACTGACATAAAGAGATATATTAGTTGACTACAATTTTTACTATAGTCAAGTCATGATGAAGCTTTTAACAACATGTATGGTTGATGATAAGGAGAAAATGGGAAAATGGGACACAAGTTAATGACAGAGGCTTGGCAGATTTACCAAATCATTGGGTGCACAAAATTAGGCAGATAGCAGGAGCAACAATAAGTCTAGTGGTTTTTCATTGGCAGGAGAAGAAATAAGACAAAGGAGCTTGTTTGAAGGGCTGCAGATTTCTGAAAATCTATGTATGGTGATTTTGAGATGCAGTCCAGTAGGCATAGGGGTAATGTGGTTAGGAATAAAGGGAGCTGAAATTCATGCAGCTCCTAAGGGTTGAGACACCACTGGTATAAGATAGTTTGGGAATCCAGGGCCTTTGAGGTCAGCACCAGGGGAATACAGAGGAGAAGCAGAGAGAGTGTAGAAGACATTGAAAACAACTTTGCAAAAATTATAGCTTAGGAAATTACAACAGTGAAAGAGATAAGACCTAACTGACTCCTTCTTACTTCTAACATTTAACCTGTCCTCATTCATTCCTTGGCATAGGCCAAACTAACCTTGGGGAGGAATTTAGTTTATTTTTTGACTCTGAAACAAAATTGATAATAGCCATTTCCTGAAAAGACCCCTTTCTTGCCTGGGGACAAGTCTGCCTTAGCATAATTAACAAATTAGCTACAAGATTAGAAATTACAGTTAGGGGCCACGTGGCCTCTGGATGCAAGAGTCTGAATCTCCCCAAATCACTCCTGGGGATAACAGCACTGTTGTAAAACCTAAAACCAATGCTTGGGATATTTTGCAGACCCTGCACTCAAAGGATCGGCTGACAACACCCATATAAGTAATGTCACTTAACCAGTTCTGTGATCCCACCCAGAAACAGAAGACAGCAAGAAAATTTCACTTTGACCCCCTTTAATTCTATCTCCAACCTGACTAATCAGCATTCTCCCCACATCCCAATACCATAACCACTAAGTTATCCTTAAAAACTCTGATACCTGAATGCTATGTGAGACTCATATGAGTGATTATAAAACTTCTGTCTCCCACACAGCCAGGTCTGTGTGAATTACTCTTTCTCAATTGCAATTCCCCTGGTTTGATAAATTGGCTCTGCCTAGGAAGCAGGCAAGGTGAATCCATTGGGTGGTTACAAGATGGCCAGTAGTGTAGGTGTGGGTCAAAAGCAAAGAGCAAAGAAAGATGCCACAGAGTAAGAAAAATGAATAGAATTATACGACAATAAGATGATGATGCCTCAGTATGAAAAAATAAAATAAAAGATCATCAGAAGGCACATCCTCAACTAGGAATAATGTCCTCTGCCTATGCTGACTTGAAATGTAAACTCAGAAAAAGAAAAGATTCTTTTTAAATGCTCACTGTAGTATCCTGCATTAATGGAATGCTCTTAGAAAGTGCTGCATAATTATTTGTTAAATGCCTGGGAAGTCAAATGAAACAAGTTTTTCCAAGTCTGTTCCAGTATGGAACTATTTTGCAATGATCTCTTGAGCATCTACTAATTTCTGGACAATAATATATCATGATATACGTTGGTATATTCAAAGGTGAGACAAGACCCCACCTTTGAAATTTGACAAAGTAATACAATGTGAGAAAAGAAAAGACAAAGCATAAATTGTAGCTTTTCAAATAAAATAATTTTCTGTATGCACTGAGAAATGCAGAGTTGGGATGCTATGTCAGCATATTTATATTATAAATAATGCTAGTGAAAAGCTTTTTAAAAAATTAAGTATAGAACTAAGATAACTAGCAAGAAAATCATTCCAGAGCACTGTAAATAAATACAAAATTCAAATATTGCCCTAATACATATAGTTCTGAAGAATGGGTCATTGGTTTGGATAACTCTCCATCTTATCTTCTTTTAGTATCAAATAATGATTTTTCACAAGTTTCACCATATGCCAGCATAATATTGCACTTATATGTGGACAATTGTGGTAGAAATCACTCTTCAATTTTCTGTAAGCACCTTGAAATTCACTAACTCCTCTTATTTCTTTTTGTTAAAACTATTGTAGCAGGTTTGCCAATGCACCATTTTTTTGATTTTCTTCTTTGAAGTAGAACCCAGAGTTCCTTGCCTCAACACCAAGATATATAAGGAGCATGGACAAAATGGTGAGGTTAGAGTGAAAGTTTAATGAGCAAAAAGAGAAAACTTTCTGTAACAGAGAAGAATTGCAAAGGAGGGTTGCTGTTCTACAGTCAAATACAAGGACTTTTATAAATAGGCTCACAGGGCAAGGTATTTCATTTACATGAGGTTCAAATAACCAATTAGGACTAGATGTTTCATTTGAATAAGGTGCAAATTCCTAACAGCTCCTCATTGTCCTTTTAATGCTCATGTGGACCCTTAGCCTAAGTTACCCCATGCTGTTTAACTTCCTTTACTGCACATGTGTAAGTCGGTGAAATTTTCCATTGCAGATATGCTGAGTTTTGCTTTACTTTTCTTAGGCAAGTTTCAAGCAGTCCCCAACTCTGTCCTTTCCTGTGCATATTTCCTTAACTAAGTATGTCCAAAAAAGAAAAGCAATGTGCTCACTGATGCCTACTGTGTATACATGACCCTTGCTAGTTACACAGGAAGGCCTCTTTGTAGTGGACTTTGCCTCCTTAACTAGGCTGCAATCTGATCTTTTAGGCTGTCACTTTGTCAGGAAGAAAGAAATTCTATCAAGGACTTGTCCTAGCTATCTGCCTAACTGGTTCCTTTCTCTCTTTTCTCTCACTACAATCCTAAATGTGGCTTTGCTTTCATTAATGTTTCACATGCTAAAAATGTTATGAGGAATCCCCAGTCCCTCAAAATGCAAAGTCTCAGGGCTAATATTTATGAAGATACAGAAAAATGAACAGCTGCTTACAGTGAAATGAAAGTACTGGGTGAAGTAAATGGTAATAACAGACTTATCATTTGTTCCATTCTTAAACTAACATATTCAGATTTTGTTGAAAATGTAGTAGAAAGAAAGTTGAATTCCAACTTGATTCAAGAATAGTTATTATTACTCAAAGACCTTGGAAGTGTTATTATGTGTTTTAATTAGTTGCAGATTTTTTGGATTGGGAGCAGATAAAATAATTTTGAAGATAGTTAAAAAATCAAAATATTTTCAAGCTACAAAGTCTGGTTCATTTAGGTAGTACATATGCAGAAATTTTGTCTTTTTTTATGGACAAAACAGGGAGTCTTATTAAAGAATTTTTCAGTGGAATGGGGCAGGAGGGAGGCTGATGACTGTACACACACTTAAATAAGTTTGATCACCAAGACAGAAATATTTGGCTCATCTGTGGGTGAACTTGAAAGCAGGAGTATTACTTCCACCAAAGCCTTTGTGCTTATGTTCCTGACATCTTCAGAAAACGTTGAGGACATATTTGATAGCTCTTCTTCCTTACCTACAGAGGTTCTCATCTCTGAGAATGAGGCTGTTTAAAGATTCTCAGCAGGTTGCAACTGTTTTGTGCTCAAGGTCTTTAAAATGTATGAAAAGAAGGAATGCAAAAAAGGGTTATGTACACTTGAGTCAAATATATTGTGTTAAGAGGTAATGATTCTATTTTGTTTTCTGAGCTCAGTGCCTGCGGCTCCAAACCCTTTAAACCAACTCTAAGGTTCTTCTCAACTTCAAATAGTCCTCCTTCAACTTCTTTCTTCTTGGAGATTTCAAAGTTTGGCCTTGGTAAATATTCCTCCATCCCTTTATTTTGAGCCCATGTGTGTCTTTTTATGTGAGATGGGTCTCCTGAATACAGCACACTGATGAGTCTTGACTCTATCCAATTTGCCATTCTGTGTCTTTTAATTGGGGCACTTAGCCCATTTACACTTAAGGTTAATATTGTTATGTGTGAATTTGATCCTGTCATTATGATGCTAGCTGCTTATTTTTCCTGTTAGTTCATGCAGTTCCTTCATAGTTTCAATGGTCTTTACAATTTGGTATGTTTTGCAGTGGCTGGTACCAGTTGTTCCTTTCCGTATTTAGTGCTTATTTGAGGATCTCTTGTAAGGCATGCCTGGTGGTGACAAAATCTCTCAGCGTTTGCTTGTCTGTCAAGGATTTTATTTCTCCTTAGCTTATGAAGCTTAGTTTGGCGGGACATAAAATTCTGGGTTGAAAATTCTTTTCTTTAAGAATGTTGAATATTGGCCCACATTCTCTTCTGGCTTGCAGGGTTTCTGCAGAAAGATCCGCTGTTAGTCTGATGGGCTTCCCTTTGAGGGTAACATGACCTTTCTCTCTGGCTGCCCTTAACATTTTTTCTTTCATTTCAATCTTGGTGAGTTTGACAATTTTGTTTCTTGGGATTGCTATTCTCCAGGAGTATCTTTGTGGTGTTCTCTGTATTTCCTGAATTTGAATCTTGGCCTGTCTTGCTAGGGTGGGGTAGTGCTCTTGGATAATATCCTGAAGAGTGTTTTCAAACTTGGTTCCATTCTCTCTGTCACTTTCCCGTACAGCAATCAAACATGTGTTTGGTTATTTCACATAGTTCCATATTTCTTGGAGGCTTCATTCATTCTTTTTCATTCTTTTTTCTCTAATCTTGTCTTCATGCTTTTTTTTATTAACTTGATCTTCAATCTCTGATATGCATTCTTCCCATTGATTGATGTAGCTATTGATACTTGTGTATGCTTCAGAAAGTTTTTGTGCTGTATTTTTCAGCTCCATCAGGTCATTTATGTTCTTCTCTAAACTGGTTATTCTATTAGCAATTCCTCTAACCTTTTTTCAAGGTTCTTAGACTCCTTCTATTGGGTTAGAATGTGCTCCTTTAGCTCAGAAGAGTTTGTTATTACACGCCTTCTGAAGCCTACTTCTGTCAATTTGTCAAATCCCTTCTGTATCCAGTTTTGTTCCCTTGTGAATGAGGAGTTGTGATCCTTTGAAGGAGAAAAGACAGTTGGGTTTTTGGAATCATCAAATTTTTGTGCTGGTTTTTCCTCATCTTCCTGGAGTTATCTAACTTTGATCTTTGGTGTTGGTGACCTTCGAATGTGGTTTCTGTGTGGACATCATTTTGTTGATGTTGATGCTATTCCTTTCTGTTTATTAGTTTTCCTTCTGAAGGTCAGGCCCCTCTGCTACAAGTGTGCTTGAGTTTGCTGGAGGTCCATTCCAGACCCTGTTTCCCTGGGTATCACCAGTGGAGGCTACAGAACAGAAAAGATTGCTGTCTGTTTCTTCCTTGGAAGATTCATCCCTGAGGGGTACCTGCCAGATGCCAACTGGAGCTCTCCTATATGAGGTGTCTGTTGACCCCTGCTGGGAGGTGTCTCCTAGTCAGGAGGCACAGGGGTCAGTGGTCCACTTGAGAGGGGGAGTCTGTCCCTTAGTGGAGTGTGAGCACTGTGCTGGGAGATCTACTGCTCTCTTCAGAGCCAACAGGCAGTGGTATTTCAGTCTGCTGAAGCTGTACCCACATCTGCCCCTTCCCCCAAGTGCTCTGTTCCAGGGAGATGGAGGTTTTAAGTATAAGCTTCTGACTGGGGCTGCTGCCTTTTTTCAGAGATCCCCTTCCAAGAGAGGAGGAATCTAAAGAGGCAGTCTGGCTACAGTGGCTTTGCTGAGCAAGGTTTGCAGTACTAGTCCCTGATAAATTTTAAACCAACAAGGATCAAGAGACAAAGAAAGGGATTTCATAATGGTAAAGAGATCCATGCAAAAAGAAGAGCTAACTATCCTAAATACATATGCAGTAGAAATCTGTTCAAAGTATTTTTATCTCTAATTATACTCATGTCATGATGTCAAATAACGTTAATTGTTCTATAGCATCCACTATTTTTCTCTTTCTCTCTCTTTTTTCTTTTTTTCTGGGCACATGGCCCCAAATCTTAAGACTGCATTTTCCTCTATTGCATCTAGGTAAACCCAAGACATCCATTACTGGTCAAAGGCATGGAAATGAATGCAAAACTTTTAATTTCCAGGTAGTATGTATATCAGTGAACTGCTTGCCTTTGTGTGTGGGGATTTGTCAAATGAGATACAGTTCACTTTCCTCTCTACTAAAATACAAAAATTAACTGGGCATGGTGATGCATGCCTGTAATCCCAGCTACTTGGGAGGCTGAGACAGGGGGATCACTTGAACTTGGGAGGTGGAGGTTGCAGTGAGCTGAGATCATGCCACTGCACCCCAGCTTGGGTGACAGAGAAAAACCCCATCTCAAAAAAAAAAAAAAAAAATAATATGTCTGTCTGAAATAACCTTAGTGGATTATGGATTCCAATGCTCTCTGTTAGTAAAAATTATTAGGAAAGAGGAATGTTCAAAGAAAAGGAAGCAAAACATTGAATGTAGATTCAGCATTAATTGCTGGGAGTAAGACTTAAATCTAAGTGAGAAGTCTTTGTTGGCAAGTCTTTAGAGATCAAGCTGATGGTGAAAAAACTCATCACTACATACCTGCAGGATGAATGGAGAAGATTATCACGCTAATCCTATGTGAATAGTCATTTGTCATTTCGGGTGACAATATTAGGCACCAATTAATAAAGTGACTAAAGTCAAACAAGTTAGAAGGACATGAAGATAATTCACCCAAGAAAACACCATGAGATATTTGAAAGAAGCTTTCTAGAGAAGACAGGGATATTGCAGATATTATGAACAGATTATCTATAATTGTCTTATAAAATGTGCCTGTGATTAACAGTGTTACTATATCTTACTTAGTATAGGCTATATAAATATAATTTAAATTTAGATATGCAACTAATTAATTAACTATTATAAACAAAATTAACTCCTTAAAGCTATTAGAATTTAATCTGTGTAAGTTACTTGTTCTTGGTTATTTATTTATTGTTTTCAGGGACATGGTCTTGCTGTGCTGCCCAGGCAGGAGTGCAGTGGTGCAATGACAGCTCACTGCAGCCTCCATCTGCTGGGCTCAACCTATCATCCTGCCTTAGCCTCCTGAGTAGCTAAGACTAGAAAATCATGCCACCAGGCCTGCCTAACTTTTTATTTTTTTAGAGACAGTCTTGCTCTGTTGCCCAGGCTGGTTCCAAATACCTGACCTCAAGTGATCCTTCAGTCTCAGCTTCCAAGTAGATGGCGTTCTAGCCCTGTGCCACCTGATCTGGCTGCCAGGACTTTTAAAGTAACAACTAGACATTATTTTTCTACTTGTAGGGGAGCAACATTTAACCAGGTAGAGTATCTAAAATACAGGAAAATTCTAGGAAAGCCATATGTATTGATGAATGATATGTGAATCTGCATTTGACTTATAATTTGTATTGTTTTTAAAGTCCTATTTCTCTCAAATGAAGGTATAAAAACATACCTGCAGCATATCTATCTATCTATCTATCTATCTATCTATCTATCTATCTATCTATCTACCTACCTACCTACCTACCTACCTGAGGTAAGTTCTTGCTCTGTTGCTTAGGCTGGAGTACAGTGACTTGACCATGGTTCACTGCAGCCTCAACCTCCTGGGCTCAAGGGATCCTCCCACCTCAGCATCTTGAGTAGCTGGGACCACAAGCATGTACCACCACCATGGCTGGCTAAATTTTTACTTTTTTTGGAGATGAGCTCTGCCATGTTGCCCAAGCTGGTTTCAAACTCCTGGGTTCAAGCAATCAGCCCACCTCAGCCTCCCAAAGTGGAGCCACTATACCAAGCTGCATTACACATTTTTTAGTATTGAGCAAAAGTATAATCTTTTTTAAAAAGAAATGGAAATGATATAAAGAAGCAATTTTAAATGCTACTCATTTCTGACTGCTCTTTCCTAAAGATTATAGGAGCATCATGATTTTATGCCTTATTTAAATGTCTCATAGTTTTAGGTATCTTTTCCTTAATATTTTAGTAGCTCCATAATTTTAGGACCTTAGGAAAAGTGAAATGGGCCCTACAGTATGATTTAGATGATTGGCAGGTATCCATGCTCCAGTCCAGATGTATGTCTACCCTCAGCTGCTATCTTGTCTTCCATTTTTGGCTGCTTGAACCCTGAGAAAAGATGAGTGATGTCAATACCTGAGTGATGTTTGTTTTGGTTTCAAGCAACAGAAACACGAATTAAAAGTGACTTGAATAGTGACAACAGAAAGCTGAAATGTTGCAGTACATTCATGATGCTATATCTAAGTTTTATAGACTAAGCAGTTTACAAACAATGGGCATTTATTGCTAATTATTCTAAAGGTTGGCAGTCCAAAATCAAAGTGTGGCATATTTTTGTGTCTGGTGAAGTTCTCCTTCCTGGTTGAGAGACAGCACTGAAGTTCTCTGTGTATCCTCACATAGTGGAAGGGGTGAGGGAGCTCACTGGGCTCCCTTTCATTAGGACACTAATCCCATCCATGAGGACTCCACCCTCATGACCTCCTCACCTCCCAAAGGCCCCACCTCTTAACACCATCACTTTGGAGGTGAAGATTTCAAAATAGGAATTTTTGAGTGGGCACAGGCATTCATTCCAATTGCACCAACTACTTTTAATAATAATGATAACCTTAATAAAAATAATAGCATTCTCAGCATACGTAAAGATCATCTTCATACAATAAGCTCATGGATCCATATTCACAGATGTCTAGCAAAACAATAGGTGTGCGATGGCCTTGAGCTTTCAAGGTTTTTCCATTTCCTTGCTTTGTCATTTTCTTTAATTTACCTGGCTTCATTAATATTTCCATCATACTTGCATTATGTCAGGGAAAAGAACAGACCAAAATGTCCCATATTACACATTTTGTGCTAGTATTTCATTGACCTGAAATGCATGGCTCTTATCTTCCTCAACTATTTACTGGGTGGAGAAATAGAATTATTGTAGCAGATATTGTACATTATCTCCTGCAATGCCCGAGCAAATTTACTTCCCTTTGTCTTCTCACACTACAGGGCAACACCACCAAGGTGCTTGATTTCCCAGCTAACTTTGTAGTGAGGTGCAAAGTCATGTCTGTGCCTCATATCTGGTCAATGAACATAAGCAATAACCTCTTGCAGTGAAAATTCCCATTCAGATTTTCCTGTTTCCTGCTCTGAATGCAGTTGGGATGGCTGGTGGTGGAGTGGGTCTTATGTGAACATGAGGAGAAAAACCATATAAAAATGGTAGACCAGATGACGGATGATGCCTGGGTCCCAGCTTAGAATTACTGCACAAAATAGAAGCTTTCTACTTCTTCACTTCCCACAGTTTTTTTAATCATTTAAATTTGCTAATAATTTACGAAAGATTGTTTTTTATCATATATGTCATCAAGATGTATTTTTACTGGATGTCAGAAGTTATTCCATCTGGTGAAAATGACTTGCTTTGCTTTGTAAATAAAAAAGCTCAAATACATATGTATTTTAAAAATGTTCACATATATGTACACACATATATACATACACACACACACACATATTGTATATATAATAGTGTATTATAATGAAGTCCCACAAACATAGTAACTAGCTTCAGCAGTTATCCATAGATGGGCAATCATGAGTCGCACAACTATGGCAGGCCAGGACTCACTAACAGCTGAACATGCAGGGTTCCATTACAACTGTCTCAGCACTGACTGAGTGGTGAAGTTCAATATTAAAAGATGATAGAACCGATGTCCTCATACAAAGGCTGGAATGTAACAAAAGCTCACCAAGAGTTTTGCCCAGGCCTCTCCTGGGCCTTGAAGCATTACAAGATAATGAAGGAATTCTTAACAGGACCCATTTATGATTAAACAAGTTTTACTGGAGGTCTGAAGAAACTCTCCAGACCTCCTTAAACAAGTTTTACTGGGGGTCTAGAGGAATGCCCCAAACCTCCATGATTTAGCTGGAGAAAAGAAAAGGGTAATCACTCCAGCACCTAGACCCATTTAGATTAAGTAAATTTACTGAAGCTCTAGAGGGTCTTCAGGACTCAGCCCTTAGTTAGAGATTAAAAGAATTAATCACTTATGTCTTTAGATGAATGTACACTTAGACATAGACATATAGCTTGGAAGGTATAGCTCTGGAAAACTGTAATTTTTAGTTGGTCTGGCAATATTTTCCCAGTCTTCTCCCAGTACTCAGTTACAGAAATAAACTTTCTTCTTTTCAAGTTCATCTGCATCTTGTTATTGGGCCATGAGAATAAGCAGCCCAACCCTTGTTTCGGTCTGGGTAAACAATCACCACTTTATATGTTATTTATAAAAGACATAGTATATAACCTCATTCAAAATAATGTGTTACTTGTCTAAATGCAAGGACTTCTTTTTAACACAACAATAACAGCATAATCGTGCTTTAAAATTTAACAGTGTTTCCTTAATATTATCAAATATTAATATCATCAATTAAGGCTGGGTTCATATATGCTCAATTGCTTCAAATCCATTTTAATTAATTGTTTGAATCTCAAAATAGGAGTACTCCCTTGTCCATGAGAGTTATGTAAAAGACCTTGAGTGGATGCCTGGAAGTTCATATAGCACCTAGTGTGAGTGGTGCAAGGTCAGAGATAGCCAGGTTCATGCATATTTGTGTCTTTCTACAAGTTCAGAATTTTACTGATGCTATTTCAATAATGAAAGCCATGAGCTACATGAAGTTCCCAAGGGGACAATTCTAGTTCTTCCCATTGACTTGGTAGTCAGAGTCTTGGGCACACAGGCTCAAGCCACTCCACAAGTCAGTCAATATTGCAAACCATACATAATAGTATACTTAACCAATATATAAATGTTATAGATTAAGCATTCCACAACAAACAAAGCAACATTTAACTTCAGCAGAAAAGGGACACAATAAAGGGTTAGTCCAGGGAGAGTAACAAGAACAAAAAGAGACCAGGAGGTTCATTGATCTTGCAAGGATGCATCTTTAACATGGGTAGATGCTTTAGTGGCAGACGGTGGATGCTTATTACAAGTGAGGATGGCTATTTTATGCTACTGAAATCCTGCCACAGAGTCCTCAGGTGATGAATGACAATGGAAGAGTGTGCTTGCTTATGTCCTTATCTTCTTGGGTGCAGTCTTTATTGATCTGATAAGACATCTTGTCCCCGTTGGCAAGGTACCCTATGAAATGTAAGATGGAATCTTTTTCTAGGATGAAATTACCTATCTCAAAGTAGCTCTATAGAGAACCAAACCCTATATATGGTATTACTTTTCTTTGATAAGTTTTGTTTGATTTTGAGATGGGATCTCACTCTGTTGTCTAGGCTGGAGTGCAGTGGTGTGATCATGGCTCACTGCAGCCTCGTATTCTTGGGCTCAAGTGATCTCCTGCCTTGGTTTCCTGAGTAGCTGAAACTGCAGCACACAGCACCATGCTTGGCTAATTTTTTTAAATTTATTCTAGAGACAGGGGTCTTGCTATATTGCCTAGGCTGTCCTTGAATTCCTGGGCTCAAGGGATACTCCAACTTCAGCCTCTCAATTAGCTGGGACTACAGTTGTGCACCACCATATCCAGCTAATTTTTTTGACTTTTTTTTTTTTTTTTTTTTTTTGTAGAGAGAAGGTTATGCTATGTTGCCCAGAGTGGTCTTTAACCCCTGTGCTCAAACAATCCTCCTGCTTCAGCATCCCAAAGTGCTGAGATTACAGCCATGAGCCATGGCACTGGGCAATGATAAATTTTAATTCATAAATAAGGTACTTAACAACAAAAACTAATAATAATTTACTTGGTAGTCAATTACAACAATATGTCAGCATCACTACTCTTGTACTTTGGGGCCACTATTCAGTGACTCATAGGTGACTTGAACACAAGCGCTGCAATTCTGTGATAGTTAATGTAATCACTGAGGTGGCTATCAAGTGAGTAATAGAGGGAATGCATAGACGCCATGGAGTTGCTGGACATGGCAGGATTCCCAACATGGGAAAGACAGAGTGAAAGCTAGAGATTTCTTCACACCTCTAAGAATAGTGCACTATTTAAAACTGATGAACTATTTATTTCCATTTAATATTTTTGGACCCTGGTTGATGTGGTAACTGAAAACCAGAGAAAGAGAAACTGTGGATAAAGGGAGACTTCTCTACAGACAAGTTCCACATGGGGTATTGAGGGATAGTTCCCTCTTTTATATTTTTTTAGGCAGGGTCTCCCTGTCTTGCCCAGGCTGGAGTGCAGAGGCACAACCATGGCTCACTGCAACCCTGATTTGGCCTCCAGTAATCCTCTTGCCTCAGTCTCCTGAGTAGCTGGGACCACAGGTGTGCACCACCACATCTGTCTAAGTTTTAAATTTTTTGTAGAGATGAGGGTCTCACTCTGTGGCTCCGGCCTGTGTGCTGGGCCCAAGTGATCTTCCTTCGTCAGCCTCCCAAGGAAGTGCGGGGATTGCAAGTATGAGCCACTGTACTGGCCTTCCTTCATTTTTCTTTCCATTTGTTTGTTGAAGAAAAGGTGGGGAGGGTCTTATCATTTGTTCTGCATGGTTTCTCACACCTTAATAATGGAATTGTATTCCTGTGGGAAACCAAAATGCTACTTTTACACCCATCTCCATGGTGGCACATGGCCTGCATTGTTGTATAATATGTACAATTATATCCAAGTTTTAGCCCTTCCCTTCCAAAAGACTTTAGACAGGCAGTTTCTTCCCCCTTGGGAGAAGAAATGATATAATTATTGCAGAAATTTGAAAAAAATCTAACATTGGGTGAATATTACAACGAATATCAGATCATGGAAAAAGCCAAGATTTCTGGACTAAGAAATCATTGGGAGTGGTGATGATTTCTAAACATCCAATTAGAGAAGAATGTCTATTTCCATGAAATGTATCACCAACTCAATACGTTGAAAATTCTAAAAAGTAAGATGAATGGTATTCTGAAAATTATTCCTTAAGGGCTGTAAAAATGGCCTTAAGAAAATTGAAACCTCTTTCTTTGTCAAAAGGCAGCTCATTTCAGATGCATTCATGCTAGTTCTGAACTGCTTCCTGGTTCCATCAGCCATATTCTGGAAGCAAGCAGAGGCGGTATTGTGGGTGCACAGAATAGTAAGCAGGATTTGCGGTAATATCAGAAGTAGTAGAGAGCTGCCTTTTCTCAGATATATGAGAAAACAAAATGTAACTACTGTCCTAGGTTCTGGAAAAAAGCATTTTGAATAATATTTGAATCAGAGATGTCATAGGCTTAGAGAATTCTGAGTCAAAAAGGTGCATCCACATACATGAGGATTTTTAGGCACTTTGGGCTTTTTTACACAGTGTCAAATCACAGACGACTCATGGCTTTTTGGAAAACTTTCATCTGCCCTTCAAAGAGAGTATTGATGCTAAAAAACAGCACCACATAACCCCTTCCCTTATCCACCCACCTCCCTCCCCACACACAGATAGGATGCTGCAGAGAAATTAGACTTGCCAGCCTTCTCTCCAGATTTCTACAAGAGAAACAATGCCAACCACAGCACTAATAGATTAGGATGTTGCTGCTAATACTATTAGTGATAGCAATAGTAATAATAATGGCACCACTAATAACAATAATATTGTTGTCATTAATTATAGTAATACCAAGGACAACTGTTAGAAGACATGTTTAAATTCACTGAGTGGTGCTTAAGTGCCAGGGACTCTGGAAAGTGATTTATGCACACTGTGTCCATCATTATAACCATTACTGTGTTTCTTGTCACAATAGCTGCATAGAGTAGATGGTGGTAATATCTTTGTTCTTACTTGAAATATTTAGAAAGTAAACTCAGAAAGTGAAAGCAGTGTTCTGAGAACCACAGAGATTTGAGCTGGAGAGAAATAAAACTCATTGATTTTTATCCCTGTGTTCATTAGCCACTTGGGTGAGTATTCAAAAAGTCAGGTTTGAGCTTTTGCATAGTTTCTCCAGGGTGACCTTGTTCCTAAAAAGCAGAAACTCAAGATTCAAAGATTTATCATTAAATATTCCAAGAATATTAATACTCTTAAAGTAAAAGCCATATGCAAAACATATCATCCAATAGTTTCTGCCTTCAGAAAAAACTCTATAGGCTTAAGACTTCCATTTCCAAATTTGTGCATTCCTATAAAAACACATAGCTGAGCAATATGTATTAGTTTTTTAAATATAATGAAAACAAACATAGTTATTAGTAGTAAAAACATAAACATATCACATTATGTTGGTGCAGAAGTAGTGTAGAATACTTCTAAAAGTGTTAGGAAACCAAGTTAATAAATGGAATATTATGTGCTGAGTGTGGTGGCTCACACCTGTAATCCCAGCACTTTGGGAGGCCGAGGTGGGCAGATCAACTGAGGTCAGGAGGTCGAGAGCAGCCTGACCAATATGGGGAAATACTGGCTGTACTAAAAATACAAAATTAGCTGGGCATGGTGGTGCATGCCTGTAAAGACTGCTACACAGGAGGCTGAGGCAAGAGAATCACTTGAATCCAGGAGGTAGAGGTTGCAGTGAGCTGAGATCGCACCATTCCATTCCAACCTAGGCAACAAGATCAAAACTTCGTCTCAAAAAATTAATTAATTAATTAAAATAAAATATAAAAATAAATAAATAAATGGAATATTATATGGAAACCCTGAAATTTACTTTTTTCTTTTTAATGATTATTGAAATTTGCATGTAGTTACAGAATTATATTTCATATTGTTCTCCGATTGTATTATTTTATTGTATTGATGTGCCATACTAAAATCTAAATATGACATGTAGTAATTGACTTTTATAATGCTTGGAATTGTACAGAATTAATGCAACTTCTACTTTTATTTGGTATTTTTTTGAGACAGGGTCTGGCTCTGTTACCCAGGCTGGAGTGCAGTGGTGCCATCTCCACTCACTGCAACCTCTGCTTCCTGGGCTCAAGAGATCCTCTCACCTCAGCATCTCTAGTAGCCTGGGACCACAGATGCCTGCCACCAGGTCCAGCTAATTTTTTTTTTTTTTGGTAGAGACAGAGTCTCACTATGTTGTCCAGGCTGGTCTCAAACATCTAGGTTCAAGTGATTCACTGGCCTTGGGTTCCAAAAAGTATTGGGATTACAGTTGTGAGCCACCACATCTTTCCTACAATTAATGCAACTTGTAACTGATGGTACTTACTGAGCAATAAGAACATTTACTATGAATCATGACAGGAATAAACATGTATCCTATCTATTTTTAAGATTTTCAGAAAATACACTTGTAACATTTTCTCTCAACAAATATTTAATTTTCCTGACTCCTAAACTGTGTCTGCACAATTATTATTATCATTATTTTTGATGAAAAATCTAGCTTCTAGAGGAGTGAGCTCAGTTATGAGTGTGTTTTGTTTCCTATGATAATTTATTCATATGCATGTTTTAATGTTTATTGGTTTATTTTCAGAAAGAAAACTGAATTAATATAAAAGCCTGTTTTCCTATATAACATATATTTTTGACCTTATTTTATTAATTTTCTTTGAAGCCATTTTTATATTTTTGTTTCTAAAATCCTCAGAAAATATTTTATTTTACTCTTTTTGATCAAGCAACATTTTTGAACCTATAATTTTCCTCCAAGTACATTTGCAATGATATATCTGAAATTTGTCTTATCCTATTCTAATATTATATTGTTTTCTTTCTCAAAATAGCAGGCTGCACTTATTTTTTTGCTCCAGTAGGTTTTTCTCTGTAGTTCCTATGTGAGTTTAAAAAAATTCCCTTTTAATTCCTTTTGAGCTCTATCATATTATGGTCAGAAAATATAATCTATACAAATTCTACCCCACAGCCTTTACTATAAGTATTTCATTGGCATTGAAAAATAATGTAAATTTTTAGTTTTATAATGTAGGTATAGTTTATATATGAGGAGGTATATATTATATACAGATATATATGGACATCTATTTTTATTTTCAAATTTGAGTAATTTAAAAATGTTATGTTTATTTTTATACACATACATTTTAAATTCACATCTGATAGTCTTGCTTTGCAATTAGTGAGATGACTGCATTTACATTTCCTTGTTAAGGTCCATTTTGGTCTTGATTCTGCCATGTTTTATTTTGTTTTTGTTCTGTTCAATGGGCTTTGCTTTTTTGTTTGACAAATTGTGTTGTATGGGCTGATGCTCTCCCAAATGCCTCATCTCCCTTTCTATGATAGCACAGCATCTGTCTAGTTAGTTGTCTGACTTGTAATTAGTTAAAGTTAATCACTTTATTTTGAAATAATGGTGGATTCTCATGCAGTTGTAAGAAACATACAGGGAGATTGTACGTACATTTTTCTTCACTTCACTGCAATGGTAACTTCTTACAAAGATAAACTATAATCTCATTGGTAGACTGCATGCTTTTGTCTTCCCAAGATTTAGATGTTGAAGATTTACCTAATAATGTGATGGTATTAGGTATTGGGGTCTTTGGGAGGTCATACATATTAGTTAAGGTGGTGAGGCTGGAATATGGTAAGGCTGGAGCCCTCCTGAATGGGATTTGTGCCCTCACAAGTGTCCTTGGGGGGCTTGCTTTCTCCCTTCTGCTATGATAGGACTGAAAAGGCAACTGTCCATGACCCAGAAGGGGGCCCTCTCCATAACCTAATTAACTGTGCTGGTGCCTTGACCTTGGCCTTCCAGCTTCCAAAACTGTGAGAAATAAATTTATTTTGTGTGTAAGCTACCTGGCTGTTGATTGTATTAGTCTGCTCTCATGATGTTATAAATTACCAGAGACTGGGTAATTTATAAAGGAAAGAGTTTTAATGGACTCACAGTTCCACATGGCTGGGTAGGTGTCACAATCATCGTGAAAGGCAAATGAGGAGCAAAGTCATGTCTTACATGGTGGCAGGCAAGAGGATCTGGTCAGGAGAACTCCCATTTATAAAATCATCAGATCTCATGAGATATATTCACTACCACAAGAACAGTATGGGGAAAACCACCTGCATCATTCAATTATTTCCACCTGGGCTCACCCTTGATACATGGGGATTATTACTATTCAAGCTGAGATTTGGGTGTGGACACAGCCATACCACGTCTGTGATCATTAGTTACAGCAGCCTGAATTGACTAAGACAATTAGGATTAGAATATTGATGCTGATACCATCAAGATATAGAACCTTTCCATGACCGCAAGAACCCACTATGTCCCCATTTGTAGACAGTCTGTCACCCTTCTACACCCATCACTACTTAACTACTGATAATCTTTCAACTGTCATCCATGTCTATAATTTGTCATTTTAATAATTTTATATAAATGAATTCTTACAGTCTGTCACCTTTGGTTACTGACATTTTCCACCTAGAAAATTCTTTTCAACTCATCCAGGTTTTGTGTAGATCAATACTTCATTCTTGGCTAGGCATGTTGGCTCACATCTGTAATCTGGCACTTTGGTAGGCCAAGGAGAGAGGATCACTTGAGTCCAGGAGTTTCAGACCAGGACCAGGATCTCACACAGACAAAAAAAGTTCATTCCTTTAATTAATGAGCAGTATTCAATGGCATAAATGTACCAGTTTATGGATCCCTTTACCCACTGAAGTGCATCTGGAAGTTTGTACTGTTTTGTTATTTTATTTTATAATTTGTTTTTTTTATTTGGACTGAGTCTCTTATGCACCCTCACAAAGAGAGTCTCTTATCATTAATTTATATGATGTTTGTATTATATATTAAACACTTATGATACATGTTATGCATTTATCCTGTGTTCTTTTACTATCATACCTATGAAACAGAATCTATCATTTTCTCCATGTGAGAGACAAGGGCACTATAAGATGTTTAATTCCTACTCTTCTAAAATTTTATTTTTCATTCTCTAGAAATTTTGTTCAACACAATTATAGAAATGATGTTTTCTTCAGGTGTTAGAACATTATATTGTATGCCTGAATATTCAGGTTCTCTTCTTTTCATTTCCGGCCACTTTATTACCCAACTTTTTTGTTGTTGTTGTTAAGATTGCTTTAAAACATTTCCAACATGAAAAACAGGAAAGATAAAAAATGAAGAGGAAAATAATTCAGTCTGTGATTGAATTATTAAGTTCAAATATCAACAAGGGCCTGGATAAATGCAAATACAGAAATAGAAACAGAGAGAGAGAGAGAGAGAGAGTGACTTGAGTTTTGGTGTGGTACTATGATACTTTATTTTGGTTTTCACATAAGAGGCTGAAGTCAATCAGACCACTTACTATAATGTGAAATTTCCTGTTTCTTTTTTTATTGTGATAAAATATATAAACATGAAATAGATAACTTTAACCACTTTTACATATCCAATTCAATGGCAATAAATGCATTCCTGTTTTGTACAGCCATTGCCATCCTCCATCTCCAAAACTTTTAAATCATACCAAGCTCTGTACCCAGAAACAGCAATTCTGCATTAACCTCTTGCCCAGCCCGTGGCAACCACAATTCTACTTTCTCTCTATGTAAGGTCAGATACTCCAAGTACCTCACAGAAGTGGAATTATATAAAATTAGTTCTTTTGTGAAAGGCTCATTTCACTAAGCATGTTTTCAAGGTTCATCCATGTAGTATTATGTGTCACAATTTCTTTCATTTTAAAAGCTGAATAGGACTGTATTTTATGTACTGATATGGTTTGGCTGTTCCCCCAACCCCCATCTCACCTAGAATTATAATAATCTCTACATATCAAGGGTGGGGCCAGGTAGAGATAATAGAATCATGGGGGAAGTTTCTCCCATACTGTTCTCGTCGTAGTGAATAAGTCTCATGAGATCTGATGGTTTATAAACGGGAGTTCCCCTCCACAAGCTCTCTCTTGCCTGCTGCCATGTAAGTCTTGACTTTGCTCCTACTTGCCTTCCACCATGATTTTAAAGCCTCACCAGCTAGATGAAACTGAGTTCATCAAGCCTCTTTCCTTTATAAATTAACCAGTCTTGGTATGTGTTCATTAGCAGCATGAGAACAAAATAATACATATACATACTACATTTGTTTGTCCATTTATCGGCTAATGCCCATGGGTTAATTCCATCTCCTGGCAATTGTGAGTAATGCTGCTGTGGACATTGGTGTCGATATATATTTTGGGACTCCACTTTCAATTTTTGGGTATATACTGTCAGGGTTCAGAAACTGAAAGCCCCAAATATGACACCTTGGCATACTGAGTGTTTTGAGGTGAAAGAAATTGAAAAAAACACAAAAAGCAAGAAGGTTACTCTGTGAATGTCTCCCTCTTTCTCTCCCTGAAAATAAGGCACAAGACTTTTATTTCACAGGGTGCTGTCCCCTTGCTAGAGGCCAAGAGGAATCTGAATATGAAGGTCTTGTTAAAGTTACCCTAACACTAACCTTAACCTTCCTTACCATTAGATCATACTCTCTTGTCCTCCAATTATACTTCATGATTACTCTTTATAAACATACAGTTTATCCTGGGTCTTCAGATCTTATTTCTGAAGGTTCTCATGTCTATAAGCTTATGTTAAGTAAATGTATATGCTTTTCTCTTCTTAATCTGTCATTTGTCACAGGAGTTTCAACCATGAAACTTCTGATGCGTAAAAAGCAGATCTTGCTTTTACTCCCCTTAAATACATGTAAGACGAATTGCAGGGTTCCATGGTTATTCTATTGTTAACTTTTTGAGGATCTTCTTTCAGGAAGAAAAATGTATCTTTTTTTTCTACCCATCACAGGTTTATGGCTGAGGACCTAAAACTGCCTTTGCAAAAATGATAACAGACAATTATGACAGTGAGAGATCTGACCTAACCAAATCCATCTTGCCTCTAAACTCCAAGCTGTCCTTGTTCATTCCCAGGCATAGGCTGAACTCACCGTGGGAGACATTTAGTTTACAGTTTAACTGTGAAACAAAGACAATAAAAGCTCTTTTCCCAAACAAACCTCTTTGCTGCCTGGGGACTAGACTGCCTTTGCAGGAGTAACAAAGTAGCCAAAATAATAGAACTTATAACTTAAGAGTTATGCAGCTGGAGGCTACAAGATTTTTTTTTTTTTTTTTTTTTTTTTTGAGATGGAGTCTGGCTCTGTCCAACAGGCTGGAGTGCAGTGACACTATGTCGGCTCACTGCAAGCTCTGCCTCCTGGGTTCATGCCATTCTCCTTCCTCAGCCTCCCAAGTAGCTGGGTCTACAGGCACCCACCACCACTTCTGGCTAATTTTTTTGTATTTTATTTAGTAGAGACGGGGTTTCACCGTGTTAGCCATGATGGTCTCAATCTCCTGACCTTGTGATCCATGCATCTTGGCCTACATGTTCTCGCTCATAAGTGGGAGTTGAACAATGAGAACACATGGACACAGGGAGGGGAGCATCACACACCAGGGCCCGTTGGGGCGTGTGGGGCTTGGAGGGATAATATTAGGAGAAATACCTAATGTAGGTGAGGGGTTGACAGGTGCAGCAAACCACCATGGCACGTGTTTACCTATGTAACAAACCTGCACGTTCTGCACGTGTAACCCAGAACTTAAAGTATAATTAAATATATATATATATACACACACATATATAGTTCCATAAAGATGCATATTTATTTAAATAAATGTACAGAGTCTCTTTTGGAGAGTTTGGCTAGCCATCTAGGAGGAAAAAAACTGCAACGTAGTAACATCCAGCTGTGCTTGTTACTCTGTAAACATGCGAAGCCTTATATTTTTGAATAAAATAACTATCCAAGTATAAAAAAAGAGATTTTCAAACAAAATGTCAGTAGATTTTGTTCTTTATTCTTAAAATATATAGTGAATAACTTCAATGAGATAATTAGCTTTTATGAATTTGAGAAAATTATTTTATACGACAAACTAGTTTATTTTGTTTTCCTCACATCTCAATTTTTTGTCTACAAATATAGTAAAATTTATGTGCTATGAAATGCACAATGTTAAGTGTACAATTTGATGAGTTTTGATAAATGCTTACTCTCAAATAACCAACATTTTATTTAAAATGTAGAACATTTCCATGACTTCAGAAAGTTACCTTAAGGTTGAAAGAGTTAAAGAAAGAGTTAAAGAAAGAGGATTACAGGAGTGAGCTACCTGGGATTACTCCTGTAATCTCAGCACTTTGGGAGGCCAACGGAGGCAGATCCTGAGGTCAGGAATTTGAAACCATCCAGGCTAATATGGTGAAACCCTATCTCTACTAAAAATACAAAAAAAATTGCTGGGCATGGTGGCGGTTGCCTGTAGTCCCAGCTACTTGGGAGGCTGAGGCAAGAGAATGGTGTGAATCTGGGAAGTGGAGGTTTCAGTGAGCCGAGATTGCACCACTGCACTCCAGCCTGGGTGACAGAGCAAGACTACGTCTCAAAAAAAAAAAAAAAAAAAAAAAAAAAAATTGGCTGAGAGTGGTGATGGGAGGCCATAATCCCAGCTAGTCAGGAGGCTGAGGCAGGAGAATCCCTTGAACCTGGGATGCAGAGGTTTTAGTAAGCCGAGATCATGCCACTGCACTCTAGGCAGGTTTATTTTGAAGAATAAGCCAGATAGGGGCTTCTTGCTGATTTTAGTCAGGATCACTCACTCTTACAAACTAAGAGTATTTATTGGTGAGAGAGCTTATGTGTTTACACACAGAAGTTCCTTTACAATTAAGCTTCCAAAACTTGTTTAAACCTTCAAAACAATTCTTTAACCTTTTAATGTAGGTAAAAATCCACATTCTTATGCCTCCTTATAATCTTTCTACCAAAAGTATATATAAACTGTATTTTCAATAGTCTTAAACACATGTTACAATGTTCATTTTTAGCAGACTTTACTTTTGTTAGTAAGTTTGGGATTTTAATTATGTACTAGGTGTAGAGCCTAGGATGTAGAAGGAAGTGCAGATAAGGTGTGGCTTATTCCACCATTTAACTCCATGTGTCCTAGGTCTTACCTAGCTGCAAAGCAAGGAAGATATACAGCTAAAAGCATTCAGGAGGCCTAGTCACTTTTAAATTATTCAACATTTCTTGCATAAAGTCCCTTTTATAAAATGTTATAAAAAGTTTTATAAAAACTTTTAACAAGATTAGAAGTTAGGTATTTCACTAAATAGTTCAAGATGTAGCTATATTTATTAAACCAATATTAATGTTTCATTTATTAAAAAATTACACAAGCAAAGATTATTCTGTTTGTGCTGAGTTATAGTTTTGCAGCCTCTATACCAAATTTTGAAACCTTATAGTATTTTGCAGTGATAAGTATGAAATTGCTTGATTAATAAATGCAAGCAAAAATGTATGCTGGCAACTCTTAAGACATTTCTAATCTTACTGTACCAGTAAGTTTTAAAAATTAAAGTCACACAAACAGAATGTTCCACAGTTTTTACTTTTTCCCTTAAAAAAATTAAGTACTTATTTTTTAGGCCACTTAATTAGAGTTCTTTTAATAGACATTGCACATATAACACATATATAGTCACACACACACACTAACACACACACACACAAGGAAAAACAGAAGAAGACCCAGTAGTTATAAGATTTTTTTTTCCTTCTAATTTACCAATTAGGTTATTGGACTTATTAAAGAATAGGGCTAGGAAAACAGTCTCTATGATCTAATAAGCAAGTATAAGTGAAAGACAAAGACAGATTTTGAGAGGTACTTATTCACTTCTAATTACAGGGGTTCCATAAGGAAAAAAGAGATTTTTCCCCAAATGGGATTTGTGGCACTTTTCTGTTTTCTCAAGGAGTCCCAGGCCACTATAAGTCATTTTAGAGTCTCTCATACCTGCGTGAAGCATGGCAAGAGTGGAGACAAGTAATTCAGTTCACTTGGGAAAAAACTTTTCCAGGAAAACAAGATTTATGATGAGAAATACATAAAAGCCTGTTGAATATATTCATAGCTTGGATATCCATTTCAATTTAGCTGAGTGCTCTTCATCAGGGGTGAGGATGAATGTTAGAATTATATAAATGTCATGATAAGTTAAGTTAAAGATTGGGTTATGTGTAGGAATTCCCTGTGATAATGAGAGGAATTTTCAGAGAAACATCCCAGATGCTGTTTGATTTGTGACAAATCATAGAGTAAGGAAGTGAACATAAGCAATGTCTTCAACCCTAGCCAATTCCTGGAGAGGGAGAATGGCAGAGGTGGTTTTTGAATGGGTAACAGATGGAGAAGGAGGAGTGGGGTTTGGGCTGAAAGCTTGGGGACAGTAGGGGCCACAGAGGCTGAGGGTTCAGATGTGCCAGAAGTGGACGCAGGGGGATGAGGATAAGAGTTTTGGAGAAAGGAGAGATTCAAGGAGGGTTTTTATTAAGAAGAAGGATTTCACAAGGGGTACAAGATAACAGAAGGAGGGTTGGGATTTAAGGCAAAAGTAGAAGAAAGCCTGAATATAGAGAGTGTCTTGCTGCTTATCATTTCTGGTTATGAAGTTGTCAAGATTCCTGAGAATTTGAAAGTTAAAGGTGCAATTTTCAGGCTATTGGCTGTCATTATCTAAGCTGTATTGGGGCCAGGCTGTGTTGCAATAAAAATCTAAACATGTAAGCCAAGTTTGGTGAGGGGGTGAAGGAGACAGCCCAGTGGAGAGGATATAGGGATATGGGATGGTTTGCCACCTGTGTGAGCTGGTTAGAAGAAACTGAGGGTGTCTGTTTTTGTTCTAGGCATCCCCAGACAAAAGACAGAGACCCAAAACACTCTTTCTAAAGAGAATGGCAAGTAGAGAAAAAGCTGAATGTCCCGAGTATTTCTTCTACCTTAGTTGCACTGGTCCTCTTGGGTCTGGATTTGGTGGGGTCTTGGTCTTGCTGACTTCAAGAATGAAGCTGCAGACCCTTGCAGTGAGTGTTACAGTTCTTATAGATGGTGTGTCCAGAGCTTGTTCCTTCTGATGTTCAGATGTATCCAGAGTTTTTTCCTTCTGTTGGGTTCATAGTCTTGCTTACTTCAGGAGTGAAGCTGCATACCTTTACAGTGAGTGCTGCAGTTCATAATGGTGGCATGTCCGGAGTTGTTTGTTCCTCCTGGTGGGTTTGTGGTCTCACTGACTTCAGGAGTGAAGCTGCAGACCTTCTCACTGTTACAGCCCACAAAGGTGGCGTTGACCCAAAGAGAGAGCAGCAGCAAGATTTATTGCGAAGGGTGAAAGAACAAAGCTTCCACAACATGGAAGGGGAACTGAGCAGGTTGCTGCTGCTGGCTCTGGTGGCCTGCTTTTATTCCCTTATTTGGCCCCACCCACATCCTGCTGATTGGTCCATTTTACAGAGTGCTGATTGGTCCATTTTAAAGGGTGCTGATTGGTCCATTTTTACCAAGTGCTGATTGGTGCATTTACAAACCTTTAGCTGGACACAGAGCGCTGATTCATGCATTTACAATCCTTTAGCTAGACCGAAAATTTCTCCAAGTCCCCTACCCAATTAGCTAGACACAGAACACTGATTGGTGTATTTACAAAACTTTAGCTAGACACAGAGTGTTAATTGGTGCATTTATAATCCTTTAGCCACACATAAAAGTTCTCCAAGTCCCTACCCAAACCAGAAACCCAAGCAGCTTCACCTCTCAATCCCCCCTCTAAACAGGACACCCCAACTGCTATTTGGAATTTGGCTGATGACTGCTTTAGCTCATTCCTGCTGGATAGTTTTGAAGAAGGGGCCCTGCAGTTGTAGTGTCCTCCAGAGGGGAACTCTTTAGGCCAGTGGAAGGGCTAGTGGGTCAGTCCAGGCGTCCTCAGTAGAAGTTGTTAGTTGAACTCATTTGGGGTTCCATTTGTAAGATCATCTGAAGCTTGATGGCCTTGATTCTATAGGAAACAAATTTGACAAGAAGGTTAAACATACAGGGCCCAGAGGCAAGTAACAGCAACATGGGTGCCACAGAACCTAGAAAGGGGAGAAGCCATGTTGCCCAATTCCAGAGGTTGGTATAACAGTTTGAAAGGCTTTGTCTGATTTCAGAAGCCTTTTCCTGTAAATGCCAGATGACATCTCGTACTATCCCTTACTGGTTAGTGTAAAAACAACACTCTTCCCCTAAGAAGGTGCAGAGTCCTCCTTGCTCAGCAATGAGGAGGTCTGGGCCTTGGCGGTTTTGGAGAGTCACTGCTGACAAAGAGTCTATTTGGGATTGTTCAGTAAGGATAGATTTTGTTATTTCTTGCAAACTGTCTGAGAAATCCTTTGAGAGTGTGTGGTAATAGGTTAATGAAGTAGATAGATTGGCTATTCTGGTTTCTGTAGCAGTAGCCATTCCTAACACCAAGTAGGGGTATTAGACATATGGTTCTGCATTGACAGACTTGAGTTTTGAGGGGTACAGAGAAGGTCTGATTTCCTGGAGCAATGTTAATGTTGGGACTTAGAAAGACTAAGTTGCAGATCCCAGTTCAGTTAGTGGGAAGACCGATATAGGTCGACATTCCACATAATATACCTTGGCTCAGTAGATGGAACTGGTTGTGTATGTTAAAAAGGTGTGTGAGTTTGTTGTTTTCATTTTCCCATACTCCTTGATTACTTGCCAAAGTAGCTCTGGTGAGTGGCTGGAAAGGGCGTGGGGAGAAAACTGAGTTCCCTGAGTTCTGTTTTCCCATTGGAGAAAAATCCATTCTGTATCTTCCAGGAACCATTCAAGAGAGTGATTGAAAAGGGGGATGAGAAGGCATTCACTAGTGGTGGGGGCACTTCTGCAGGGGGCCCAGGGGTGAATGGTCATGCAGTGAGTATGTTTGCCCTACAAAACCTGGACTGTTTGTTAAGCAGGGAGGAGGTGCTGATTTTGGGGGACCCTGAGAAGCAGAGAAGCCAACTGAATGGAGCTGTTTGGGTGACTCGGAAGTTACTACGATCAGTTGGGGCTTGAAGTTGTAGGGTGTAATGACACTGATGGGGTAGTAGGTGCCCCAGGGGCAGGCCTGATAACAAGTTGCATTGGATGCATAAATGGGCTTGGAAAGTTAAGATGGTATTCACAGTTACAGGGCCATGTATGGGCTTTTCATTGCTTGTGTAATAGGTGAAGTTGGAAATGTAAGAATGTAAACATTGGATTGCACATCCTGTTAGGACATTCTTGGTCCTATCAGAGATGGGGAAGTCAGCTACTGATTGCATATTTAGAAGTTGGAAATCGTCTTTTCCTTCATAATAAGGGTGGTAGGTTAAGTTAATAAAAACCCAGTTTTTTGCAGGAATGGGAGTGGCAACATAAGCAGAGGTTGATAGAAAGATACAAAACCAACAGTCATTTGCCAGGGAAGGATTGGACTGCTTTAAGAGACAATGGGTGAAGTTGAGAGTCTTGTAGAGGTAATTTGGAGCTAGTGGAAGGGGAAGGGTGATTGTATGAGGTATCCAAGGAAGCAGGAGGGTTAGATAGGCTAACAGTAAATAGGAAGGTAAAGAAGGTGCTCCAGAAGATGAGATCATTTTATCTAGGCTGAGTTAAAGGTAGGTGTAAATTGCTGTCAGAAGGAAGATAGAAAGAAGGTTGATGTGACTATGATTTTCATCCCAGCAGGAGCTACAGTATTTAGTCCTATCACAAAGAGTATAGTTAGTATGCTGCTTAATAATATAATATAATGAAATACTAAAAGGATTCTTTTAAAGGGTTGAGGAGAAGTGTTAAAGATTATGTAGGTTTTCACTTACCTTTTTTAAGGATGGAGGGGTTTTTCTTCAGGATCAGTGGTAGAAGCCTTTTTAGTCTGGGATATTTCCTTCTGAAATAGGAGATGCAAGTTCTGCAATGGTTCTCAGGTGTATCGAGGCTGGTCTGGCTGATCTTGGGACTCCTGATCTGACGGTCCTGCAGGTTCCTCAGGGCATGTCCAAAGTTTAACTCGGGTGTGGTGAATCCAAGGTTCCACTCCTGTCACCTTAACTGCAGTTGGGGTAGAGAAGATTACCGAGTATGGTCCTTCCCACAAAGAGTCCACAGATGGGGAGGTATAGGGGAGAGATTTGACCAACACTAGATCTCCTGGCTGAAACAACTCTGTTCCCTTTTTCCTGTGACATCCCTCAGGTAGTTTTTTTAGGTTTTGTTGATATTTTGCCAAATAAGTTATATCTTTGACCAAGTTGGCCCTTTACTGATCAAGTAGGAGGTCATTTGTGAGAAAATGTCATCCATACAGCATTTCATATGGACTGAGCCCCATTTTGTGAGGACAATTTCAGATTCTTAGCAAGGCCATGGGCAAAAGAATAGGCCATGGGAGATGAGTTTCTAGTGTGAGTTTCCTTAAGTGCCTCTTGAGTGTTTCATTTGCCTTCTTGACCTTCCCTGAGGATTGTGGCCTCCAGGTGCAGTGAAGGTGCTATTATTGTATCTGTAGCGCCATAGAAATTCCCTGAGTTATCTTGGCTTTAAAAGCCAGACAATTGTTGCTATGTAAGCTTTGGGGAAGCCCAAATCTAGGAATTGTTTCATGAATTAGGACATTAGTCACTTCCTGAGCCTTCTCTCTCTTTCAGGGGAAAGCTTCTATCCAATTTGTAAAAGTATAAACACAGATCAACAAGTATTGAAATCCCTTTAATAGGCAAATGGGTGAAGTCTAACTGCCAGTCCTCTCCAGGTTAGTGACCTATTCTTTGTTCCCCCAAGGGGCCTTATGATGAACCAAGAGATTATTCCTTTGGCACACTTCACAGGCTTTGACTACCTGTCTTGTGGTCCCAAGGATATTTGGCTTGTAAATAGAGATTTGCCTATTTGATGAGTGTTTTCAATACCCACATGAAAAGTTTGGTGGAGGGTTTTAAGTATTTTCCACTGGCTGGTTTTGGCTATAAGTACCTTTCCTTCTTCTGTCATTAACCACCCTGGGGGGAGAAAACTATGCCCCCATGAAAGTCCCCATTCTGTTTCAGTAGGGGAATACAGAGGCTTAATCTCTTCGACAGGTTGTTCCATACCAAGGGTCCTTCCATAGGTTTTTCTAATGGGATGTTCCACCTGGCAGAAATTTTGGCTTCAGCATCTGCCTGACAGTTTTCTTCTGCCTTTTCTCCTTCACCTTTCTGATGGCTTTGACAGTGTAAGACTGCCACCTCCTTGGGGTTTTGCAGTGCATGCAATAACTCCATAATTTCCTTGTGGTATTTAGTGCTGGTTCCCCCAGAGGTTAGGAACTCCATTTCTTTCTATATTGAAGCATGGGCCTGTAGGATTAGATAAGCATACTTGCTATCTGTTTACACACTTATTCTTTTTCCCTTTCCCAGTTCTGGGGCTTGGGTAAATACCACTAGTTCTGCTAACTGGATGCTGGCCCTGGGGGATATCACTAATTATGGCATAACCTGCCCTTCACATCCCATTCTCCACAAATGAACTTCCATTGGCATATATGTTAAGGTCAGGATTAGCTAAGGGGACTTCTGAGAGATCACCTCTTGTGCCATAATTCTGAACTATAATTTTTTGGCAGTCATGCCCAATTGGGTCCCTATACTCAGGGAGAAAACAGTCAGGGTTTAGGGCCAAGAACTTTCATATTTGAAGCACCAGTCCCTCAAAGAGCAGTGCCTGGTATCTAAGTAGGCAGTTGTCTGATAGCCATAAACTTCCTTTGGCACTTAGTATGCCATTTACATCATGAGTAGTCCAGACAGTGAGATCCTTTCCTATATTATTTTCATAGCCTCTGACACTAAGGCCGCCATTGCAGCAACTACCTGTAAGCAGTGAGGTCAGCTTTTTGCTACTACACCAGTTTCCTTACTTAGGCATGCCACTGGTTGTGCAATTGACCCATGAGTATGAGTAATGACTCCAAAGCTATCCCTGCTCTCTCTGTGATGTACAAAGAGAATTTTTGTCCTGTGGGAAGGCTTAAAGCTGGAGCTTGTAGTAGGGCCTGCTTTAAGGTTTTAAAGGCTGTTTCTACCTCTGGTTCCCATTCTACTAGATGAGTATTTGCCCTCTGGCTCTCCTTGATTAGTGTATAGAGGGGCTTGGCTATCTTGCTGTATCTGGGGATCCATATTTGGCAAAAGCCATTGATTCCAAGGAACCCCTGCAACTGTTTTAATGTCTTAGGGCAAAGATAAGCCAATATAGGTTGTATTCATTCTTTTCTGAGGGCTCTGGTTCCTCTGGCTAAGATTAGGCCTAGATATTTAACCTGCTGTAGGCAAAGCTGGGCCTTCGACCTAGACAGCTTGTACCCTTGATTAGCTAGAAAGTTCAAGAGATCTAGAGTAGCCTGCTGGCATGAGGCTTCTGAACTGGTAGCCAAAAGTAAAACATCCACATACTGAAAGACCAGAGTGCCTGAACTTGAGAAGTGGCATAGATCTTGGGCCAGTGCCTGACCAAACAGGTGAGGACTATCACTAAACCCTTGGTGCAAGACCGTCCACATAAGTTGGGACATGTGGTCTCTGGGATCCTCAAAGGCAAAGAGAAACTGGGAGTAAGAGTACAGGGGAATACAGAAGAAGGCATCCTTGAGGTCCAGAACAGTGAACCATTCTGCTTCCTCTGGTATTTGAGAGAGCAGGATATAGGGGTTTTGTACAACTGGATATAGAGGAATTACTGCCTCATTCATGAGTCTAAGATCTTGCACTAGTCTCCGCTGACCATTTTGGTTTTGTACTCCAAGAATTGGGTGTTGCAGGGACTGCTGAACTTCCTTACTAAGCCTTGAGATTTTAAATGTTTAACAATATCCTGGAATCCTTTATGAGCTTCAGGCTTTAAGGGATATTGCCTTTGATAAGGAAAAGTGGTGTGATCTTTTAGCCTGATTTGGACTGGGTGGGCATTTTTGCCCTTCCAAATTGTCCTTCCAATGCTCAGACTTCAGGGTTGATTCCCTCCCTAAGTAGGGGACAACAAATGGGTAACTTGTTCCCCATATTCATGTAGATAATAAGTCTAGCTTTGGCCAATATATCTCTCCCTAAAAAGGGTGTGGGACTTTCAGGCATAACAAGAAAGGCCTGTGAAAATAGCAAAGTCTCCCAATTACAACTGAAGAGGTGGGAGAAATACCTGGTTACAGGCTGTCCCAGGATTCCTCAGATGGTAACCGACCTTGAAGACAGTCATCTAGGACAGGAGATTAATACCTAGAAGGCCATGCCAGTGTCTAGGAGGAAGTCAATTTCCTGGCCCTCAATGGATAAATGTACCTGGAGCTCAGTGACAGTGATGTCATGAGCTGGTGCTTGCTCTGGGCACCCTAAATCCTGTTGTTGGATCATCTGGTTGGGGGCTTCTGACCCAGACATCCTTTGTCCTCTGGGGCAGTGCACCTTCCAGTGATTGCCTTGGTATAGTGGGCATGGACAAGGGGCAGCTTTTTTCTCATTGGACAATCTTTTTCAAAATGTCCTTGTAAACCACATTGGTAAAAAGCTCTACTGGGTAATTTGCCTGCTCCATTTTCTGTCCTCTCTGAACCACCAAGGTTTGTTTGTGTTAAGGCCATGACTAAAGCTGCAGACTTTCTCTGATCTCACTTTTCCTTTTGGGCCTTTTCCTCTTGGTCCCTATTACAGAATACTGAGGTTGCCAGGTTTAATAATGCCTCCAGATTTCATTCAGGGCCCAGGGCTTGCTTTTGGAGCTTTCTCCTGATATCTGCAGCTGATTGGGTAATAAACTTATCTTTTAGAATCAATTGACCCTCGAGTGATTCAGGTGACAAGGGAGTATATTTTCTTAAGGCCTCCCGTAGCCACTCATGGAAGGCAGAAGGATTTTCTTCCTTTCCCTGAGTTATGGTGAACATCATTGATTAATTCATGGGCTATTTCCTAATACTCCTTAGTCCTCCTAGAACACAGGTCAACAGATGTTTGTGACTCCAGTCCCCATGATCTAAGTCAAGGTCTCTGTGGGGATTCATACTGGGGATGGCTTGCTGACTGGTAGGGAATTCATCCCTTTTTTTGGCCATCATTGTATCATTTACTTGACTAAGGTACCAGGTATCTCTGAACTATTGGGCTGCAGCTAAAGCCACATTCTTTTCATTAAAGTCCAGGGTTTTATCTAACAATAACATGACATCTCTCCAAGTGAGATTGACGGTTTGCCCTAGACCCTATAGGACATCTGTGTAACTTTCAGAATCATCTGAAAATTTCACCAGGTCTGCCTTAATCTGCTTTAAGTCAGAGAAGGGGAAGGGGACATGTACTTGAGTTGGGCCAAATTTGCCTCCCCCTACAGCTTGAAGGGGACATAACTGATAGCCCGGGAGGTTTTGTGGTCCTTTGGAGATTTCTTTGCTTATTTCCTTCTGGGCAGGGGAGATTAGAGGAGGATTGTCATTAATAGGAAGGGGAGCTATAGGGAGGCTAGGATATGAGCGTAAGCTGAAAGGTCCTCCTGTGGGATGTAAATTGTAAACATTGCATAGTTGTGTATTTTCTTTCAATGAAAAGAAAGCTTGGACATAAGGTATTTCACTCCATTTGCCTTCCCTCTTATAGAAAAGGTCAAGTTGCAGGATAATATTATAATTTATACTTCCCTCAGGTGGCCATTTTTACCCATCAGAGAGAGAATATTGGGGCCAGACCATAGCACAGAAAAAAAATGAGCCACCTCTTTTTCAGGGTTTGTGGATCAAATTGGTGCCAGTGGCTTAGGATGCATTTCAAGGGTGAGCCTGTGGATGCTTGAGTGTTTCCTATCTGAAAGATAAAAACAACTGTGGCTTTGGTTTGTTTGTTTCTCCCCCTGCCCAAGAACCTGTGACAGTCCATGGACCTGCTGATTGGAATAGTTGTGCTCACTGACACAGCAGCAGTAACACCTTTTCCCCAAGAACCTGCAACAGTCCCTGGACCCTGCTGATAGGAATAGTTGCACTCACTGATGCAGCGGCAGAAACACTAGTTTTGCTCCTAGACCACAAGGAGGACCCAGGAAGGTCATATTTAGTGGCTCTTACTGATCCATTCTCCAAAACCTGCACCTTGTCTGTCCTCCTAGACCACAAAGAGGACCAATACAAATCGGATTTAGTGGCCCTTAGTGACACGTCCTCAAAAAGCTGCTAGACTCCTAGGCACTCTCCTGTTAGTATTGGGATCTTACCCATGTCCTGTAAAGATATTATGCCCCCAAAATGAAGTGGAGGGCCATACCCTGAGGGAGGGAAAGGATCTCCAGAGTTGGAAGAGTGACACATTTTGTCCTCATTTACATGAATAGGAAGGATACAATTTCTGAGGCTACCCATATCCTAGTTTCAAGAATAGCTTTTGTTAGGCCTGCTTGTCAGAGGAGGAATTCTAAAATTCCAGATAGTCCCTCCTGTGATGGAGCTTTGAGAAAAATTATATCTTTCTGATTGGTGAGCCCAGGTGCATAAAGAAGGTAACAGAGTCCTGGAGTTTATACTAGAAATCATTCTTATAGGAGAACGTAGAAAAAACCAGAGACAAGGAGTGTTTTTTTAGAAGCAGGACTAGATTCAGAGAAGAGAGGCAAGAGGACATTTGCCTGGCAGGCATTAGGACACAGGAGTCAAGGGTCAGGATAGATAAGATAGATGGGTGAGACTCGCTTGGGCAACATGACTTTGAGAGTTCCACTCATGGTCACAGGGTCAACCAACTTGTTGTTGGGACCCTGGAGCTGAATGGCTTTCCTCTCTGTTGACCCTCAGCTCAGCCCGGAAGTACAGCACAAGAAGAAGCTGGTTCCAGGTAAACCAACACTCCCAACTCCAAAGAGTCGGGGGTTGTTAAAGATACCTTTCCCAGAAAACCTGACACCCATGTTTTTAGTGTGGTGGCCATGCTAGTCACTTTTAACTGGCTGACAGGTGCCAGTATTTAGCCCCTGAATTCTAAGGAAATATAGGACAGAATAGCAAGCAAAAGGGGTCCGATGGTACTCACCAATTGGCAATAGACAATAGTCTCACCACTTAGCAATGGGTGATGGTTCCTTCTTGGTTGCCAAAATGTGTTTGGAATTGGTGGGTTCTTGGTCTCGCTGACTTCAAGAATGAAGCGGTGGACACTTGCGGTGAGTGTTACTGTTCTTAAAGATGGTGTGTCCAGAGTTTGTTCCTTCTGATGTCCAGATGTGGCTGGAGTTTCTTCCTTCTGGTGGCTTTGTAGTCTCACTGACTTCAGGAGTGAAGCCACAGACCTTTCCAGTGAGTGTTACAGTTCATAAAGGCAGGGCGTCCAGAGTTGTTCATTCCTTCTGGTGGGTCTGTCATCTCACTGACCATAAGAGTGAAGCTGAAGACCTTCACAGTGAGTGTTGCAGCTCATAAAGTCAGCACAGACCCCAAGAGTCAGCAGCAGCAAGATTTATTGTGAAGAGTGAAAGAACAAAGCTTCCAAAGCATGGAAGGGGACCCGAGCCAATTGCCGCTGCTGACTTGGGTGGCCTGCTTTTATTCCCTTAATTTGCCCAATCCACATCCTGCTGATCGGTCCATTTAACGAGAGCTTTTCATCCATTTTACAGAGTGCTGATTGGTCCATTTTTACCGAGTGCTGATTGATGCACTTACAAACTTTTAGCTAGACACAAAGCACTGATTGGTACATTTACAATCCTTTAGCTAGACAGAAAAGTTCTCCAAGTCCCTACCCAACCCAGAAGCCCAGCTGGCTTCACCTCTCACTCTGAGGACCTGGTTGGCAGACCTGACTTTCCAGGGTACTGCGAGATAATGAGGATAGGGCAGATCTTACCAGTTGGCTCAATTAGTGTCTGATGTTGGATGTTCCAGCTGGAATTGCCAAAAAGCCTCTTGGTCTGGAGATTTATGAGAAAGAGAGAGAGAGATAAAAAAGAGAGAGAAGCAAGGATTAGGGAGAAGGAGGGAAGAGAGTGAAAGCCATTGCAGGTGGTCACAGGTGGGTTCCTGAGGCTTGAGGTTTGTGAGAACCCACTGGGGAGCAGCCCCAGCCTGAGCCTCACAGTCCCCTTCAGGTTACTTGTCCTCCTCATTCAAATTGCAGAAAAGTGAAGTGAGAGACAAGATTGGATCAGTGGCCAGAGACTTTCAGGATCCAGCAAGATGAGTAGCTGCTGTCCTCTGCTTCCTGGGTTCCAAGAGAGCCTCTGCCCCCAACACCCATCCTTGGCTTTGGCACCAAATGTATCAGTTAAAGGAAGAGGAAAGAAACACAAAAAGTGGATCCACAATCAAAGACAAGTTTATTCTGGAGAAATTAACCTGAGAGGGGTTTCTGGTAGATTTTGTTCAGAGGTGCTCTCCCCCACAGAGTGAGTATAGGTATGTTTTAGGGTGAGCAGGCTTATCAAGATCTTTAAGTGTTTCTGGGTGGGGGAGAAGTTTATGGCAGGGTTGGCATGTCTCTGGTTAGAGAGGAGGTTATCTTAGGGTTGGTCTGTCTCTAGTTAGGAAAGTGTTTATCTTATGGTAGGAATGTTTCTGGTCAGAGATGTCATTTGTGGTTTATGGCCATGCTGAGCTTAGTCATTATGCCGATGCCCTTTGGATTTAGGCTGGTTTTGATCAAGGTAAACTTTAGAATGGTGGTGATTGGCCAATACGGTGATGCTCCTGCTCTGTTAATGACTACTCCCAGTCTATCTCCACCATCAAATATAGGCAGCAAGTTTTCTCATTTCCATCAACATGATTAGATTTTTTGCATTGAAGTTCAAATGCATCTAATATGGCCATATCTCCCTCTCTATATTGTTCAATACATCAGTGATTTGCTCCTTTTCAGTGCTGAGTAATATTTTATTGTATGAGTATACCCCCATTCTTCTGTTGATGGCATTTGCATTATTTACAGTCTTTGCTTATTAGAAATAAAGATTTTATGAATATTCTTGCTGAAGTCTTTTTGTGGACATAAACATATTATTTCTCTTAGGTCAATATTAAGCATAGAAGTATAAATTATAGGGTCAGTATGTGTGGTTTTATAAGAAAATGCTGGTGTTCATTGGCAATGTGGGGAAGTACAAATCTATTCAACTAGTATTTTTTTTTAAATTTCAGTCCTTACAGTTGGTGGAAAGTTATGTTTTCATGGTTTTATTTTGTATATTCTGATGACTAATCATGTTGAGCAGCTTTTTATGGCATTTATTGGCCAATTCTATATTTTCTTTAGTCATGTCTAAAATATTTGCTCATTTTTCAATGGATATCTTTTCTTTTTTATTGATGTTTTAGTTTTTATGTATTCTTGATTGAAGTCCTTGATCATAAACATGTATTGCCAATGTTTACCTCTCAGTCTTTGGCTTATTTTTATGGTTTATTAACAGTGTGCTTTCATAAGTAAATAATTTACCATTGACAAAGTCTAATATGTCTTTTTTTCTTCTATGTTTAATTATTGCTCTATCCTTTCTAAGAGGTGCCTGCTTTGGGGTAGCAATTTTATTGTCTGACTACATAGAATTTGAATAAACAATCTGTAAATAACCTTTCAAGGATGATGGTATATTCTAAATAAGAAAATTATAGAATAAGAAAGTTTGCCCATTATGAAGACATGTGGAACCCAACAATATAGCATCAAACCATACCAAGTATGACAGACAAAGCTTCAGTAACAATTTTGTCTATAAGGAAAAAGTTTAGAAATTGAAGAGATCAAACTGTCAAATAATAAATGTGTTCACCTTGCCTGCTGCCTAGACAGAGCTGATGTTTCAAGACAGGGGAATTGCAATGGAGAAATGGTATTTTATTTACAACAGCCTTCATGGGAGACTGGTGTTTTATTATTACTCAAGTCATTCTCCTGGAGCATTCAGGGATCAGAGTTTTAAAGATAATTTGGTGAGTAGGGGCTTGGAAAGTGGGGAGTGACCTGATTGGTCAGGTTGGAGATAGAATAAAAGAGGTTTGAAGTGAGGTTTTCTTGCTGTTTTCTCTCCCTGGGTGGGATGGCAGAATTGGGTGAGCCATATTACCAGTCTGAGTGATGTCAGTTAATCCATCCCGTTCAGGGTCTGAAAACAACTCAAGCACTGATCTTAGGTTTTACTGCAGTGATATTATCCCCAAGAACAATTTGGGGTAGGTTCAGACTCTTCCAGAGACTACATGACTCCTACAGTGTTGTTTCTAATTTTTTACCTATTTTGTTATTCCTACAAAACAGACTGGTCCCCAGACAAGAATGGGGTATTTTTGGGAAAGGGCTATTATCAATTTTGTTTCAGAGTCAAACCATGAACAAAATTCCTTCCTAAAGTTAGTTCAGCCTATGTCCCAGAATGAACAAGGACAGCTTAAAGGTCAGAAGCAAGAAGGAGTTGGTTAGTTATGATTTATTTTAGTGTCATAATTTCCTCAGTTACAATTTTGCAAAGTTGGTTTCAGAAGTAGAGATGTTACATTTGAACAATACAATTAATAAAAATGTGTCATAAGATATACACTGAACTTTACATCCACAAATAATCTTTTCCTTTTAAGATGTACATTTTAGAAAATTTAACCATGTTCTAGGCATAAAATAAGTGTCAACATTTTCCAAAGAATCAGAATTGTATAACCTATGTTCTCTAGCCTTAAATAAAAATGTAAAGTAACATAATAAATAAGTCTAAATGTAATAAATTCAGCCAGGCAACTGCTTTGTTTTTGCCATCTTAGGCTCAACTAACCAAGGTGATCCTTTGCCTGCAAAATTGAACATTTGGGTTAGTTTCATCTAACACTTACAGGAACAAGAAATGCTGGGTTAGTAATGAAATGAGTTGATCAAATGCTCCAGAGCAGATCTGACAGTAGAACATGTTCAGGGAAAATTGCAGAGTATGCTTCCTCCTGTTTATTTATTTTGAGATGGAGTCTTGCTCTGTTACCCAGACTAGATAGAGTGCATTGGCACTAATTCAGCTCACTGCAACCTCTGCCACCAGGGTTCAAGCAATTCTCCTGTTTCAACTTCCCCAGTAGCTTGGACTACAGGCACATGCCACCATGCCTGGCTAAATTTTTTGTATTCCTGCTAGAGACAGTGTACCACCATGGCCAGTCTGGTCTCAATCTCCTGACCTCAGGTGATGCCCCCTGCCTTGGCCTCCCAAAGTACTGGGATTATAGGCATCAGCCATGGCACCCTCCCTGCAGAGCATGTTTCAGTGCACCAAGAGAAAAACAAAACAAAATGAAACAAAACATTGTAACATTTTCACTGAAGGCTGTTGGGTCTGTAATGCAGTAAGATGACTTGTCTCTATTTACCAAGGTTTACATTAAACAACAATTATTTTCAGTATTTATAGATGTGTTTAGAGCAAAACTTTTAAATTTCCTTTTCAAAAGATAGTGCTTTATCTAAAAATATAACATTATTATGTATTACTTAGAGTTGTGAATTTGATTAAGTATACTTTTCTCCATCTCAGCCTGCTTGAATTTTAAAAATCTTTGTTTTCAGCATGTCTGAGCCATTGTGCTAATAAGACTTTACCCACCAAGAATCCATTTGCGATCATTTATTGCCACACCTGAGTCCAGCTACAGTCCTGAAAACTGAAGCTAGAACTTATGCTTTCCATGTAGACAAATGAAAATTCCTCCAAGGATTAAATAAAAGATAAATTACATTTAAATCACAGAAGGAGTATAGACAAAGTTCTTCATTTAACTGTCAGAGAAAAGGACAATCATTTCTATTGCTGGTCTGTACTGGCCTTTCCCTTAATTTTAAATGTTAACAGTGTCATTCACATTTATCTTCTTTTGCATCTCTTAAAGCAGTTTTCTGTTCTTTTACAGAAAAATATGACAGGCCAGAGTGTAGTTAACAATTCTAAGATTCCTGGAAAAATATTTCTAGGTCTTTGTTCTGTCAACTCAGTGAAGAGATTGAGCTTCCACAGTGTGGACAAAGTCAGGTCTCTACTTGAATGGGGCAAAAGCTACTGAAAAAGAAAACAGAAAAAAGTTTTACATGAATTAAAATGTTCATATTAAATTGACATAAATTATACTGGAAAATGCATTAAATGTCAATTCATCTCTTCAGTTTTCTTCCAGATGATGATCTTAGCATTAAAGTATTCATAATTTTCTCTTTTTGTTTCTAATTCAAACGACAGTTGTTTGGAGTTAAAAGGCTGTTCTGAAGGTTTTGTTGTGTTTGCTGCACACAATAGCTGCAGAACCACTGGTATGCCTTCTAGGTGCTACATCATTGTTCATTTACTGGGCATGCAAGAAGTACAGAGACTGGTAAATTCCAGAGGCTGGCACCAATACTGGAGGGGCAACAATAGTCATCCCATGGCACCAACTCTGTGTGACTTCAATTTTCATGGGAAAACAGCTGAAAGGGTTCCAGAGAAATAGTGTGCATGCATGCACACACTCATATACACTCTGTGGGATCATAGAACAAAAAAATATAGCTCTTGGAAGTGAATTAAATAACTCTCAATATAAACTCCAAGGATTATGGTTGTAATAATCTACATGAGTTCTGATAAGAATGTTTTATACATGTGTGGATTTTGTATATTATATATAATTTTATATATTATATATAATTATATATTATATTATATATATAAAATATGTGTATATACATATATACACACATGTAAACTATATATTTAAATACAAAAACATTTATATTCTATATTTATATATTATATGTATATTATAGATTAAAATTGAATATCACATCGGTCTGGTTTAGAGTCAGACAGATCTGGTATGCAATTATTTTTCCTGCAGGTGAGCTGTGTAATTTTAGGCAGTTTATTTAACCTTTGTAACTTTCCTTCTGTACCTAGAAAATAGAGGTATCAAATGTGCTAGGGTATGCATGTGTCTCCCCAAATTCACATCTTGAAAAAAATTGTGAAAAATTGTGGTTAACATCAAAATTAAGCACACACCCCCAACCCTGCCCAAACATTTGCATCAACTTCCTCCTGTATGCCAGAGCAAATGACTGGAAGCTGGGTGAGACATGCCTTATTATACCCTGCTCCCTTTTCCTTTTTTTCAGGAAAAGCTGACCAGCATTTAACATTAACAGAAACCTTAAGTCTGATAAGAAACATTTACAGTCTATTCTCTCTGGGGCCTTGCTACCTGGAGGTCTCATTTGTATGATGAAACGTTATTCTCCACGACCTCTTATTCAAACCTAGATATTCCTTTTTATTGATAATAAAATTTTAAATCTATCTATAACCTGGAAAGCCCCCTACCAACTTTGAGTTGTCCCACATTTCTGAACAAAATGAATGTATATCTTAAATGTATTTGACTGATATCTCAAGTCCCCCTAAAATGTATAAAACCAAGCTGTATATTCTCAGGGTATCCTAAGGGCTATGTCATGGGACATGGTCAGTCATATTTGGCTCAGAATAAATCTCTTCAAATATTTTACAGAGTTTGACTCTTTTCATCAACAATTTTAATCCATATAATGTTAGAAAAATGAATCTAAGAGGTACTCTTCGTTTTATGCATATATATAAATATAAATATACAATCATGTACCATATAATGATATTTTAGTAACAATAGACTGTATAGATAATTATGATCCCGTAAGGTTATAACACCATGTTTTCAATGTATCTTTTCTTGGTTTAGGTATGTTTAGTTACACAAATACTTACCATTGTGTTACAGTTGCCTACAATATTCAGTACAGTAAAATGCTGTGAAGGTTTGCAGGCTAGGAGCAGTAGTAGGCTGTACCATACAGCCTGAGTGAGTAGTAACTACCCCTTTTAGGTTTGTGAAAGGCATTATGAGGTGCACAATGATGAAATCTAATGACCCATTTCTCAGAACGTATTCCCATCATTAAGTCAATGATGACTACATATACATATATAATTACTGCATACATATATATTTACTTACACAATATATATTTATACCATATATAGTAATTGTCTATATATATATGCATACTTATATATATACTTATATATTTATATGAATTACAAACAGCATGTTTTAGATGCAGTTGTATTACATTATATGGATTAAAACTGTTGTAATATATATCACAAGTCTTAATATATGTTTTATATAATATATAAAACATACTGTATATGATAGAGCAGAAGCATTGCCAACTTGGACAAGTGCCATCATTCTAAAGTTCACCTTGATCAAAAACCATCTAAATCCAGAGGGCAACAGCCTGATGGCTAAGGTCAGCATGACCATAAATCACAAATGACATCTTCAACCAGAAACATTCCAAACCCACCTGACCAGAGATATGCCAGCCCTGAGATAACCTCCCCTCTGGCTGGAGACATTCCAACCCTGCCATAAACGTCTCCTGCAGTGGGTTTTCAAAACCTTCAGGTCTTGGGAATCCACCTCTGACCACCTGCAATGAGTATTTCATTCATCCTTCCTTCTCTCTTTCCTTGTGTGGCAACAGTCTAAAAGGAACTTTGCTGATTCCAACTAGAACATCCAATATCAGACACTAATGCAGCTGACTGGTAAGATCTGCCCTCCTCTGGTTTTCTTATGGTACCCAGGAAACTAAGGTCTGCCATCCCAGTCCTCAGAGGACCAGTGCTTCTAAGCTAGAAGAAATCTTGGGGATGTCCAGTTTCATCTCAGCTTGAACATCCTCTTTGGGAAGAGGATTCTGGGTCTCTGTCTTTTCTCTGGGGATGTCTAGATCAAAAACTGACAGCCTCGTTTTCTCCTTACCAGCCCACAAAGGTGTCAAATGTTCTCTCCACTGGGCTGTTTCCTTCACAGCCTCACCAAACGTGTCTTATGGGAAAAATGAAGCCAAAGCATTTGGTTTTTTTATTGCACCATGGCCTGGCCCTGGTAAAGATTAGTTAATGACAGCCAATGGCCTGAAAATGGCACCTTTAACTTTCAGATTCTCAGGAAACTTGACAACTTCATAACCAGAAATGACAAATGACAAGAGGTTCTCTATATTCAGGATTTCTTCTACCTTAAATCCCAACCCACCCTGTGTCAAGCTTGCACCCTTCGTGAAATCCTTCTTCTTAATGAAAACCCTCTCCAGGTCTCTCTTTCCTCCAAATCTCCTTTTGACTCTGCAGATGAACCCCCTCCATATTCTCCTCCCCCTGCATCCACTCCTTACCTGTCCAAACTCTCCGCCTCACTGACCCCTCTTGCCCTCAAGCCTTCCAGCCCAAACTGCCACTCTCCCTCTTCTCTGCCATTGCCCATTCAAATACTACCAGTCAAACCACCTTGGCCATTCTCCCTCTCAGGGAAATGTCTGGCTGCAGGCATTGCTCATTTTCTTGTGCCTTTCTCCATGTCTGATTTGTCACAGAGTGAACAGCATCTGTGATGTTTCTCTGAAAATCCCTCTAATTATCACAGGGAATTCCTGCACATAACCCAATCCTTTAACTTAACTTGGCATGATATTTACATAATTCTAACCTCCACTCTCACCCCTAATGAAAAAGAGCACTCAGCTTCATTAAAATTGATATTGAAGCTATGAGTATATTCAAAAGCTTTTATGTTTTCCTCTTCATAAATCTTGTTTTCCTGGAAAAGGTTAATTCTCAGTGAACTGAATTAGTTTTCTCCACTCTGTCTTGCCACTCTTGGTGCAAGCATGAAAAACCCTAAAATGACTTATCCTGGCCTGGGACTCCTTGAGGAAACAGAAAAGGCACCACAAATCCCATTATGGAAAAAATCTCTGTTTTCCTTATGGAATCCCTGGAATTAGAATTGAGTAAGTACCTCCCAAAATCCGTCTCTGTTTTCCAGCTATGCTTGTTTATTAGGCCCTGAAAGCTGCTGAAAGCTGTTTTCCTAGGCCTGTTCTTAAAGGGCCTCACCCAAAGGCCGGTAATCCAATTGGGAAATTAGCACAAAAAATACATATATATATACATATACATATATATATACACACACACATATATACATATATACATAATCTTTGCTTGTATAATTTTTAAATAAATTAAACATTAATATTGGTTTAATGAAGGTAGCTACATCTTGAACTATTTAGTAAAATACCATAACTTCTAATCTTGTGGCCTTAAAACAGTCTGTTCCACAGACCTGAAGGTAGTTTGTTCTGGGAAAGGACTGTTATCATGTTTGTTTCAAAGCTAAACTATAAACTGTGTTAAATACAGTATAGTTGAGGCATGTCTGAGATTGTCTATGAAAGTGATTAAAAATTTTATAAAAGGGAATTTATCCAAGAAGTGTGGTACAATTTAAAAGTGATTAGGCCTCTAAAATGGTAATTCCTAGCTTTACAGCTTGCATGTTTTCAGTGAGGTAAAAATCTAGGACACATAGAGTTAAATGCTGGAAGAAGACCTTATCTGCACTTCTATCTAGGTCCTAGGCTCTCCACCTAGTGCATAATTAAATTAAAACCCCAAACTTACCAACTAATTAAAGGTTGCTAAAAGTTAACACTGTGACATGTATTTAATACTATTGAGAAACACACTTTGCATATACTTTTAGTAGAAAGATTGTAAGAAGGCATGCAAATGTGGATTTTTACCAAGATTAAAAGATTAAAGAATTGTTTTAAGTTGAACAACATAAAAATGAAGGTTTAAGCAATTTTGGAAGGTTAATTCTAAAGGAAATTCTGTGTAAACACATTGGCTAAAGTTACGGGGTATCATCCAGTTTTTCTGTAAATTAAGCATTAAAATAGAAGCACAAAGGGTTTTTCTTAAAGCACTAATGTGCTCTTTGACAAAAATTATAAAGAGTTTATTTAAATGGGTCTACAAAAGTCCTACCTATTGTCAAACATGAAAATTGGGTAAATGTGTCTACAAGGTTTTATTACAAATTGAGTTTAACATTAATAGCACACTAATATAAAGTTAAAGTTTGGCTTATTTGGTATAAAATCATACAGGAAGCATTGTCAAATATAAAATGGTGTTTGGATTTCTTTGGGCTATATTTGTACAAATACATTATTGGTATGTGTTCCAAAGTTGTAAGACACTGCTATATTTCTGATATATCTTTGTGTACATTATCAGTAATAATTATAATTGCTATGGTAAAGTTATTGTGTGCCACAAAGGCAACAGATATCCTTGTCAATTGTAAATTTAATTTTGGCTACCCTAATACTTTTTGTCATCCATGAACAATTGTTGTCTTATTTTGGTTCTCTTTTGAAGGTGGTTTCATAATCAGCTATAAAGCTCTAAAAAGTGTTCTTTAATACAGATTTCTCATAAGTTTGCATATTATAACATTGGAATCAAGGAAAAACATTCAGGACTCTTGAAGAGCTAAAATGTTCATTAATATCAGGCAGGATACAAATTAACCTCCTGAACTGAACTAATAGGAGACTGGAGGATCTTTTTTATGTTTGCTTAAAATATTGCAAACATTTTGTTTTGCTTTCAAAAGACAAAGAAACTTCTTTTTAGAGCTATTAACAGCTTTTAATAATTTAGTATACTCCTGTGAACAAAATTTGGAGCATACTTGTTTCTCTCTACCTGATTTTCTCCAGAATTTGGAAACTATCTGTGAATATTATTAAGTTATAGTGATACAGTTGTTTGCCTAAATGCCATAATAATCTGTTTTCATTTCTAACAGGATGCAATTGGAGAAACTGGTAATTTTACCAAGGTTTTGACTGTAATAGTGTTCTTTCTTTGAGGAATGAAACTTGCCTTATGAAGCCAATAAAGCCCTTAGAAAACTGTCCTCATATTTTGTGTACACAGTTCCTGTACAGGGTTTCTGATCTGTGGGAAGTAAAGAATGTCACTTTCTTACAGGCCAGGAACCCCAAGTTATGTTGATCCCTCCAGAGGCAACACATAGGTATTTAATGGTAAATTCCATGGCTTGACTCACCTTTAAAAAGTCTTATGTCAGATTTCTTCTATGGAACAAAATTCCATCAATGCACATTTAAAAGGCCTGTGTAACAAATAATTATTCTTCCTGCACTGTATGCAAATAATTAACAAAGTATAGTAAAGTAAATCAGTCCTACCATAATTTACCTTTTAATAAAAATGGAAAACTGGAGAGAGAAAATTATGTTTCAAGAACTGTAACACACTTGTTAAATTCTAATGTTGCCTAATGCTTCTCAATTTTTATTATTTTCTACAGTTTAAATTAAATTCTAATTTTTCTGGTGACAATTTTCCAAGATAATCTGTGCTTTTTTAAAGGCCCATAAACTGAAAACTAGATATTTCAGCAGATCCTGCCTCCACCCGACCAGACCATCACAGAAGGAAATCTCTTTAATGCTGGCACCAACAACTAATAATTGAGGGTGCCCAGTATCCTTTGCCCCCACATCTAGTGAGTCAGTGGAACTCAGGGTAATTAAGACAGTATATGTTACAGGAATCAACTCCCAAATACATCACACTTGAGTCAAAGCCTGGAAAGCTGATGAAGCAACCTCTGACAGCCCAAAGGAATGTCCTAAATATCAATGTAAAAAAATAGGAAATCTTAAGTTGAAAATCATAAAAAATAAGTAACTGAGAACTACTCATCTTATTCAGTCTCACCCCTGTCTCATAAAATAGTTTTCATCATTCCTACCTCTCCTCGTAAGATTTATTATGCCACCCTTCTGGGAATTGCTTTACTCTACTATTTGCAGTAGAACTACATACTGTACTACCCTCAGGTGGAATATCTGACAAAAATCTCAATTACTGTAGTGTTTTTCTTATTATTCTCATAGCAGGAATAATGGTTACTAACAGAAAATAATGCATGGGTCTTTCCAAACTTGCACCTCTCCCTTTCATTAAGTGAGGAATGTTGTTTCTATCTCAATCGACTGGGCCTAGGAAGAGACACTGCTGATGAAAGACTTAAAGAAAGGGCTAAAAAGCTAAGGAAGTACCAAAACAACCAAATAGATTCTTGGTTTGGAAACAAAATCATAGCATGGATCATCCCATTTCTGGGCCCTCTCCTAATAATACTTCTAGGACTAATGTTCTTCCTGTGCCTAATTAAACTTTTTCAAAGATTTTTAACAGGATCGTGGCCATTTCATAGACAACTACCCAAAATCATCTACAGATGGAAACTCTTACAGTCAATCTGAGTCCTGAAATCTCTCCATTCCCTTGTCAGCAGGAAGGAGCCAGAAAGAATACACTGCCCCCATCCTTTTTATAACTATAGGGTCTGGATTGACAGAGCGGAAGCATTACCATCTTGAATGATCACTATCATTCTAACGTTCATCTTGATCAAAAAGTCTCTAAGTCCAAAGGGTATCAGCTTAATGCTATGACGATAAATCACAAATGACATTTCCAGTCAGAAACATTCCAAACGCCTCCCTAACCAGATACACGCCGGCCCCGAGATAGCATCCCCTTTCATTGGATGGATGTCTGCCCCAAGATAACCTGTTCTTTGTACATTATCCAGTCTAAGCTGTTTTGCTATAGCAGTAGGACCAGACTAAGTAACTATGCCTACATTGCTGGCTAGTGTATAAATGTATACAATTACATACAATTGACTCATGAAAAATGCAACGGTTAGGGCTGCTGACCTGCACTAAACATGGTCCCTGAATGATACTACTTGATTGGTTGAAGATGAAAATGTCCGACATCTTTCATTTATTTAATCTGCAAAACTCATTTAAAAAATACTTCTTCCTAATGGCCATGGTTATGTGACCCCTATAAGATAGCCTTATGCAGTCTCTCATCAGAACAAAGTAGGCCATTCTGCAGGCATCCAGCAGTCTTTCTGGCCACAGCTGGAAGTTCCCTCCTTGCAAATGGACTTTGCCTCATTCCTGTTAATCTTTTCCAAAGCTAAAATTCAAAGACTATTCTTCATGTCTTCCAATGCCTCCCTTCCTTGTTCTTTTTACAAATGTCTTTCCATCTTTTTCTATTTGCAATGATAAGACTTAAAAAGAGCCATTGGGCTAAAAATTCCTGACATAAAAGGAAATAGAGTGGAAGGACTAAAGTTTCCAAAGAGGGTACTTCATAAATCAGAGTAATCACCCTAATGACCAACTTGAAAAAGACATAATAGATTTCAAGTATTTCTGTTTTCTCCTTTAGGTGAAACAGGGAAATTCCAACTGATTGCCTGGAAAATTGCTTCAGTCTTCTAGCTCCCTTGAAGGCAACTTTGAATTGAGCAGATACACAAAAACATTCTGTCTTCTGAAATTTTAATCTGTGCAAGATTATTTTACAACTACACATATTGATAATAAAGCAATTTCTCCAAGTGGGACACATCAGATAAAATGGTGTTTGTATATTTCTCTCACATTACTTTTTTCTATTTATTGAAAGCCCATTCTGTCACTAGAATGAATCTCTATCACCCCTGTTATTCCTTTTCTGCCAATATCCTTTAAAAAAATTCACTGATGACATTCAGGGTGAAATTCATTTTAGGCTGAATTTGAAAAATAAATAAAGGTGTCCAGGTGCAAATGCAAGCCTTAAATTGTACATTTTTGGCAGGCATACGTAATTCATATATAACCTAGCATCTGTAAATATAAAAGTAGTGGACCTCACTCAAGTTTCCCATAAGGGTAGATTTGAATATAGATGAAGATAGGAATATATCTCTTATTCCATCCTTACATTTATTGTTTGTAATGGTCACCAAAAATTAATCTTTTAGCCTTGCTACATATTTTATTATTTGCCAGAGCAAAAGCTGATCAATTTTAATCTGATTTAAAATGTAATCCAAAAACCTAATGTTTTTTAACAGAACAATAAAAATATTTTTCAATGACTTTGTGCATTAGTGAATGTATCCCTGAAAAGCATGTGTAACCTTGAATTAATAAGTTATGTTTTCTTTGCCAATGCTTATTCATTTTGTTTATATAAAAATATGTTTACTCAGATTTTCTTCATTAAAGAATCATATTTAAGTAAAGCACTCATTAAAATAATTTAGCTAAGAAAATGTGATGTAATAGAAGTCCAAACTGAATATTATCAGGAATTTTACATAGAATCATAATTTATTTTTCATAAGAATCAGAATTTGGTATAGACTTACAGATTAAAATAAATCAGATTAATTACTCCTATATACATCACTTTATAATGCCATTCTTACTTTATATAGGACAATCTATGCTAGCATGAAAACTTGTATGAGTTTTTTGTTCATCTGTGGAAGCAAAGTTATGAACTATAGTCAGGTGAGTTCTGAAGGCAATGAATTCTCACATGTCAGTATTTAACAATGAAGAGTGCTTACTGAATTGTTGCTGTCTTCATTATACTAATAGTTCTTACTCATATTATAAGAACTGCTATTGAATTAATGATTTGATCTTATTTGACTAGCAGTATATTTCAAGATTTGGAGAGTTGTCCATTATCGAAGTCGCTGAAATTATTTTTTATTTTCTCTAACTTGACTTTTGGTCCTCTTTCCTCCCCTTAATAGGTGCACAGTAAATTTTTATTTCATAGTGTTTATATTCCTAACATCATAGAAATGAGATGAATTTTATAACTTATTTGTACTAAGTTTTAAGTGACTGATAATGGTTCTGTATGAAAAGAATCAGTGTATTTTACTAAAGGGGAAAGGCTTAACATAAAGGAATTAATTAAGCCAGGTGCAGTGGCTCACAGCTGTAATCACAGCACTTTGAGAGGCTGAAGAGGGAGCATCATCTAAGATTTCCAGACCAGCCTGGAAAACATACTGAAAACTTACTTCCACAAAAAAGTACAAAAATTAGGTGGATATGGTGGCACACACCTGGTAGTGTTAGCTAGTTGAGAGGCTGAGGTGGGGGATCAATTGAGCCCAGAGGGTCAAGCCTGCAGTGAGCTAAGATTGGACCACTGCAGTCCAGCCTGGGCAACAGAGCAAGATCCCATCTCAAAAAGAAAAAGAAAGAAATTAAGTTCAGTTGGTTTCACTACATACAACAGGAGAATAAAGTTCATGTAAAAAGAAGTAAAGAAAGGGAGGAGGGGACATGGGGAAATACTGGTCTAAGGGTATGATGGTTCTGTTAGACAGGAGGGGTTAACAATAAGAACTGAGGTGATGAACATGATGTTAATTAGCTTCACTCAATCATTTCTCTGGATATATATGCATCACAGCATCAGTTTTTACCTCACAAATATATATACAATAGTAATTTGTCAATATCCAATGTAAATAAATAAATAATACAAATAAAGAATTGAGGAACACTTCTAGTTTAATCAAAATACTATCTGATCACAGTTCTGCTTCTAGAAACATGTTGTTGCTTCAAACTACCCAATCTACAGATAACAAAGAGAAACATGCAAGTAAGAAGATTAACAACATTAGAGAGCCATGAAGAAGGGGAGAATTTTCAAAGGCATCTTAAATTGGACATGAAAAGCACTACTGTTAAAAGGAAAAGATAAATGAGCAAGGTGCACTGATCATGAAATACCATGATGAGAGTGAAAAGGCCATACCCAGAGATGGTATTTGCAACCTGTTTAAATAACAAAAGGCACACATGTTCTGTATATACAATGTGCTCCTGTAAATCAATAAGTGAGAGGCTAACAACCCAATTAAGAAATGGGCAAAGGATTTTAACCAGCACTTCACACCTTGGACATTCAAATGCCCAATGCACACATGATACAGTCTGGACGCCCCATTCAGTTCTCATATTGAATTGTAATTCCCAATATTGGAGGTGCAGCCTCTTAGGAGGATGGGAGTGGGACATGGGGATGGATCTCTCATGACTTGGTGCTGTCTTTGGGATAGTGAGTGAGTTCTCACAAGATCTGGTTGTTTAAAAATATGAGGCATCTTCCCCAGCCTTGCTCCCACTCTTACGATGTAACATGCCTGCTTCCATTTTTTTCTTTCCTGAAATCATGGCTTTACACGTGGCCTGATTTTCAGCTCATTCCTATCCATATGGAGAGTTCTGAAACTTGATGTGCCTAGTGTTTTGAAACTAGGTGGGGCAAGAGACTAGTGAAGATATAAATGTGATCTATTTTCTCTCATCAGATTTCCATAATGGAATGTTTGTTTACAATGTGGTACATTTTTTGGATCCTTAATTGAATAGAATAATTGACACCACGTTTTCTTAGCCTGACCCCAAGTGCTAAAAGCAAATAAGAAAGGCTAGTATTTGTGTTTATTTACAATGACTGATGCAATCATTCTCCTTTGAAGAGCCAACATAATACTGATGTTGATATTTATCACTAAGTCAACTGTACCAGTCCTCTGTAAGGCCACATTTGTCATAAAACAGAATAGTGTATAGAGAGAAAAAAATGAATATACAACCCAGTCTATACATCCATGTGGCTAGGTCTCAGAAACATATTAACAAAAGAAGCTATTCAGAATAATAAATGCTGTATTATTCCATTTATGTAGAGTTTGAGAATGGACAAACCCAATTGATGGTATTAAAATGTAATTATTTTGGCATTGGGTTGTCGTAATTATTGGAAGGGAATATGGAGGTGAATTGATATGGTTTGGTTGTGTTCCCACAAAAATCTTTTCTTGAATTGGAGTTCCCATAATCTACACATGTCATGAGAGGGACACAGTGAGAGGTAATTGAATCATGGGGGCGGTTATCTTCATACTTTTCTCATGATAGTTAAATGAGTTTTCATGAGATCTGATCATTTTATAAGCAGATTTACCCCCTTTCATACAGCACTTCTCCTTGCTGCCACTATATGAAGAAGGATGTGTTTGATTCTCTTTCTGCCATGATTGTAAGTTTCCTGAGGTCTCCCTAGCCCTGAATTTATAAAGGAAAGAGACCATTCAGCCCCTTTCCTTCATAAATTACCCAGTCTAGAGTAGGTCCTTATAGCAGTCTGAGAATGGATGTGGGTGCTTGGAGATGCATGCAGCGCTTAAATTTTGACTTTGGTAGTGGTTCTGTGGGTGTGTTCATCTGTAATCACTCACTTATCTGGACAGGTATGATTTATATACTTTTCTGATGCAAATAGCTAATGTGAACATCACTAAATATACTGAGTGAGTTCTCTGTATAGCTGCATTCCAATCTATCTCTTTCAGTTCATTAGACCATTTCTTATTGAAATAGTTGGTCACACACAAAAAGTCATGTCTGCCATTCTTTTTATCTCATCAGGCAGAGCTTAAAATTAACCTTAATTTTCACAGTGGATTAGAAACCATGTAGGAGAAAAGACTAAAAATATTTTTAAAAATGAATGAATTAGTTACTTTAAAAAAAATGAACAGACACTTCTCAAGATAAGACATTTATGCAGCCAACAGACATAAGAAAAAATGCTCGTCGTCACTGGTCATTAGAGAAATGCACATCTAAACCACAATTAGATACCATCTCATGCCAGTTACAATGGCAATCATTAAAAAGTCAGGAAAAACAAATGCTGGAGAGGCTGTGGAGAACTAGGAAAGTTTATACATGGTTGGTGGGAGTGTCAACTAGTTCAACTATTGTGGAAGACAGTGTGGCCATTCCTCAAGGATCTAGAACTAGAAATACCATTTGATCCAGCAATCCCATTACTGGGTATATACCCAAAGGATTATACATCATTCTATGATAAAGACACATGCACATGCACATGTATGTTTATTGTGGCACTATTCACAATAGCAAAGACTTGGAACCAACTCATATGTCCATCGATAATAGACTGGATAAAGAAAATGTGGCATGTATACACCATGGAATACTATGCAGCCATCAAAAAGGATGTGTTCATGTCCTTTGCAGGAACATGGATGAAGCTGAAAACCATCATCCTCAGCAAATTATCACAAGGATAGAAAACCAAACACTGCATGTTCTCACTCATAAGTGTGAGGTGAACATTGAGAACACATGGACACAGGGAGAGGAACATCACACATTGGGGCCTGTTGTGGGATGGGTGATTGAGGAAGAGATAACATTAGGAGAAATACCTAATGTAAATGATGAATTGACGGGTGCAGCAAATCAAAATGGCACATGTATACCTATGTAACAAACCTGCATGTTGTGCACATGTAACCTAGAACTTAAAGTATAATAATAATAATAATAATAATAATAATAATAATAATAATAAAAAGAATCCATTATAGAAAAGTGTGGAGTTCAAGGAGCTGCAATAAAGAAAAAGAGCTTCATTCTTAAAACTGGGGCTCCCTGATCTCCGAAAATCACAAATGCATGGTTGAAAACGCACATGTTGCCACAGTTTAAAAATCACCATGGGGCTGCCTCTCCTAATATCAGTTCTGTTTACTTTCTTCGCATAAATGCATAGGTGAGTTGACAAATAGCCTCTTTACCAGGCTCATATCCTAATGTAAATAGCTGTAGCAGAGCTTGAAAATTATTTTCAATCCCTTGCAGTTATTTTCTCATTACCTATTTTTTTTTATTTCTTCTTCTTTTTTTTTTTTTGTCATGGAATGCTGCTCACACCTTGTACACATTCATTTTGCTGGTGGATGGATTTACAGTCACATTTCTATGCAGATAAGCTATAGACATTAGCCAGATGTCTCAATAAGATTCTGTTTACCCTGTTAGTAAGAAGAAGGTCTGATTCAAGGTATAGAATAAAGAGTGGGATGGATTTTGTGAGTCCCAGCCAGGGATTTGTCCAGGAGACAGGTTAGCTAAAATGCAGCAGCCAAGTCCTCATCCTAGGCAGACTAGGAAAACACAAAATTTGTTGTTATAAGTACCCTCTCTGCTTCCTTAATTCTCACCAGTCCTCTATTGTAACATTATTTGCTTGCCTACCCATGGCTCTCATAATTTCTTCTCATCTCACCTCAATCTAAACTAATACAAGACAGAACTACACTTTACAGTCCTGTTTCTTGTAGCTATGGCTGGTGGACACAATTGTCTTTAAGGCCCACCTCCCAACACCATCACCCTGAGAGTTAGGGTTCAAAATAAGAATTTTGGGGGAACACAGACATTCTAGATATGATGCAGTCATGAGATGGTTAACAGAGAGTGCCAACTTGATTAGATTGAATGATGCAAAGTATTGTTGCTGGGTGTGTAGGTGAGGTTGTGGCCAAAGAAAATTAACATTTGAGTCAGTGGACTAGTAAACGCAGACCCACCCTCAATAAGGAGATCACAAATGGATAGACATAAATTTGTACCTGAGAGTCATCTGTCTGTGCATTCATGAACCTCTGGGCAGGGGACTGACCAGAGTCCAGCTGGACACCAAAATAAAACATCAGCCTTGCCAGCCAACTAGCTAATCATTATTCAATATATTTATCCTGAAGTTTCCCACATTTCACTCTATAAACAAATCAGCTCCACTATTGCCTGTAGCTGTTCTTGGAAAGGATTTTAAAATGCACAGTGCTAGCTCCTCAACCAGGAAAATCTGTGATCTCCTCATCCTTTAACTCAAGTATCTTCAAACATAAATTTTAAGTCTGGCTGGAATTCATTTAGCTAATCTCATGTGAAGTGAAAACATACTAATACACAGGCTCCACAGTAGCTACCTTGGGTTTTTCTTATGTGTCTAAACCAAGTATTTTAAACTGCTTGGATTCATAGTCTATTGTTGTGTAACATGTAACTGCAACATTCTCAGCTTAAGCAACACATATTTATTTGACAATTTCTGTGGGTCAGGACTCCAGTGATAGCTTAGATGGGTCTTGTGCTTCAGGGTCTCCCAAGGATGCAGTCAAGGTGCTGACCACAAGACACAGGAAGTCTTGAATGTGGTGGGATCTTCTTTTGAGCTCATGTCTATGTTGGCAGGATTCAGTTCCCTGCAGATAATTAGAGAAAATGGCTCATTTCATTGCTGGCTATTGGCAAGAGGTCAGCATCTGTTTCTTGTCTTGTAGATCTCTCCATACGACAATATATTTTAGCCACAGCCAGCAGAAGAAACTCTAGTAGAAAGATAGAAGCCATTGTCCTAGGTAACTCATTATGGAAGTGATATCCTGCCATCTTTGATGTGTTCTATGGGTTTGAATCAAGTCAGTAGGGCAGTTCACACTCCAGATTGGGGTCATTGCCCACTAAGTAGTATTTTACACATTTTTTTTCTAACCTACACCCATACAAACTTGTATACTCCTTATCTGTGTATGTATCTCTGAGCTTCATACATAAAATAAATGATTTTGTCACCTCCCAGGAATTAATTTTCATCCCCTTTGGGAAGATATTATTCCCATTAAAAATGCCCAAGGATCATCTACAGAGTCAAACTACCTTTGTTTCATTCTATCCCATCACTTGTCAGCATTGTGATAGGCAAGTCACTGAACATGTCTGAACCTCAGGCTTCTTAAGTGTAAAATGAGAATCACAATAGCACCTACCACTTATGATTTTTATGAGGATTAAAGACACAAGATACTTGAAGTACATATAACAGACTGGGTGGATTGTAGGAAAAACATAAATGCTAGCTTCTATTACTGCAGTGTGCAAAACACTATGTCTGGCATCTGGAATTCTGAGATGATACCAAAACAAGAGCCTCAAAGTGACCCACTCTTTGTTAAAGGAGATTGAAAGATTACAAAAGGTGTGAGATGTTCAGTTTCATCCAAGATGATTTATACATAGAAAAAAGGGAGTGTCTAAATTCTGATAAATCAAAAGAAGGGCACAAAAAAAAAAAAAGGTTTCTCAGAGAAAAGACATTTCAGGGATAAGAAATAGTTTGAGCTGAGGAATAAAGAACCAAACTAAAGCAATGGCAATGTTGATGGTGACATAGTGGAAAAGAAGGACTGGAAATAAAATGACCATGTGGTAGTATACAGTGGTTATTCAAAAGATTCACTTACGTAAGTATACATTTCTCCACCTGCTTTTCTCTTCATCAATTCATTCATCCATCTCCATATTCATCAACCAACTCTCCATCCATCCATCATCCATCCACACCTGTTTCCTTTTGTCAATCCATCTACCTATTTATTCACACATCTCTTCATCAATTCATCCATCCCATCCATCCATTCATCCATCCATCCATTCATCCATCCCCACATTCATCCACCTGCTCTCTATCTATCCATCCATCCATCCATCCATCCATCCATCCATCCGCTTTCTCTTTTCCACAAAGGATTTGAGATGCTATAGGAAGACAAAATAAATATAGAAAATGAATAATAAATGAATAAAATAGTGAACAAACGAAATGCTAAACTCATTGAGGATGGAAATAAGAGAACTAGAATAGGGACATAAAGTAGGACCAGGAGTTTGATTTAAGCAAGTATCCATTCCATATACCTGCTCTTTGAGGGCCAGACATTCAGTATGCTAGGATATTGAGTTGTTTATGCTCCCAAATCTATCTGTACCAAAATTTCTACTGCTTAAAGTGTAAATTTGGGAATTCTCTAACTTACTTATTGTACTCCACATCAAATATTTGATGGCACTGGAATAGACTTTGGCAAATGTAGTCCATTTTCTAATTTCTTCTTCATTTGCATTTAAAGGAATTTCTTCTTCATTTGCATTTAAAGGAATTTGAGTTACAGAGGAGAGATGATACTTATTAAAGCCAAGACAGGTTTCAAACACTTTCTTCTGAAAATCCACTTTTTTCCTTTGCGGTCAGCAGCATTTACTATAGGAAAATATACACTTAACATTTAGCCAAAAATAAAAACTTCTGCAAAATGTCTATATTCAGATTGCTTCTATATTTTGAGGTTGCATTCACATTAACCTCAAAAGAACCTAGATGCTGGTGCTCAGAAGAAATTGAGTAGTTGAAAACCACAGTGGAGTCAGAAATCAGAAGAAATTAAATTACCATTATGGCACTAAGCCCTAATCCCAGAAAATCAAAACACAATTAGTCAGCCACTAAATCCATTATAAAATATAATAAACATCATTAGAATTTTTTATCTCCCAGCAAATAAAGAGTTGGAGACATTATCCCATTGCTTAACCACTTTTTATAGTGGGGTCATTATTCCTTAAGGTGTTACTAAACACACTCATCAACCTAGAAATCCCAAGTTTACCTTCCAAATACATGATCTCATCCTTCTGTGTAAAGTTAATCGAAGTTGTAAAAGTGCTTCATTCTCTATCTTTATTTTTCCCCACAGGGACAGGGAAATAAAAATGTGATGCATTGGAGGAGAATCACAGGATGCAACAAATAAAACTTGAGATGTCTCTACTCTATGAGAAAGTATGTAGAGATTAACCCTCTCCTGGAAAATGAACATTTAAATGTGTTTTCTACGGATATCATACTTTTAGTTAGGAAATTCTTTATATCCAGCATGACTTTTTCATGCTGTAATAACCTTCCAGTTGTTAACCAAGAATTTTTCTAAAAAAGAAAAAAAAAAAAAAAACTAAGCATGTCTTCTATGGGCTCTTTAAAATACTCTGAGAGTTTAGTCAAAACTTTACAACACCAGTGGTGAAGTTCTCAAGAATGGTGTTGATATGGTTTGGCTGTGTCCCCTCTCAAATCTCATCTTGAATTCCTATAATCCCCACATGTCCTGGGAAGAAACTGGTGGGAGATAATTGAATCATGAGGCTGGTTAGTCTCATGCTGTTGTTCTTGTACTAGTGTTACCACTCATCCATCAATCGATCCATCTATCTATGCACCCATCCACCCACCCATCCATCCATCCATCCATCCATCCATCCATCCATCCATCCATCAATTTCTCATGATATTTGATGGTTTTATAAGTTACAAGGCGCTTTTCCCCCTGTTGCCAGGAAATTTTTTTTTGTTGTTGCCATATGAAGAAAGGTGTGTTTGCTCCCTCTTCTGCCATAATTTTAAGTTTCCAGATGCCTCTTCAGCCATGCCTAATTGTGAGTCAATTAAACATCTTTCTTTATAAATTACCCAGCCTCAGACATGTCTTTATTAATACTGTGAGAATGGACTAACACTGGTGCTGTGCTAAGTTTTCTGAGTTAATCACCTCTTTTTGAACATGGCTAAAACCAGTTCACATCAGATTTTTATTTAACGCATAGTTTTCTTCTCTATGGTAGTCACACAATATAGTACATTTGTGGATACACAATGAATATCCATAAATCCTCATAGCACGAGTGAGTCAGTGAATCAACAAACCATTACTTACTGAATTAAATACAAAGCAGTTCAGAAAATGAAACTAAAGTGTCCATTTCTCATCTCTTTCAATTCCCACTCTACTATGGAAAGGAAACATAAACACCAAGTGAGTTCTAAGTTAATAAATTATTTCTAGGTTGAACTACAAGAAATTGCCACTTTGGTTTATAGTTCAAAAGTGGTTGAATATAAACTGCATGCTAATATTTGCAATCTTTCATTGATATTTGAGACTTTTTTCTTTTCTTTAGTCACATCTGAAACAACTTTTTAAGATGAGTTAGGATATGTAAATAGCATGTCAGTTTGGAAAAATAGCTAAACAAAAATCAGAAAGGACGCCAAACTCCTCAGTTTAGATATAAACAATTGATTACAGGATAAAGTTTGGTCATTGGTAAATGCTTCTTTTTTTACTTTTTAAATTATACTTTAAGTTTTGGGATACATATGCAGAATGTGCAGGTTTGTTACACAGGTATACACGTGTCATGGTGATCTGCTACACCCATCAACTCACTATCTACATTAGGTATTTCTCCTAATGCTATCCCTACCTTAGCCCCCTACTCCTGGACAGGCCCCATTGTGTGATGTTCCCCTCCCTGTGTCCATGTGTTCTCATGGTTCAACTCCTACTTATGAGTGAGAACATGCCATGTTTGGTTTTCTGTTCCTGTGTTAGTTTGCTGAGAATGATGGCTTACAGCTTCATCCATGTGCCTGCAAAAGACATGAACTCATCCTTTTTGATGGCTGCATAGTATTCCATGATGTATACATGACACATTTTCTTTATCCATTCTATCATTGATGGGCATTTGTGTTTGTTCCGAGTCTTTGCTATTGTGAACAGTACTGCAGTAAACATACCTGTGCATGTGTCTTTATAGTTAAATGATTTATAATCCTTTGGATATATATCCAGTAATGGAATGCTGGATCAAATGGTATTTCTAGTTCCAGATCCTTGAAAAATTTCCACACTGTCTTCCACAATGGTTGAACTAATTTACACTCCCACCAACAGTGTGAAACTATTCTTATTTTTCCAAATCCTTTTCAGCATCTGTTGTTTCCTGAATTTTTAATGATCACCATTCGAACTGGTGTGACATGATATCTTATTGTGGCTTTGATTTGCATTTCTATAATGACAAGTGACGATGAGCTTATCTTCATATGTTTGTTGGCTGTATAAATGTCTTCTTTTGAGAAGAGTATGTTTATATCCTTCGTCCACTTTTTGATGGCATTGTTTGTTTGTTTGTTTTGAAAATTTCTTTAAGTTCTTTGTAGGTTCTGGTTATTTACCCTTTTTCAGATGGATAGATTGCAAAAATTTTCTACCATTCTATAGGTTGCCTGTTCAGTCTGATGATAGTTTCTTTTGCTGTGCAGAAGCTCTTTCATTTAATTAGATCCCATTTGTCAATTCTGGTATTTGTTGCAATTACTTTTGTTGTTTTAGCCATGAAATATTTGCCCATGGCTATGTCCTGAATAGTATAGCCAAGGCTTTCTTCTAAGGTTTCCATGGTTTTAGGTTTTATGTTTAAGTCTTTAATCTGCCTTGAGTTAGTTTTTGTATAATGTATAATAAAGGAGTCCAGTTTCATTTTTCTGAGTATGGCTAACCAGTTTTCTCAACACCATTTATTAAATCAGGATTGTCTTGTCTATATGAGCTCTTTTTCAGTTCCATGTGAAATTTAAAGTCGTTTTCTTCTAATTCTATAAAGAAAGTCAATGGTATCTTGATGGGGACAACAATAAATTACTTTGGGCAGTATGCCCATTTTCACAATATTGATTCTTCCTAGCCATGAGCATGGAATATTTTTCTATTTGCTTGTGTCCTCTCTTATTTCCTTGAGCAATGCTTTGTAGTTCTTCTTGAGAAAGTCCTTCACATCCCTTGTAAGTTGTATTCTTAGGTATTTTATTATCTTTGTAGCAACTTTGAATGAGAGTTCACTCATGATTTAGCTCTCTGTTGGTCTATTATTGGTGTATGTATAGGAATGCTTGTGATTTTTGCACATTGATTTTGTATCCTGAGATTTTGCTGAAGTTGCTTATCAGCTTGCGGAGATTTGAGGTTGAGATGATGGGGATTTTTAAATATACAGTCATGTCACCTGCCAACAGAGACAATTTGACTTCCTTTCTTCCTGTTTGAATACCCTTTATTTCTTTCTCTTGACTGATTGCTTTGGCCAGAATTTCCAATATGATGTTGAATAAGAGTGGTGAGAGAGAAGATCCTTGTCTTGTGCGGGTTTTCAAATGAAATGCTTCCAGCTTTTGCCCATTTAGTGTGATATTGATTGTGGGTTTGTCATAAATAGCTCTTATTATTTTAAAATACATTCCATCAATAGCTAGTTTACTTAGAGGTTTTCGCATGATGGGGTGCTGAATTTTATCAAAGGCCTTTTCTGCATCTATTGACCTAATGATGTGGTTTTTGTCATTGGTTATATTATGTGATGGATTATGTTTATTGATTTGCATACCTTGAACCAGACTTGCATCCCATGAATGAAGAGAAGCCAGTCAGACTAACAGCAGATCTCTTTGAAGAAACCCTACAAGAGAGAATACAGTGGCGGGCCAATATTCAACATTCTTAAGGAAAATAATTTTTAACGCAGAATTCCATATCCAGACAAACTTAAGCTTCATAAGCAAAGGAAAAATAAAATCCTTTACAGACAAGCACATGCTGAGAGATTTTGTCACCGCCAAGCCTGCCTCACAAGAGTTCCCAAAGAAAGCACTAAATATGGAAAGGAAAAATTGGTACCGGTCATTGTGAAAACATACCAAATTGTAAAGAACATTGACAATATCAAGAAACTCCATCAATTAAGGAGCAAAATAACCAGCTAGCATTATAATGACAGGATCAAGTTCACACACAGTAATATTAGCCTTAAATATACATACAATAAATGACCCAATTAGAAGATACAGACTGGCAAATTAGATAAAGAGTCAAGACCAGTTGGTGTGGGCCAGGCGCAGTGGCTTATGCCTGTAGTAACAGCACTTTGGGAGGCCGAGGCAGGTCGATCACGAGGTCAGGAGATCGAGACCATCCTGGCTAACATGGTGAAACCCTGTCCCTACGAAAAATGCAAAAAATTAGCCAGGCAGGGTGTCAGGCACCTGTAGTCCCAGCTATTCAGGAGGCTGAGGCAGGAGAATGACAGGAACCCAGGAGGCGGAGCTTGAAGTGAGCAGAGATTGCACCATTGCACTCCAGCCTGGGCTACAGAGTGACTCCATCTCTAAATAAATAAATGAATGAATGAATAAATAAATAAATAAATAAATAAATAAATAAATAAATAAATATAATAAAGACTAATTGGTGTGGTGTACTCAGGCGACCCATCTCATGTGGAACAATATACATAGGCTCAGAATAAAGTGATGGAGGAATATTTACGAAGTGAAAAGCAATAAAAAGCAGGGGTTGCAATGACAATCTCTAATAAAACAGACTTTCAACCAACAAGATCAAAAAAGACAAAGAAGGGCATTACATAATGGCAAAGGGATCAATGCAACAAGAAGAGCCAACTATCTTAAATATATATGCCCTCAATTCAGGAGCACCCAGATTCATAAAGCAAGTTCTTAGAGACCTACAAAGAGACTTAGACACCAATAATAGTGGGAGACTCAACCTTCAACAATAGTGGGAGACTTTAACACCCCACTGTCAATATTAGAAAGATCATCGAGACAGAAAATTAACAAAGATATTCAGGACTTGAATTCAACTCTGGACCAAGCCAATCTAATAGACATCTACAGAACCTCCACCTCAAATCAGCAGAATATACATTCTCCTCAGCACCACATCACACTTATTCTAAAATTAACCACATAATTCGAGGAAAAATACTCTTCATCAAATGCAAAAGAATGGAATCCATCACAAACAGTGTCTCAGACCACTGTGCAAAAAAATTAGAACTCAGGATTAAGAAACTCACTCAAAACTGCACAACTACATGGAAACAAAACAACCTGTTCCTGAATGACTACTGAGTAAATAACAAAATTAAGGCAGAAATAAAACAGTTTTTTGAAACTGATGAGAACAAAGTCAAAACCTCCCACAATCTCTGGGACACAGCTAAAAGCAGTGTTTAGAGGGAAATTTATAGCACCATATGCCCACAGGAGGAAGTGGTAAAGATCTAAAATTGACACCCTAATATTAGAATTAAAATAACTAAAGAAGCAAGAGCAAACAAATTCAAAAGCTAGAAGAAGATAAGAAATAACTAAGATCAGAGCAGAACTGAAGGAGCTAGAGAGATAAAATCTCTTCAAAAATCAATGAACCAGGAGCTGTTTTTTTTGAGAAGATTAACAAAAATAGATAGACTGCTACCCAGACTAATAAAGAAGAAAAGAGAGAATAATCAAATAGATACAGTAAAAATGATAAAGGGGATGTCACCACTGATCCCACAGAAATAGAAACTATCATCAGAGAATACTGTAAATACCTCTATATAAATAAACTAGAAAATCTAGAAGAAATGGATAAATTCCTGGAAACATACACCATCCCAAAACTAAACCAGGAAGAAGGCTAATCCTTGAATAGACCAAAAACAAGTTCTGAAATTGAGGCAGTAATTAATAGCCTATCAACCAAAAAAATTCCCTGGACCAAGCAAATTCACAGCAGAATTCTACCAGAGGTACAAAGAGGAGATGGTAACATGCCTTCTGAAACTATTCCAAACAATAGAAAAACAGGGACTCCTCTTTAACTTACTTTATGAGGCCAGCGTCATCTTGACACCAAAACCTGGCAGACACACAATAAAAACAAACAAACAAACAAACAAACAAAAAAACTTTCAGGCCAACATCCCTGATGAACATTGATGCAAAAATCCTCAATAAAATATTGGCAAATCAAATCCAGCAGCACATCAAAAAGCTTATCCACAACTGTAAATGTTTCTTTTAATGTTCACCCAGCAAGATGAGGCATTAGGGACAATAAAGCAGTGGGTTTCCTCTTTTGATGACTTAGCCTGAAAAGCTAATGAATCAGTTAAGAACCAGTGTCATTTTTCACAGAGGAGCCTTGAAGGACATGGGTCTGTTTTAAGAGTGAAAGCAAGCCTGGGCAGCATAGCAAAATGCCATCTCTGCAAAAAATAAAAAATTAGCTGAGCATAGTGACAGGTATCCATAGTCTCAGCTATTTGGGAGGCTGTGGGGTGAGGATAGCTTGAGTATGAAAGTGTGAAGATGCAATGAGCCATGGTTGCCCAACTGTACCCCAGCATGGCCAAAATAGTGAGACAAGGTCTCAAACAAGAGCAACAATGACAACAACAAATCTCTTGTGAGTACATTAGTACCAGATAATCCAGGGTTGTCTCCACATCTCAGGATTATTAATCACATCTGCATAGTCTTTTCTGCCAGGTTATGCCACACATTCACACCTTCTAGCTTTCGGATGTAGACATTTTGGGAGGCCATTACTAACTCAAAAACTGCACGACTATGTACAAATTGAACAACCTGCTCCTGAATGACCACTGCGTAAATAATGAAATTAAGGCAGAAATAAATAAGTTCTTTGAAACCAATGAGAACAAAGAGACCATGTACCAGAATCTCTGGGACACAGCTGTTTAGAGGGAAATTTATAGCACTAAATGGCCACATCAGAAACCTGGAAAGATCTAAAATTGACACCTTTACATCACAATTAGAAGAAGAGAAGCAAAAGCAAACAAATTTGAAGCTAGCAGAATGTTGGGATTCATTCAGGATGGTGGCAGAAATATTAAAGAGAAATATTAAGGAAAGTTATAAGGAATAGTCACAAACATTTTGGAAGGCTGAGAGGTCACATAGCTTGAAATGATTGAACAGGCTGAAGGCAGCCAGTTTTTACCTTAGAGCATTAGGTCACAGGGTAAATACTAGGGGTAATAGAGGCTTCCCCAGTTAAGTCTGTTTACCCTAACTCCATTAACTAAACTTTGAGCCAGCTGGCCCACTCAGTGGGCAGGACAATCAGGGAAATTGCCCCCTAATGGTATTTAGGTTAGTTTGTGGTAACTGAGCCTTAATCATTCATAGAACTACTCTCATAATCATGTTAATTATCCACAAGCGTGTTGACTCAGCACTTCTGTTGTTAATTGTATGCTACATGAATGTCTGGAGTGTGAGCTGCTCAAGGCCAGCCACAGTGACAAACCTCTCTTGGTGTGCAGGTGGTCAGACACTCAGCAGGACTGGCAAAACACAATATCTGTGTGTCAGTGTAGGTTGTATTCATCGGTCATTTGGATCATGGTATGTGGGCAGACCCCTGCAGATAATGCTGTCTTGTGAGGAGCAATACTTCAGCAGAAGACAATAAATAACCAAGATCAGAGCAGAACTGAAGGAGATAGAGACATGAAAAATACCTTCAAAAAAATCAATGAATCCAGGAGCTGGTTTTTGAAAGATTAACAAAATAGATAGAACACTACCTAGACTAATAAAGAAGACAAGAGAGACACACTAAAGAATGATATGGGGGATATCATCACTGATCCCACAGAAATACAACCTACCATCAGAGAATACTATAAACCTTTATGCAAATAAACTAGAAAATCTAGAAGAAATGGATAAATTCCTGGATCCACACACCCTTCCAAGACTAAACCAGGAAGAAATTGAATCCCTAAATAGACCAATAACAAGTTCTGAAATTGAGGCACTAGTTAATAGCCTACTGACCAAAAACAAAAACAAAAACAAAAAAGCCGAAGACCAGATGGATTCACAGCCAAATTCTACCAGAGAAACTAGTAACATTCCTTTTGAAAGGAATGTTTGGGACTCCTCCCAAACTTAATTTATGAGGCCAGCATCATCCTGATACCAAAACCTGGCAGAGGCACAACAAAAAAGGAAAATTTCAGGCCAATATCCCTGATGAACATCGATGTGAAAATCCTCAATGAAGTACTAGCAAACCAAGTCCAGCAGCACATCAAAAAGCTTATCCACCATGATCAACTTGGCTTCATCCCTCAGATGAAAGGCTGGTTCAACATATGCAAATCAATAAACATAATCCATCACATAATGAGAACCAATGATAAAAAACCATGGTTATTTTAATAGATGCAGAAAGGTTTTGATAAAATTCAACAGCCCTTTATGTTAAAAACTCTCAATAAACTAGGTATTGATGAAACACACCTCAAAATGATAGGAGCTACTTATGACAGTCCCACAGCCAGTATCATACTAGATGAACAAAATCTGTAAGTATTCCCTTTGAAAACTGGCACAAGGCAAGGATATCCTCTCTCATCACTCCTATACATAGAATTGGAAGGTCTGGCCAGGGGAATCAGGCAAGATAAAAAATTAAAGTGTATTCAAACAGGAAGAAAGGAAGTCAAATTGTCTCTATTTGCAGATGACCTGATTGTATATTTAAAAAAAAAACCATTGTTTCAGCCACAAAACTCCATAAGCCGATACTCAACTTCAGCAAAATCTCAGGATACAAAATCAATGTGTAAAAATCACAGACATTCCTATATACCAATAATAGAAAAGCAGAGAGCCAAATCACTATTGAACCTCCATTCATAACTGCTGTAAAGATAATAAAACACCTAGGAATAAAGCTTTACAAGGAACATGAAAAACTCTTCAAGCAGGATTACAAATCACTGCTGAAGGAAATAAGAGAGGACACAAGCAAATGGAAAAATATTCCATGCTCATGTATAGGAAGAATCAATATCATGAAAATAGCCATACTACCCAAAGGAATTTATAGATTCAGTGCTATTCTTATTAAGCTACCATTGACTTTCTTCACAGAATTAGAAAAAAACTACTTTAAATTTCACATAAAACCAAAAAAGAACTCATATAGCCAAGAGAATTCTAAGCAAGAAGAAGAAAGCTAGAGGCATCACATTACCTCACTTCAAGCAATACTAAAAGGCTACAGTAACCAAAACAACATGGTATTGGTACCAAAACAGATATATAGATGAATGGAACAGAAATAAAACCACACATCTACAATCATCTGATCTTTGAGAAGCCTGACAAAACAAGCAATGGAAAAATGATTCCCTGTTCAATAAATGGTGTTGGGAAAACTGGCTAGCCATATGTGGAAAACTGGTTAGCCATATGCAGAAAACTGAAACTGTATCTCTTCCTTACATCTTTTACAAAAATTAACTTAAGATGGATTAGAGATTTAACCGTAAGACCTAAAACCGTAAAAACCCTAGAAGAAAACCTAGGAAATGCCACTCAAGACATAGGTATGGGCAAATACTTTATGATTAAAACACCAAAAGCAATGTCAACGAAAGCCAAAATTGAAAAATGGGATCTAATTAAGGTAAAGAGCTTCTGCATAGTGAAAGAAACTATCATCAGCGTGAACAGGCAACCTACAGAATGGGAGAAACATTTTACAAGCTACTTATCTGACAAAGTTCTAACATCCAGAATATACAGTGAACTTAAACAAATTTACAAGAAACAACCCCATCCAAAAGTGGGCAAAGGATATAAACAAACACTTCTCAAAAGAAGACATTTATGCAGCTAACCATGAAAAAAAGGTCCTTATAACAGGTCATTAAAGAAATGCAAACAAAATCACAATTAGATATCATCTCAATGCCAGTTAGAATCGTGAATATTAAAAGTCAGGAAACAGCAGATATTGGTGAGGCAGGGGAGAAATAGGGACACTTTTACACTGTTTTTGGGAGCATAAATTAGTTCAACCATTGTAGAAGACAGTGTGCAACCTCCTCACGAAATTGAAGTGCATTTCTAACTTTCCAGGAGCCAAGGAAATCCACCACCAGCTGACTGATTTTCCTTGTTCCCTTGATGTTGGCCAGTGATGGCATAGGCTGGTGAAGCAGTCATCCTGGCATCCAGGAGCCATGGGGTGGAAGTAGTAGGTACTGTTTTTGACCCTAATGGCATCAGAGGAGAACAGATCTCTGGAATACTGAGTAATGACTTTCTTAGAAGGTCTCCTTTCCACACAGGCACAGGCAATCAGTCATGAGAGGCCAATGTTGGCCAGTGATGTCATAGGCTGTTGAAGCAGGCATCCTGCCATCCTCACCATGTGGGCCAAGGGCTCTGCTCCCTAAACAGAACAGATGTAAGAGGAAACAGTGAGGGCCCCAGCTGGCACTACAGACACATCCTGTTAATTCTTGCCTTGGATGGTGTCCTTATTACTGGCTGATGACAGGGCTAATCCAGTACCAACACACAGGGTACAATTCCTAAGATGTTGATAGAGCTTGGATCTGTGTCTCTGCCTGAAATTCATGTGGAATTGTAATTCCCAATTTTGGAGGTGGAGCCTGGTGGGAGGTAATTGGATCATGGGGGTGGATTTCTGGTGAATAGTTTAGCACCACTTCTTTGGTGCTGTATTGGAGATAGTGAGTGGCTTCTCACGAGAGCTGGTGGTTTAAAATGTGAGTGGCACATCCCCCTTTTCTCTCTTACTCCTGCTCTGGCCATGTAATGTCCCTGCTCCCTCTTTTTCTTCCGCCAGGATTATAATTTTCCTGAGGCTTCCCCAGAAGCTGAGCAGACATGAGCATCAAGTTTCCTGTACAGCCTGGAGAACTGTGAGCCAATTACCTCTCTATTCTCTATTAAAAAACAGTCTGAGGCATTTGTTTATAACAATGTGAGAATGGACAAATAGAGAGATGCATGCCAACATGGTAGATTTGGGTGACCCTTCACTGTAACTTTCATGACCTCAAAGAGCAGTCATCAATAGCTTAAGAATGGTAATGTTATCAGGTTGTGGTGACTTGTGCCAGTAGTCCTAGTTACTTAGGAGACTAAGGGTAAAAGGATCACTTAAGCCCAGGAGCTCAAATCTGCAGTGAGCTGTTACTGAACCACTGCACTCCAGCCTGGTAAACAGAACAACTCTTTGTCTCTAAATAAATAAATAAAAGTGAATGGTGTTTTTGTAATAGGTACATGAACCCTCAGACATTTTCCCACCTCTCCCAACCTTCCTGAATGGCTCTTGTAAAGAAATATGAATAACTTTCTATGCTAGTCTATTCTCTCTCTAACAGATTTCCCCACTTACTTCAACACAAAAGTCCCTGTATCTTTAAGTATTAACAACAATGGAAATCAACTATGTGGTTATGATGGAAGTCACTTTAATCTGTTTTAAAAGAACTAACAGATAATACCTATCCTATAGTATTCTTATCTTATGGTATCTCACCTATCAATACCTATCCTATAGTATTTCATGAGTCCATCCTCTAAGAGTCCCGAAACTCTGCATCAAGGTGTCTGTTACCAGGGAATATTTAGGGGACCTATCCTCTGTGTAAAATTTACCCACCCCAGTCCGTTTGACAGAAACTCCAAGATTCAGAGATGTGACAACATTTCTAGTCATAGAATATAACAGTTAGGTGTTTACAAAAAAATTTCCCAAAGCTGCATGTCCTGTAGATATTTTGTCTACCAGCAACATGACCAATTTTGTTGTGAGAACTCAATGAACACATATACAGTAATTGAAATTATATCTGCAAGTGGATTCTTAGTCACTATTATCCCCATTCTTTTTCTGTTTATTTTAAAGACTGATTCACATGGAAAATTTAGATGCTATTCCACATTTATTCAGATGTATTTTGGTCGAAGAAGATTTTCATGGAGCCCTAAACATCATTACATCATTTTTTCTATGTATGTATGTATGTATGTATGTATGTATGTATGTATGTATCTATCTATCTATCTATCTATCTATCTATTTATCATCTGTCTATCATCTATCATCTATCTAATCTTTCTATCATCTATAATCTATCAACCTATTCCTGTCATGTATTATCTATATATATCTAACACTTATCAATTTATCTATTACCCAAATGTCTATCTTTGGTCAGAATTTAGGCACTATGTGAGAGTGATCAGCAACTAATATAATCTCAGAAGCCAAGTTAGGAATATTTCATATCTATTGTAAGTTCCTTAATTTTAAACCCATAATCTGGCAATTATTTAGTATGATTGCTGTTACTCTTCTGAATGGGGAAAGATTATCTGGTTAAATTTGGACAAATCACTGCATTTTCTAAAATGATCTCTATAGCATGTTGATGATGTTTAATTGTTATATATGAGGATGTTTCAACCTAAAATGTATCTTTGAAATTCCATGGCATTTTCCTTTTAGAAATGAATTTAGTAGGTGATAATGTAATTTCTACACCAAAGGAAGAAAAAAAAATCCCACAAAAGAAAATTATGCATTTTGGGTCACACTTGAGTATTTGAAGGCTATTTGCATAATGACAAGATTTCATTTGTGAAGAGTTCAGAATGCCTACTGTTCATTCCCCACTTGAAGTCAGAATCTTGTTTGTGACATTGCAGTCATCTCCATGGCAACTAATTGTGATTCAACCAATTCAGGATTATGATAGGAATCAAGTGAGAACAGACGGTAGGATGGGGGAAGGTGGGCAGATAAACTTTCTAAATAAAATGTAAAAACCTCAGTATTTAAAGTAGAAAGAAGTCCTGCTGTAAATACTGTCCAGTGGATCATGGTTTTCATCAACCATGCACTTAATCCTGAATAATACTAACTAGCCTACAGGATGCGCAAAAGAACTGTGGTTTTGACTTGTTGAGATGTTATTGCTAACAATTTAAGGTTGTGGTAGTGAGCTTTTTTCTTTCCCAAAACTGGCATTTCTCTGTTATGCTGCTATAAATTAGTAAAGGTGTTCTCTCTAAACTTATCCAACAGATAGAAGTGAGTTCACTTTATGTTTAATTAATTTTCTAATCCCAGTGACTAGGTCAGTATCTTCTCCAAAGTCTCATGGCTTGAATTAAACTGGGCTTGATCTGAATTGTGATTTTGTGATTCTATTAATAATAGTACTTCAAGTAACCCACCGGTGGCAAGAGTCCAACTATCAAATGATGAATATATTTTTCTGACTTTCCTTAAAAATAAAATTTGCTTCTGAAACGTGGCTAATTTTTTTTCAGGTTTTAATGTAATGTGCTCTCCAGAGACCTGGGGTTTGGCAAATAAATCTACCCATGTCTAAAGTTTTAAGACACTTTCTCAGTCAGTGTTTTAGAAAAGTGAACATAGAAGAGGAAATGTTGATGAAGGCTCACTGACATTCATTGACAATCTAGGAAACACTCAGACTCGTGCATCCAACCCCACTTAATACTTTTAGAATACTCTGATGACAAAATTAGTTGTTTCTGCATATTCATAGGAATTCAGGCCAATAGAAAAGATCGATGTCTGGCCAACATCGGTGATCAGAACACTCTAGTAACACAGAGGGATAGGCTGTGTAAGAGGGTATCGGGAACTGCACTCATATTTAAAGTGCTTATTACAGGCTGAATTTTATCCCCTAAAACTCATGTGTGGAAGTCCTAATCCCCAGAATTTTAGTATGTGATTGTATTTGCAAATACAGTCTTTACAGAGGTGATTAAGGTACAATGAGCTCATGCCGGGCGCGGTTGGTGGCTCACGCCTGTAATCCCAGCACTTTGGGAGGCGAGGCGGGTGGATCACAAGGTCAGGAGATTGAGACCACCCTGGCTAACACAGTGAAACCCAGTTTCTACTAAAAATACAAAATATTAGCCGGGCGTGGTAGCGGGCGCCTGTAGTTCCAGCTACTCCAGAGGTTGAGGCAGGAGAATGGCGTGAACCCAAGAGGCGGAGTTTGCAGTGAGCCGAGATCGCGCCACTGCACTCCAGCCTGGGTGACAGAGCGAGACTCCATCTCAAAAAAAAAAAAAAAAAAAAAAAAAAAAGGATACAATGAGCTCAGTAGGGCAGACTCTAATCCTCTAGGACTGGTGTCTTTATTAGAGGAGATGAGAACACAGACATGCACAGAGGAAACACCACATGAGGACACAGGGAGAAGATTGAATCTACCAGCCAAGGAGGGAGGCCTCAGGAGGAATGAGCCCTGCCCACACCTTCATCTCAGACTTCCAGCCTCCAGCACTGTGGGTTAATTAATGGCTATTTTTTATTAGCCACTGATTTTATGGTATTGTGTTATAGCAGCATGAAATAGACTAAGACACATCATGAAAAGAGGAGATGAGGACGCAGACACACACAAAGGAACAATCCTCTGAGGACACAGGCAGAAGGCAACATCTATAAGTGAAGGAGAGGGGGCTCAGGAGGAATGAATCCTGGGGACACCCTGATCTTGGATTTGCAGCCCCCAGAATGGGAGAGAATAAATTTCGGTTGGTTTTAAGCTACCCAGTCTGCTGTACCTGGTTATGACAGATCTAGGAAATCTGGTGAGTAAATTTTTTATTTTATTTTAATAAGCTTCCATTTCTCATTTGGACAGTATAAATGGTGAAAAGTGACCATGTCCCTGGTTGTGAGAACAGGCTAATGGAGTGGTGTAATCAGATAGACAAGAAGGTAGGAGAGAGGAAATCTTTCTAATTCTGTGATGAACCTACAGTTTCTCTATAGAATCGATGCAATAGCATTCCAAATATGTTCCGTATTTTTTTTTAAATCTAAACTATAATCTAATTCCCTTGAGTCAGGAAATTGGGAGCAGGATATTCCACACTTTTTTTGTTTGTTTGTTTGTTTTGAGAAAATACTATCACAAAGTTAAAATTTTAGCTATCAAGCTGTGAGTGGTAGTTCACACCTGTTATCTCAGCATTTTGAGAGGCCAAGGCTGGATGATCAGTTGAGCCTAGGTGCTCAACCCTGACAGAAAGAGTCCCTGAGCACGGGGCAAAATAGTGAGACCTCACCTCTACCAAAAATATTTTTTAAATGAGCTGGGCATAGTGACCTGTGTCTGTAGACCCAGCTAACCTGGAGGCTGAGGTGGGAGGATTGCTTCATCCCAGGAGTTGGACACTGCAGTAAGCTATGATTGCACTACTGCACTCCAGCCTGCATGACACAGTGAGAGTCTGTCTCCAAAAAAAATCCAGCTATCAAAATAACAGTAGAAATTGCTTTAAATCCTACAAAAACATTTTAAGTTACTCCACTTTTACGCTTGCTTGTCTCTTTAGGAACATTTTATCATTATAGTACAATGTTCTAAGGGACAGAATCAGGAGCAAGATTAATGAAGTAGAGGCTACATATTCCATTCTAAACATTTTGGGCTATTCCAATGTTAAATAAATAATAAAATAATTGCAAGATTTTAAGCAGGGAAGTGGCCCAATCCAAGTTTTTTTTTAGAATTTTAAGTCAGGCTGCCTTGAAGAGAATGGATTTGAGGTGAGTATAAGGGGATTTGAGATGCCTTGTTGAGAGTCTACTACAACAGCCGGGCAGAAGAAGACAATGGTATGAAATTGGGTGGTGGCAGTAAAAATTAAGGAAATGCACAAATTTGAAAAAAGAACAAAACAAAGTACAAAGACAAAAATATGTACTCACACATGTACACATATATAGATTTCAGAATCAAGAGAACTTACTGATGGTGCATGAGAAGGCATAAAAATGAAGAAGGAAGTGTGTTAGGTCAGTCAAGGGTCCCTTCTGGAACTTGATACACATGTATGCCAGGTGGTCTTTCATGAGGGTTCTTTTGACTCTGAAAAGACTCAGAATTGAGGTCCAATGTCAGGAAGCTGCCAGTCTATAGATCATAACTATGGGTGTTAGCTGGAGAAAAGAATGTGGCTGAAATGAATGAAAGGGTCAGGAAACAGGACACACTATTTAAAGCCAAGCACTGAAAACAATCCTGTGAATCTCTTATGTCCAAAGTAAAGAGGGAAGCAAGGCCTGGGAGGCAGGTTACCTATCAGGGTGACATCAGCCACTGACCAGGTAAGGATGCTGATTTTTCTGGATAGATCCTGATGTAGTAATGATTCTTAAAAATGGGTGCTGTGAACTACTGATAGAACTAGAGTGGGTGACAGACAAAATTTTAAGTCCAAATGTCCTGTGCACAGTCCCTCTTTGCATTGCACAACTCTGAAACTTCATAATGTCATTAAATGAACTGCTTACATATTATATTTTGGAATACAAAACAGCCAGGCACTTCCATAACTGAGAGACAATCCAAAGTGAAAGGGGCAATATCCTTGCATATTTCTAGGAAAAATAGTCTTATATGAATCTAGCATAGTGGAGGTGGGACCCTGCCTAAAGTTATGAGGACCAATTGGAAAGTCCTGTATAGTTGCCCAAGGCCCATGACTTTGGGAATTTACGTTGTTTGGACACCTACACAAAAGTAGGTCAGAGAGACCAATCAAAGCACTCTTTTTAAAGTTTCTGGCTGAACAAAGGTGGGTGGTACAAAGAAATTTCTTTCTGTAGCAGCTGTTGTCCTGGGTAACATAGAGGGTATAGTGGAGATTATTCAGAGTGTCACTAAAATATGCTGCCTTCCAAATACTTCCCTGAAATAATCAGGAAAATCCATTTCCATTAATGTATTTTTCAGAGATACAAAGTCATTAAGGATAGGATAAATCATCAAATCATTATGAGATGATATGAGAAACAATATTAATTTGTGTTAAAATTTGTTTTTTAGAATCTATTTGCTCCAGCCTAGATTCAAATTAGAAATTAAAGTTCAGAGACATTAAATTAAATCTTTACTTTTATTCCAGATTGCTTCAGAGGACAATTCTAGGATAATCATTTAAAAGATAATATTTTATTTTAAATATGTCAGTTCTTATAAGCAAAGTAGCAGAGGATGTCAATTCTAGGAAAAAAGGGTACAGAATTACTTAAAAACAAAGAACTTACTGAGAAACACTTATTTAAAAATGTTTACATTCATTGTAGAATGTTTGGAAAATACAGAAATCTTTAAAAGGAAGCAAAATTAGTCTCCTTAGGAAGGACATGAGGGGCATTTCAAGGTTGCTCATTTTATTCCAGGTTTTGACTTGTGTAGTGATTATACTGGTGTGTCCAATTTCTAAACATTTAACAAGATGGGCCCCTATTTTTCCATTGGCTTTTGTTGATGAATAGTATTTGAGGAAACCCCTTTCACTTGGCTCTCATTATCACTCTTCTCTGCCACCATGTAAGCCTTCTACTATGATTGTGAGGCCTTCCCAGCCATGTGGAACTGTGAGTCCATTAAACCTTTTTATTTTTTTTTGTAATAAAGTACCCAGTCTCAGGTATGTCTTTATCAGGAGCATGAAAATGAAGTACTACAGTATTCATTGTGTAAATCTATTACAATTTCTTTATGCATTTCCCTTTTCATAGACATATGGGTTGTTTCCTGTTTTTCTTTACTACGAATAAACCTGTCGTAGACATTCTCAAAGAGTCTCTGTGAGGACTTGTAGATTCTTTTTCTTTTTCTTTTTAATTTTTAATTTTTTATTATTATACTTTAACTTTTAGGGTACATGTGCACAATGTGCAGGTTAGTTACATATGTATACGTGTGCCATGCTGGTGCACTGCACCCACTAGTTCATCATCTAGCATTAAGTATATCTCCCAATGCTATCCCTCCCCGCTCCCCACAACCCACAACAGTCCTGAGAGTGTGATGTTCCTCTTCCTGTGTCCATGTGTTCTCATTGTTCAATTCCCACCTATGAGTGAGAATATGCGGTGTTTGGTTTTCTGTTATTGTGATAGTTTACTGAGAATAATGATTTCCAATTTCATCCATGTCCCTACAAAGGACATGAACTCATCATTTTTTATGGTTGCATAGTATTCCATCGTGTATATGTGCCACATTTTCTTAATCCAGTCTATCATTGTTGGACATTTGGGTTGGTTCCAAGTCTTTGCTAATGTGAATAATGCCACAGTAAACATACAAGTGCATGTGTACTCATAGCAGCATGATTTAAGTCCTTTGGGTATATACCCAGTAATGGCGTGGCTGGGTCAAATGGTATTTCTAGTTCTAGATCCCTGAGGAATCGCCACACTGACTTCCACAGTGGTTGAACTAGTTTACAGTCCCACCAACAGTGTAAAAGCATTCCTATTTCTCCACATCCTCTCCAGCATCTGTTGTTTCCTGACTTTTTAATGATCGCCATTCTAACTGGTGTGAGATGGTATCTCATTGTGGTTTTGATTTGCATTTCTCTTATGGCCAGTGATGGTGACCATTTTTTCATGCGTTTTTTGGCTGCATAAGTGTCTTCTTTTGAGAAGTGTCTGTTCATATCCTTGGCCCACTTTTTGATGGGGTTGTTTGTTTTTTTCTTGTAAATTTGTTAGAGTTCATTGTAGATTCTGGATATTAGCCCTTTGTCAGATGAGTAGGTTGTGAAAATTTTCTCCCATTTTGTAGGTTGCCTGTTCACTCTGTTGGTAGTTTCTTTTGCTGTGCAGAAGCTCTTTAGTTTAATTAGATCCCATTTGTCAATTTTGGCTTTGGTTGCCATTGCTTTTTGTGTTTTAGACATGAAGTCCTTGCCCATGCCTATGTCCTGAATGGTAATGCATAGGTTTTCTTCTAGGGTTGTTATGGTTTTAGGTCTAACGTTTAAGTCTTTAATCCATCTTGAATTGATTTTTGTATAAGGTGTAAGGAAATGATCCAGTTTCAGCTTTCTACATATGGCTAGCCAGTTTTCCCAGCACCATTTATTAAATAGGGAATCATTTCCCCATTGCTTGTTTTTCTCAGGTTTGTCAAAGATCAGATAGTTGTAGATATGTGGCGTTATTTCTGAGGGCTCTGTTCTGTTCCATTGATCTATATCTCTGTTTCGGTACCAGTACCATGCTGTTTTGGTTACTATAGCCTTGTAGTATAGTTTGAAGTCAGGTAGTGTGATGCCTCCAGGTTTGTTTTTTTTGGCTCAGGATTGACTTGGCAATGCAGGCTCTTTTTTGGTTCCATATGAACTTTAAAGTAGTTTTTTCCAATTCTGTGAAGAAAGTCATTGGTAGCTTGATGGGGATGGCATTGAATCTATAAATTACCTTGGGCAGTATGGCCATTTTCACGATATTGATTCTTCCTACCCATGAGCATGGAATGTTCTTCCATTTCTATCCTCTTTTATTTCCTTGAGCAGTGGTTTGTAGTTCTCTTTGAAGAGGTCCTTCACATCCCTTGTAAGTTGGATTCCTAGGTATTTTATTTTCTTTGAAGCAATTGTGAATGGGAGTTCACTCATGATTTGGCTCTCTGTTTGTCTGTTATTGGTGTATAAGAATGCTTTTGATTTTTGCACACTGATTTTGTATCCTGAGACTTTGCTGAAGTTGTTTATCAGCTTAAGATTTTGGGCTGAGACAATGGGGTTTTCTAGATATACAATCATGTTGTCTGAAAACAGGGACAATTTGACTATCTCTTTTCTTAATTGAATACCCTTTATTTCCTTCTCCTGCCTAATTGCCCTGGCCAGAACTTCCAACATTATGTTGAATAGGAGTGGTGAGAGAGGGCATCCCTGTCTTGTGCCAGTTTTCAAAGGGAATGCTTCCAGTTTTTGCCCATTCAGTATGATATTGGCTGTGGGTTTGTCATAGATAGCTCTTATTATTTTGAGATGCATCCAAGAAATACTTAATTTATTGAGAGTTTTTAACATGAAGAGTTGTTGAATTTTATCAAAGGCCTTTTCTGCATCTATTGAGATAATCCTGTGGTTTTTGTCTTTGGTTGTGTTTATATGCTGGATTACATTTATTGATTTGCATATATTGAACCAGCCTTGCATCCCAGGGATGAAGCCCACTTGATCATTGTGGATAAGCTTTTTGATGTGCTGCTAGATTCAGTTTGCCAGTATTTTATTGAGGATTTTTGCATCAATGTTCTTCAAGGATATTGGTCTAAAATTCTTTTTTGGTTGTGTCTCTGCCCAGCTTTGGTATCAGGATGATGCTAGCATCATAAAATGAGTTAGGGAGGATTCCCTCTTTTTCTATTGATTGGAATAGTTTCAGAAGGAATGGTACCAGTTCCTCCTTGTACCTCTGGTAGAATTCGGCTGTGAATCCATCTGGTCCTGGACTCTTTTTGGTTGGTAAGCTATTGATTACTGCCACAATTTCAGAGCCTGTTATTGGTCTATTCAGAGATTCAACTTCTTCCTGGTTTAGTCTTGGGAGAGTGTATATGTTGAGGAATTTATCCATTTCTTCTAGATTTCCTAGTTTATTTGTGTAGAAGTGTTTGTAGTATTCTCTCATGGTAGTTTGTATTTCTGTGGGATCAGTGCTGATATCCCTTTTATCATTTTTTATTGTGTCTATTTGATTTTTCTCTCTTTTTTTCTTTGTTAGTCTTGCTAGAAGTCTATCAATTTTGTTGATCCTTTCAAAAAACCAGCTCCTGGATTCATTAATTTTTTAAAGGGTTTTTTGTGTCTCTATTTCCTTCAGTTCTGCTCTGATTTTAGTTATTTCCTGCCTTCTGCTAGCTTTTGAATGTGTTTGATCTTGGTTTTCTAGTTCTTTTAATTGTGATATTAAGGTGTCAATTTTAGATCTTTCCTGCTTTCTCTTGTGGGCATTTAGTGCTATAAATTTCCCTCTACACAATGCTTCCAATGTGTCCCAGAGATTCTGGTATGTTGTGTCTTTGTTCTCATTGGTTTCAAAGAACATCTTTATTTCTGCCTTCATTTCGTTATGTACCCAGTAGTCATTCAGGAGCAGGTTGTTCAGTTTCCATGTAGTTGAGCAGTTTTGAGTGAGATTCTTAATCCTGAGTTCTAGTTTGATTGCACTGTGTTCTGAGAGATAGTTTGTTATAATTTCTGTTCTTTTACATTTGCTGAGGAGAGCTTTACTTCCAAGTGTGTGGTCAGTTTTGGAATAGGTGTGGTGTGCTGCTGAAAAGAATGTATATTCTATTGATTTGGGGTGGAGAGTTCTGTAGATGTCTATTAGGTCTGCTTGGTGCAGAGCTGAGTTCAATTCCTGGGTATCCTTGTTGACTTTCTGTCTCATTGATCTGTCTAATGTTGACAGTGGGATGTTAAAGTCTCCCATTATTAATGTGTGGGAGTCTATGTCTCTTTGTAGGTCATTCAGGACTTGCTTTATGAATCTGGGTGCTCCTGTTTTGGGTGCATATATATTTAGGATAGTTAGTTCTTCTTGTTGAATTGATCCCTTTACCATTATGTAATGGCCTTCTTTGTCTCTTTTGATCCTTGTTGGTTTAAAGTCTGTTTTATCAGAGACTAGGATTGCAACCCTTGCCTTTTTTTGTTTTCCATTTGCTTGGTAGATCTTCCTCCATCACTTTATTTTGAGCCTATTTGTGTATCTGCACGTGAGATGGGTTTCCTGAATACAGCACACTGATGGGTCTTGACTCTTTATCCAATTTGCCAGTCTGTGTCTTTTAATTGGAGCATTTAGTCCTTTTACATTTAAAGTTAATATTGTTATGTGTGAATTTGATCCTTCATTATGATGTTAGCTGGTTATTTTTCTCATTAGTTGATGCAGTTTTTCCTAGTCTCGATGGTCTTTACATTTTGGCATGATTTTGCAGCGGCTGGTACCAGTTGTTCCTTTCCATGTTTAGCGCTTCCTTCAGGAGCTCTTTTATGGCAGGCCTGGTGGTGACAAAATCTCTCAGCATTTGCTTGTCTGTAAAGGATCTTATTTCTCCTTCACTTATGAACTTAGTTTGGCTGGATATGAAATTCTGGATATGAAAATTCTTTTCTTTAAGAATGTTGAATATTGCCACCCACTCTCTTCTGGCTTGTAGAGTTTCTGCCGAGAGATCCGCTGTTAGTCCGTTGAGCTTCCCTTTGTGGGTGACCCAACCTTTCTCTCTGGCTGCCCTTAACATTTCTTCCTTCATTTCAACTTTGGTGAATCTGAAAATTATGTGTCTTGGAGTTGCTCTTTTTGAGGAGTATCTTTGTGGCATTCTCTGTATTTCCTGAATCTGAATGTTGGCCTGCCTTGCTAGATTGGGGAAATTCTCCTAGATAATATCCTGCAGAGTGTTTTCCAACTTGGTTCCATTCTCCCCGTCACTTTCAGGTACACCAATCAGATGTAGATTTGGTCTTTTCACATAGTCACAAATGAGGCTCTGCTCATTTCTTTTTATTCTTTTTTTCTCTAAAATTCCCTTCTTGCTTCATTTCATTCATTTCATCTTCCATCGCTCATACCCTTTCTTCCAGTTGATTGCATTGGCTCCTGAGTCTTCTGCATTCTTCATGTAGTTCTCGAGCCTTGGCTTTCAGCTCCATCAGCTCCTTTAGGCACTTCTCTGCATTGGTTATTCTAGTTATACATTCTTCTAAATTTTTTTCAAAGTTTTCAACTTCTTTGCCTTTGTTTTGAACGTCATCCCGTAGCTTGGAGTAATTTGATCATCTGAAGCCTTATTCTCTCAGCCCGTCAAATTCATTCTCCGTCCAGCTTTGTTCCGTTCCTGGTGAGGAACTGCGTTCCTTTGGAGGAAGAGAGGCACTCTGCTTTTTAGAGTTTCCAGTTTTTCTGCTCTGTTTTTTCCCCATCTTTGTGGTTTTATCTACTTTTTGTCTTTGATGATGGTGATGTACAGATGGGTTTTTGGTGTGGATGTCCCTTGTGTTTGTTAGTTTTCCTTCTAAAAGACAGGACCCTCAGCTGCATGTCTGTTGGAGTACCTGGCCGTGTGAGGTGTCAGTCTGCCCCTGCTAGGTGGTGTCTCCTAGTTAAGCTGCTCTGGGGTCAGGGTTCAGGGACACACTTAAGGAGGCAGTCTGCCCATTCTCAGATCTCCAGCTGCATGCTGGGAGAACCACTGCTCTCTTCAAAGCTGTCAGACAGGGACACTTAAGTCTGCAGAGGTTACTGCTGTCTTTTTGTTTGTCTGTGCCCTTCCCCCAGAGGTGGAGCCTACAGAGGCAGGCAGGCCTCCTTGAGCTGTGGTGGGCTCCACCCAGTTCGAGCTTCCTGGCTGCTTTGTTTACCTAAGCAAGCCTGGGCAATGACGGGCGCCCCTACCCCAGCCTCATTGCCGTCTTGCAGTTTGATCTGAGACTGCTGTGCTAGCAATCAGTGAGACTCCGTGGGCATAGGTTCCTCCCAGCCAGGTGCGGGACACAATCTCCTGGTGTGCCATTTTTTGAGCCCATTGGAAAAGCGCAGTATTCAGGTGGGAGTGACCTGATCTTCCAGGTGCCATCTGTCACCCCTTTCTTTGACTAGGAAAGGGAACTCCCTGACCCCCTTCATTTCCTGAGTGAGGCAATGCCTCACACTTCTTTGGCTTGCACACGGTGTGTGCACCCACTGACCTGTGCCCACTGTCTGGAACTCTCTAGTGAGATGAACCTGGTAACTCAGATGGAAATGCAGAAATCACCCATCTTCTGCGTTGCTCATGCTGGGAGCTCTAGACAGGAGGTGTTCCTATTCGGCCATCTTGGCTCCTCTCTCGAGGACTTGTAGTTTCATTCCTCTTGAATAAATATCTAGGTGAGGAAGTGTTTGGTTGTGGCATCATCATATGTCTTACCTTACAAAAAATACTCTAGGTGCTTCAAAAAAGTAGTCTTCCCATTTACTATTCCACCAAAATGTGAGTGTGAATTTCAGTTAGGTATAATTCTACCATAGTTCTTTCCATCTGTTTTGTATTATTCCATTACTCTTTTCATACCTTCCTTTGGATTAATTCTTTCTTACTGGCATCGTTTGGCTGCATCTCCACCCAAATCTCACTTTGAATTGTAATAATCTCCACACGTCAAGAGCAGTGTCAGGTGGAGATAATTAATTAAATGATGGATGCAATTTTCCCCATATTTTTCTTGTGATAGTGAATAAGTGTCACTAGTTCTGCTGGTTTTATAAATGGGAGTCCTGGTGCACATGCTCTTTTTGGATGTGGAACTGTGAGCCCACTAAACCTCTTTCCTTTGTAAATTACCCATTCTCAGTTATATCTTTATTAGCAGTATAAGAATACTTATGCACTTAGTATGTGATTTAATCTTCTCTACTAAAAAAGTATACACACATATATGTATGTACAAATACATATATGTATGTGCATGCATGCATACATACATATACATATATACATATACGTGAATATGCACATCTGCATGCACACACACACACACATACACATACATATATTAGTGATTATTCTATAGCAAAGCTCTAGCCCACTACCTTGTTTTGTGTCATCTACTAGCTAAGAAGGGTTTCTATATTTTTAAATGGGTGACTTTAAATAGTTACATGTTTACCAACATGATATCCTTGATTTTGCCTCTCAATCTATAAACCAAAAACTAGAACAACTGTCCCCAATCTTTTTGGAACCAGGGACCAGTTTCATGGAAGAAAATGGACTGGGCTGGGGTGGATGGTTTTGGGATAATTCAAGCACGACATTTATCATGAGGTTTATTTTTATAATGAAATAATTCTACAATTCCCCATAATGTAGAATCAGTGGGAGCCTTAAGCTTGTTTTCCTGCAATGAGGTGGCCCCATCTGGAGGTGATGGGTGATGGTGACAGATCATCAGTCATTAGATTCTTGTAAGACATACACAACCTAGATCCCTCGCATGCATGTTTCATAATAGGGTTTGCACTCCTTTAAGAATCTAATGCTGCTGCTGATCTGAAAGGAGGCAGAGCTCAGACAGACAGTAATGTGAGTGATGAGGAGTGGCTGTAAATACAGATGAAGCTTTGCTTCCTTCCCCACCACTGTCCTGCTTTGTGACCACAGCACAGGTCTGTGGCCCAGGTGTTGGACAACCCTCCTATAGACCCCTCCTACTGCCTGGTATTTAATAGAAAATGTTTGCCCACCTCTAACCTGGAGCTGTACTCTCCAATATGGTACCTGTTAGTCATATATGGATAATAGAAGAAAGTAGAATTAGAGGGTGGATTCAAGATGGCTGAATAGGAATAGCTCCAGTCAACAGGTCCCAGCATGAGTGACACAGAAGACAAATGATTTCTCCATTTCCAACTGAGGTACCAGGTTCATCCCACTGGGAAGTGTCAGAAAGCAGGTGCAGGACAATGGGTGCAGCACACCGAGTATGAGCTGAAGAAGGGCGAGGCATTGTCTCACCCAGGAAGTGCAGGGGATCAGGAAATTCCCTTTCCTAGTCAAAGAAATGGGTGACAGACAGCACCTGGAAAATTGGGTCTATCCCACCCTAATACTGCACTTTTCCAATGGTCTTAGCAAACTGCACACCAGGAGACTATATCCCGTGCATGGCTCTGAGGGTCCTATGCTCACAGAGCCTCACTCATTGCTAGCACAGCAGTCTGAGATCAAATTGCAAGGCTGCAGTGAGGCTGGGGGAGGGGCACCAGCCATGGCCAAGGCTTGGGTAGGTAAACAAAGCAGCCAGGAAGCTCGAACTTGGTGGAGCCCACTGCAGCTCAAGGAGGCCTGCCTGCATCTGTAGACTCCACCCCTGGGGGCAGGGCATAGCCAAACAAAAGGCAGCAGAAACCTCTGCAGACTTAAATGTCCCTGTCTGACAGCTTTGAAGAGAGTAGTGGTTCTCCCAGCATGCAGCTGGAGATTTGAGAACGGACAGACTGCCTCCTCAAGTGGGTGCCTGACGCCTGAGTAGCCTAACTTGGAGGCATCCCCCAGTAGGGCAGACTGACACCTCACATGGCCAGGTACTCCTCTGAGACAAAACTTCCAGAGGAATGATCAGGCAGCAACATTTGCTGTTCACCAATATACTCTGTTATGCAGCCGCCACTGCTGATACCCAGGCAAACAGGATCTGGAGTTGACCTCCAGCAAACTCCAACAGTCCTGCAGCTGAGGGTCCTGACTGTTAGAAGGAACAGTAACCAAGAGAAAGGACATCCACATCAAAATTCCATCTGCACATCACTATCATCAAAGACCAAATGTAGATAAAACCACAAAGACAGGGAAAATAAAGAGCAAAAAAACTGGAAACTCTAAAAATCAGAGTGCCTATCCTACTCCAAAGGAGCACAGCTCCTCACCAGCAACGGAAGGAAGCTGGACAGAAAATGACTTTGATGAGTTGAGAGAAGGTGGCTTAGGATTATTGAACTACTCTGAGCTAAAGGAGGAAGTTCAAACCAATGGCAAAGAAGTTAAAAACGTTGAAAAAAAATTCAGTCGAATGGCTAACTAGAATAACGAATGCAGAGAGGTCCTTGAAGGACTTGATGGAGCTGAAAACCAAGGCACAAGAACTATGTGATGAATGCACAAGCCTCAGTAACTGATTCGATCAACTGGAAGAAAGGGTATCAGTGGTGGAAATCAAATGAATGAAATGAAGCAAGAAGATAAGTTTAAAGAAAAAAGAATAGAAAGAAATGAACCCAGCCTCCAAGAAATATGGGACTATGTGAAAAGATCAAATCTACATCTGATTGATGTACCTGAAAGTGATGGGGAGAATGAAACCAAGTTGGAAAACATCTGCAGGATATTATCCAGGAGAACTTTCCCAATCTAGCAAGGCAGGCCAACATTCAAATTCAGGAAACATACAGAATGCCACAAAGATACTCCTCGAAAAGGGCAACTCCAAGACACATAATTTTCAGATTCACCAAAGTTGAAATGAAGGAAAAAATGTTAAGGAGAGCCAGAGAGAAAGGTCGGGTCACCCACAAAGGGAAGCCCAACGGACTAACAGCGGATCTCTCGGCAGAAACTCTACAAACCAGAAGAGAGTGGGTGGCAATATTCAACATTCTTAAAGAAAATAATTTTCATATCCAGAATTTCATATTCAGCCAAACTCAGCTTCATAAGTGAAGGAGAAATAAAATCCTTTACAGACAAGCAAATGCTGAGAGATTTTGTCACCACCAGGCCTGCCCTAAAAGAGCTCCTGAAGGAAGCACTAAACATGGAAAGGAAAAACCAGTACCAGCCACTGCAAAAATATACCAAATTGTAAAGATCATCAAGACTAGAAAGAAACTGCATCAACTGACGAGCAAAATAACCAGCTAATATCATAAAGACAGGAACATATTCACACATAACAATATTAACCTTAAATGTAAGTGGGTTAAATGGTCCAATTGAAAGACACAGACTGGCAAACTGGATAAAGAGTCAAGACCCATCAGTGTGCTGTATTCAGGAAACCCATCTCACGTGCAGAGACTCACATAAGCTCAAAATAAAGGGATGGAGGAAGACCTACCAAGCAAATGGAAAACAAAAAAAAAGCAGGGGTTGTAATCCTAGTCTCTGATAAAACAGAATTTAAACCAACAAATATTAAAAATGCCAAAAAGGTCATTACATAATGGTAAAGGGATCAATTCAACAAGGAGAGCTAACTATCTTAAATATGTATTAACCCAATACAGGAGCACCTAGATTCCTAAAGCAAGTCCTTAGAAACCTACAAAGAGACTTAGACTCCTACACAATAATAATGGGAGACTTTAACATCCCACTGTCAACATTAGACAGATCAATGAGAGAGAAAGTTAACAAGGATATCCAGGAATCGAACTCAGCTCTGCACCAGGTGGATCTAATAGACATCTACAGAACTCTCCACCCCAACTCAAGAGAATATACATTCTTTTCAACAGGACACCACACCTATTCCAAAATTGACAACATAGTTGGAAGTAAAGCACTCCTCAGCAAATGTAAAAGAACACAAATTACAACAAACTTTCTCTCAGACCACAGCCCAATCAAACTGGAACTCAGGATTAAGAAACTCACTCAAAACTGCTCGACTACATGGAAACTGAAACAACCTGCTCCTGAATGACTACTGGGTACATAAAGAAATGAAGGCAGAAATGAAGATGTTCTTTGAAACCAATGAGAACAAAGACACAACATACCAGAATCTCTGGGACACATTCAAAACAGTGTGTAGAGGGAAACTTATAGCACTAAATGCCCACAAGAGAAAGCAGGAAATATATTAAACTGACTCCCTAACATCACAATTAAAATAACTAGAGAAACAAGAGCAAACATTCAAAAGCTAGCAGAAGGCAAGAAATAACTAAGATCAGAGCAGAACTGAAAGAAATAGAGACACAAAAAACCCTTCAAAAAATTAATGAATCCAGGAGCTGGTTTTTTGGAAAGTTCAACAAAATTGATAGACTGCTAGCAAGACTAATAAACAAGAAAAGAGAGAAGAATCAAATAGACACAACAAAAAATGATAAAGGGGATATCACCACGAATCCCACAGAAATACAAACAACAATCAGAGAATACTGTAAACATCGCTATGCAAATGAACTAGAAAACCTAGAAAAAATGGATAAATTCCTCCACACATACACCCTCCCAAGAGTAAACCAGGAAGAAGTTTAACCTCTGAATAGATCAATAACAGACTCTGAAATTGAGGCAATAATTAATAGTTTTCCAAACAAAAAAAGTCCAGGACCAGATGGATTCACTGCCGAATTCTACCAGAGATACAAGGAGGAGCTGGTACCATTCCTTCTGAAACTATTGCAATCAATAGAAAAAGAGGGAATCCTCCCTAACTCATTTTATGAGGTCAGCATCATCCTGATACCAAAGCCTGGCAGAGACACAACAAAAAAAAATAGAATTTTAGACCAATATCCCTGATGAACATCAATGCCAAAATCCTCAGAAAAATACTGCCAAACCAAATCCAACAGCACATCAAAAAGCTTATCCACTGTGATCAAGTGAGCTTTATCCCTGGTATGCAAGGCTGGTTCAACATACACAAATCAATAAACATAATCCAGCATATAAACAGAACCAATGACAAAAACCACATGGTTATCTCAATAGATGCAGAAAAGGTCTTTGACAAAATTCAACAACCCTTCATACTAAAAACTCTCAATAAATTAGGTGTTGATGGGACATATCTCAAAGTAATAAGAGCTATCTATGACAAACCCACAGCCAATATCATACTGAATGTGCAAAAACTGGAAGCATTCCCTTGAAAACTGGCACAAGACAGGGATGCCTTCTCTCACCGCTGCTATTCAACGTAGTGTTGGAAGTTCTGACCAGGGTAATCAGACAGGAGAAGGAAATAAAGGGTATTCAATTAGGAAAAGAGGAAGTCAAATTGTTCCTGTTTGCAGATGACATGATTGTATATCTAGAAAACTCCATCATCTCAGTCCAAAAACTCCTTAAGCTGATATGCAAATTCAGCAAAATCTCAGCATACAAAATCAATGTGCAAAAATCAGAAGCATTCTTATACATCAATAATAGACAAACAGAGAGCCAGATCATGAGTGAACTCCCATTCACAATTGCTTCAAAGAGAATATAGTACCTAGGAATCCAACTTACAAGGGATGTGAGGGACACTTCAAGGAGAATTACAAACCACTGCTCAATGAAATAAAAGAGGATACAAAGAAATAGAAAAACATTCCATGCTCATGGGTAGGAAGAATCAATATTGTGAAAATGACCACACTGCCCAAGGTAATTTATAGATTCAATGCCATCTCCATCAAGCTACCAATGACTTTCTTCACAGTATTGGAAAAAATTACTTTAAATTTCATATGGAACCAAAAAAGAGCCCGCATTGCCAAGTCAATCCTAAGCCAAAAGAGCAAAGCTGGAGGCATCACGCTACCTGACTTCAAACTATACTACAAGGCTACAGTAACCAAAACAGCATGGTACTTGTACCAAAACAGAGATATAGACCAATGGAACAGAACAGAGCCCTCAGAAATAATATCATATATCTGCAACCATCTGATCTTTGACAAACCTGACAAAAACAAGCAATGGGGAAAAGATTCCCTATTCAACAAATGGCGCTGGGAAAGCTGGCTAACCATATGTGGAAAGCTGAAACTGGATCCCTTCCTTACACTTTCTACAAAAATTAATTCAAGATGGATTAAAGACTTAAATATTACAACTAAAACCATAAAAACCCTAGAAGAAAACCTAGGCAATATCATTCAGGACGTAGGCATGGATATATACTTCATGTCTAAAACACCAAAAGCAATGGCAACAGAAGCCAAAATTGTCAAATGGGATCTAATTAAACCAAAGAGCATCTGCACAGCAAAAGAAACTACCATCAGAGTGAACAGGCAACATGCAGAATGGGAGACAATTTTTGCAATCTACTCATCTGACAAAGGGCTCATATCCAGTATCTACAAGAAACCCAAATAAATTTACAAGAAAATAACAAACAACCCCATCAAAAATTGGTGAAAGGATATGAACAGACACTTCTCAAAAGAAGATATTTTTGCAGTCAAAAGACACATGAAAAAATGCTCCTCATCACTGGCCATCAGAGAGATGCAAATCAAAACCACAATGAGATACCATCTCACACCAGTTAGAATGGTGATCATTAAAAAGTCAGGAAACAACAGGTGCTGGAGAGGATGTGGAGAAATAGGAACAGTTTTACACTGTTGGTGGGACTGTAAACTAGTTCAACCATTGTGGAAATCAGTGTGGCGATTCCTCAGGGATCTAGAACTAGAAATACCATTTGACCCAGTCATCCTATTACTGGGTATATACCCAAAGGATTGTAAATCATGCTACTATAAAGACAGATGCACACGTATGTTTATTGTGGCACTATTCACAATAGCAAAGACTTGGAGCCAATCCAGATGTCCAACAATGATAGACTGGATTAAGAAAATGTGGCCATATACAACATGGAATACTATAGAGCCATAAAAAATGATGAGTTCATGTCCTTTGTAGGACATGGATGAAGCTGGAAACCACCATTCTCAGCAAACTATCACAAGGACAAAAAACCAAACACCGTGTGTTCTCACCCATAGGTGGGATTTGAACAATGAGAACACATGGACACAGGAAGGGTAACTTCACACACTGGGGCCTGTTGCTGGGGTGGGGGAGGGGAGAGGAATAATATTTGGAGATATGCCTAATGTTAAATGACGAGTTACTGGGTGCAGCACACCACAATGGCACATGTGTACATAAGTAACTAACCTGCACATTGTGCACCTGTACCCTAAAACTTAAAGTATAATAACAATAAAAAAAGAAAGTAGAATTAAATAGCAATGTCAAAAATCAGCCCCTATCTCACACTAGCCACATTTCAAGCTTTCACTATCCAAGGTTGCTGATGGCTACCATATTGAACAATGCAATACTTCTATAGACTAAATATTTGTGTCCTCCCACTTAATTCCTGTGTTGAAAGATAACCGTCAAGGTGATGATATTAGAATGTGTGTCCTTTGGGAGGTGATGAGGTCGTGAAAGTGGGCCTTGTGAGTGGGATTAGAAATCTCATAAAAGGTACTCCAGAGAGCTCCCTCACCCCTTCTACTATGTGAGAACACAAGAAGGTGCCATCTATGAAGCAGGAAGCAAGTCCTCACCAGACGCTGAATCTGAGGCTGTCTTAATTTTGGACTTCCAGCCTCCCAAACTATGAGAAATATGTTAGTGTCATTTATGAGCTACCCAGTCTCTGGTATTTTTGTTGTAGCATTTCCAAGACACTAACCCATCTTCTGTCATCTCAGAAAGTTCTGCTGAAAGTATGACTGTAGAGAATTCAATATTTATCTTTAACATATCCTAGTCAACATTTAAAAAATTATACTTCAGTAATTTCCCCTTATTATGGGTGATATGTTTGAAGGCCCATGTGGATCCCTGAAACTGAAGATAATACTGAACGCTATAGATACTATATTTTTTCTTATAGCTATATACTTATGATAAGTTTAATTTATAAATTAGGGACAGTGAGAGAATTGATAAAAAAAGGTAACAATTATAATAATATGCCAGCATGTCTAGTCTTATACTTTGGGGCCATTACTAAGGAAAATAAAGATTATTTGACCATAAGCACTCCATACCAGGGCAATGACTCCAATAACTGAGATGACTCCTAATTGTCTACAGAACAGATATACTGAAGAGAAAGATGATTCCTGTCCCTGGCAGGATAGAGAGTAATGATGGGAGATTTCATCCTGCTATGATATGGTTAGGATTTTTGTCCCTACCCAAATCTCATCTTGAATCGTAATCTGCATGTGTTTATGGAGAGAAACCTGGTGGAAAGTGATTGGATCGAGGGGGGTGGCTTCCCATGTTGTTATTGTGATAGTGAGTTCTCATGGGATCTGATGGTTTTATGAGCATCTAGCCTTTCCGCTGCTTGCATGCTCTCTCTCTCCTGCCGCCATGTAAGATGTGCCTGCTTTGCCTTCTGCCATGAATGTAAGTTTCCTGAGGCTTCCCTGCCATATGGAAATGTGAGTCAATTAAGCTTTTTTTCTCTTTTTAATTACCCAGTCTCAGGTAGTGTCTTTATAGTACTGTGATAATGGACTAATACATGCTACTTAGGACAACATGTACTTTAAAATTTGGGATGTATTTATTTCTGGATTTTTTCATGGAAAATCTCAATGTCATTTTGTGAGAATTGCTGGAGTATCTATTTGCTCTGTCTGTCATGCCCAGCTTTCTGTACACCAAGAGAATTTTCTCCACCTTGTGACACTGCCTTCAATGTTTGGAGGGCTATTGTCTTATATCCTGTAAAGGTCAGAGATGTCCATGCAGCGTTTCATTAAGTTCTCCTTCCCTGACCTCAACCTTCTGAGAGAGGCTGCCATGAACTTGGGGTAGATTGTGCCTGAGGAGCTATGCTTCCCAGCTCTCTCCTCCTGTATGCACCATATTTGACATACTATCACTCTACCCTCTGTAGAGATGTTTGGGAAGCAGTTTGCAGGTGGATGAGGATCCGTTCACAGACTAGCACTCCTCAGTTGTCTAAACTGACATGCCTACCTGCCTGTGGTCACTGCACCTTATAAAAAGTTTAGCTAGTGTCTTCTTTACCACATTAGCAGCTTCCTCTGCCTCTCCAAATCCAAAATGAAAATAGTCAGGTGTGTTTTCTTTCTTATATAGATCTTGTTACTTTTTGAATTCAGTTTATAGGTGTTTCATTGTTTCCTGAACTTTAATTACATTTTTAAGCTAGGCACAGGGCCTCACGCCTATAATCCCAGCATTTTGGGAGGCCAAGGCAGGAAGATTGCCTGGGGCCAGTACTTCAAGACAAGCCTAGGCAACTTAGTGAGCCCCTTCTTCTTCTTTTTTTTTTTTTTTTGAGACAGAATCTCACTCCGATAGCCATGCTGGAGTGCAGTCACATGATCTTGGCTCACTACAACACCCAACTCCCAGGCTCAAGCAATTCTCCTGCCTCAGCCTCTTTAGTAGCTGGGATTACAGGCATGTGCCACCATGCCCAGCTAGTTTTCGTATTTTTACTAGAGATGGGGTTTCACCATCTTCTCCAGGCTGGTCTCAAGCTTCTGACCTTAGGTAATCTGCCCACCTCAGCCTCCTAAAGTGTTGGGATTACAGACATGAGCCATCACACCCGGCATAAAAATATCTTTAAAAATTAGCTGAGCATGCTAGTAGTGCAAGCCACTCTGGAGGTTGAGGTGGTAGGATCCCTTGAGGCTGGGAGTTCAAGTCTAGAGTGAGCTACAACTGTACAACTACACTCTAACATGGACAACAGAGCAAGACCCTGTCTCAAAACAAAACCAAAACAAACCTAAAAAACCACAAAAGTTTTCTAAAAAAACGTAATTTTTTGGCCCAGCATGGTGGCTCACACCTGTAATCCCAACACTTTGGGAGGCCGAGGTGGGTGAATCACAAGGTCAGGAGATCAAGACCATCCTGGATAACATGGTGAAACCCCGTCTCTACTAAAAATACAAAAAATTAGCTAGGCATGGTGGTGGATGCCTGTAGTCCCAGCGAGTCAGGAGGCTGAGGCAGGAGAATGGCAAGAACCCAGGAGGCGGAGCTTGCAGTGAGCCAAGATTACAACATTGCACTCCAACCTGGGCAACAGATAGAGAATCCATCTCAAAAAACAAACAAACAAACAAAAAATCATAAAAATTTTGACTAAAAGATCTTTTAAATAAATGTCTATTGTTTTGTTTATTAGGATGAGAGTAATATTTTTTCTTGAACTGGAAGAGTGACTCCTAATAACTATATTTAATCCTGAGGTTCAATTAGATAAGAAATGATTTTTTTCCTGAAGAGTTAATCCAAATGCTTATAACTTTGCATTACAAGATAATCTAATTCTCTTTGGCTTTTTTTGTGTTTTCATTTGTTTTTTCTTTTGTCTACTTCATTTTGGCATAATCAGTCACCATACAGCTATTATAATACAACAGTATTTTAATAATTTGAAATTTATACCAAGATATTTCAAATCTCCCTCTCTTACTCTATTGATCTTCTTTCTCAAATTGCCATGACTATGCTTGTATGTTTCTCCTTCCAGATGAGTAGAAAAATAACTTTTTAATCTAAAGAATGGAACAAAATTCCACTGTGGTTCTCTTTATTGTTGTGTCAAACATGATAGCTTAAGTCTAAAAGTTTTAATATGTTAAGAATACTGAAAAATCTCATCCAAAATCATGCCATATGACTTTATTTATATTTGTTGTCTTCTACGTTTTTCAGTAATGTTTGTGTATTTCTTCATTAGAAATTTAATTTTGTAACAAGAACAATGGAGAACAAGGAAGTTTGTAGACATGAAGGACCATGTTCAGAGTTATCAGTGCCTAAGGCAGACTTGATGAAAAAGAACACGTGGTCTGGTCTAAGTTTACTGCAGACTTCTCACTCTAATCTTGCATTATACTTGACACATTTGTCTTATTTTCACCCCATACTCCAGTCTCAGGCCCCATGTGTATTTTTCTGTAGTTACTCACTTATTTTCACAGATTAAGTGAAGTTTTTTTTAAAATATCACTATTGGATAATTAATTCCAACTGTATATTTTCCAGAAATGGAAAAAAATTATCCATTATACTATGAATATTAAATTTTCTAATATGCATTTTAATATGACAGATTTTGATAGTCTGGTGATATGAAACAGTTAGGATGTTCATGACAAATGAAGAAAAATACATATAAATATTCACTCCATGACCTCGTTAAGATTGTGCCACTGCACAATTTTGAAAGTGTAATTCTTTCAATGTTGAAAGTGTAATTCTTTTTGAATTTGGTACTAAAGATTATGGTTGTTAAAGTCTGGCAGAAACATTGCTGAAGAACAGCTATTGTATTGTTCCACATTATTGAAGGAAGGTTATTATCATGTGAAGAGCAGAAGGTGAAAGAAAAAAAACAGAAAAAAGAAAGATATCTAGCAAAGTTCTCTGAACTGATATTCACTTCTCAGTATTGACATAGCCTACATTGAAACTTGGATAGCAACTGGAAACTGCTGTGGAAAGGTAGTCACTGTTTCTTAACTCATTAGAGGCAATATTAAATCATTAAAATTTGTAGGTCTGACCTAGGAAAAATACACAAGTGCTTTCATGCTGTGTATGTCCCAGAAATGTAGGTATGAAATCCAGCAGGTTATTTTCAGTGAAGGGCTGAAGTGGGTTGTGTTAACATACTTATGTAATCAAATTTCAAATGTGACACATTTCCTCTTTCTTTCTTTCTTTCTTTCTTTCTTTCTTTCTTTCTTTCTTTCTTTCTTTCCTTCTTTTCTTTCTTTCTTTCTTTCTTTCCTTCTGATAGAGTTTCACTCTTATCACCGAGGCTGGAGTGCAGTGGCACAATCTCAGCTCACTGTAGCCTTTGGCTCCTGGGTTCAGGCAATTCTCCTGCCTCAGCCTCCCAAGTAGCTGGGATTACAGGTTCCTGCCACCACACCTGGCTAATTTTTTGGTATTTTTAGTAGAGATGGGGTTTTGCCATGTTGTCCGGTCTGGTCTCGAACTCCTGACCTCAGGCGATCTGCCCGCCTCAGCCTCTCAAAACGCTAGGATTACAGGCATGAGCAACAGCAACTGGCCCACACTTTCAAACAACAAGATCTCATAAGAACTCCATCATGAGAACGGCAAAGGAGAAATCCAGCCCCGTGATTCAATCACATCCCAGCAGGCCCATCCCCCAACACTGGGTATGAAAACTCAACGTGATATTTTGGTAGGCTCACAGAGCCAAACTATATCGCTGCACATACGGAGAACTACCATCCAAATTCTAGCTGAATATATTACTCTACTTTCATATTGTTACAAAGAACTGCCTGAGACTGGGCAATTTATAAAGAGAGAAGTTTAATGGACTCACAGTTTAGCATGGCTGGGGAGGCCTCAAGAATTTTACAATCATGGCAGGAGGCATAGGGGAAGTAAGACACCTTCTTCATAAGGTGACGGAAAGAAAACCTCCTGAGCTAAGGGGAAAGAGCCCCTTATAAAACCATTAGATCTCATAAGAACTCATTCACCATTGTGAGATTGGCACGGGGGAAAATTCCCCCATAACCCTATTACCTCTACTAAGTCTCTCCTTTGATACATGGAGATTATAGTAATTATAGGGATTACAATTCAAAATGAGATTTGGCTGGGGACACAAATCCTAACCATATTAAAATATATCAACATATTCAGATGAAAATATAGCTCTTCTTCAATTCTGAAGACCCATAAGATGTTATTAGATATGGTTGAAATAACCATCTTTCCCAAGAACAGCAAATGTTAGGCTTAATTAGTCTTATATCACAGAGAAAAAAATGTTAAGAATGAAATTGGAGTCAGAATACTGAAAGAAACCCTGTATGTAAACATCAGTAGTTTTTTTTTTTTTTTAATACAACTGGTGGTCCAGACAGATATTTTATGTGTAGAAAGACATTTACATTATGGAAGTAAATACTTTTTCTTGCGTATTTTATTGCTCTTATTTAGGGTAGAACTTATTCCTCCCACATGGTCGCACTGCTTTTTGTATGGCATCTCCCTTCTCCCCTCCCTCCCTTCTTCCTTCCTTCCTTTTTTTCTTCCTTCCTTCCTTTTTTTCTTCCTTCCTTCCTCCCTTCCTCCCTTCTTTATTCCCTCCATCCTTTCCTCTTTCTAGCCCTCCTTCCTTCTTCCCTCCCTCCTTCCTTCCCTTTTTCCTTTCTTCCTTCTCTCCCTCCCTCCTTTATTCATTTCTTCATTTCTTCATTCCGTTTTTACTTCCTTCCCTCCCTCCTTTCTTTCCTCCCTTTGTCCTTCCTTCCTTCCTTCTTTTCTTCCCTTCTTTATTCCTTCTTTCCTTTTTCTTTCTTCCTTCTTTTCTTCCTTACTTCCGCCCGTTCTTCCTCCCCTCCCTCCTTTCTTCCTCACCTCCCTTTCTTCCTTCCGTCTCTCCAGTTCTCCCTCCATCTGTTCTTCCTTCTCCCCTTTCTTTCTTCCCTTCCTCATTTCTGCCATCCCTCACTCCTTCTCTCCCTTATTCCTTCTTTCCTTCCTTCCTTGCTTCCTGCCTCCCTTCTTCCTTCTTTCCTTCCATCTTTCCTTCATTCCCTCCATTCTTTCTTCCTTCCCTTCCTCCTTCCTTCCTTCCTTTTCTCCTTCCCTTTCTCCCTTCTTTCCTTCATTCCTTTGTTCCTTCCTTCCTATCTTCCTCTCTTCCCATTGTCCTTTTATCTTTCCATCTCTCCCTCCCTCCTTCCTTCCTTTTTTCCTTTTTCTTTCTTCCTTCCTTCCTCTCTTCCCACTCTCCCTTTTTCTTTCCTTCCTTCCTTCATTCCTTTCTTCTTTCCTTCTTTCCTTCCTTCCTTTCCTCCTTCCTTCCTTCCCTCCCTCCATCCTTCCCTGCCTTTCTTTCCTCCTCTCTCACTTTCTCCCTTCCTTCCTCTTTCTCCCTTCCTCCTGTTTCTTTTCTTCCTTTCTCTCTGTTGAATATTTCCTTTAGGGATTAGTAGAGGGCCTGTAATTTTCTCTCAATTATTTTCTTATTTAGCCAATATCATATTAGTCATGAAAATATTAAACAGTAATATCTGAAGCATATCACTGATGAGGAATCTGTTTTGCTACCCACTTTGTTACACAAAATTGTTGATCTTATATAGCAGGGACTAACCAGTGGTTTTTGTGAAGGGCCAGAGGGCATGTATTTTAGGCTCTTTTGGCCATAGGTTCTCTACAATTTTTAAAATCTACTTCTGCAGCATGAAAAGAGCCATAGGCAATGTGTTAACAAATGATATGATTTCTTGTCCATAAAACTTCATTTACAAAAACAGAAGTAGTCTGGGTTGGATTAGCACCATCAATTGCCAATGTCTGTCCTAGAAAGAAGAAAAACTCAACACTGCTCAGGTTAGAGCATTAACAGAAGAAGGAAAACTCAACACTGCTCAGATTAGAACAATAACAGAAGCAATCTGTTAGTGGACTTTTGTGTTCCAATTACTTCATGAAACCTCAGTACTCAAGTAATGGAATAACAATTTAGGCTCAGCTATAAGCATCCTAAAACAATAAGATAGTCCAGTGTAAACATGAACTCATAGAAGCAGAACATCATTCAACATGCCAAAGAGGTTTCAGGCTGGAACTGAACTTTCTTAGCCATGGAGGCTAAGTGTTATGACCAGCCCTCTTCCTGCTCTTTCTTTCCTTCTACCCTCTCCCCTTCCTTCTTTGCCACTTTTCTTTTTTTCTTAGGATGAGAAAATATAGACAACTTTAGAACCTACAGAATGTCTTTTATTTCAAGGTCTATAAATCCATGGATGTTCAAGGCTGAGGCTAGCAATGTTATTGATCAGATTGAGTTGGATATTATACAATAGTGCTTTCTGGAAACTGGGGCTTACTGGAGAGGGAGTCGTTTCCCAGGTATAAAGGAGGCTGAATCTACTCAAATAGTGTCATGTGCATAAATGGTGTTAGGAATAAAAAAAATGCCCACTTTCAAGTGCTCCCCAATCCTGCACCAGCCCCCACACTAGATTTTGTTTGGAAATGAGTACATGCATAACCAGACTTGGGTTCATTATTCAACAAACCTAAAATCAGCAACGCATAGGAAAACAAAATGGAAGAAAACACCCCCCTTGGTGATTTTGTAGCATCTCCATAGACTGGTGCCCAGGTATGAATTTTTTCTTCTCTACACTCTCCTTGTCATAGCTCCGGCTTCTCTTCTATACTAAATGCTCTTTGGATTGTGTTCTTTCCTATCTCCTCTGCAATGACTCTCACTAATGTGACTGATGGAAGTCATACTAAGAAAATAAGTGGCAATTTATTTAAAATGCAAAGCACTTAGCAACGGTTATAGAAAACCAGGAATCATGTTGAAAAGGAGAAAGAAAGACTGATAGATTAAAATATGTGCAGGAACCAGAGGAAAATGCAATGATATCTGAAGTAAAAAATACAGTGTGAAAATACAGTTTTGAAAAGATCAACAAAATTGATAGACCACTAGCAAGACTAATAAGAAAAGAAAATAATCAAATAGATGCAATTAAAAATGATAAAGGGGATATCACCAATGATTGCACAGAAATACAAACTACCATCACAGAATACTGTAAACACCTCTACACAAATTAAATTAACTAGAAAATCTATAAGAAATGAATAAATTTCTGGACACATGCACCCACACAACACTAAATCAGGAAGAAGTTGAATTGCTGAATAAACCAATAACAGGCTCTGAAATTGAGGTAACAATTAGTAGCCTACCAACCAAAAAAAATTCCAGGACCAGATGGATTCACAGCTGAATTCTAGCAGAGGTACGGAGAGGAGCTGGTACCATTCCTTCTGAAACTATTCCAATCAATAAAAATAGAGGGCACATAAAAAAGCTTATCCACCAAAATTAAGTGGGCTTCGTCCCTGGAATGTAAGGCTGGTTCAACATATGCAAATCAATAAATGTAATCTATCACATAAACGGAACCAAAGACAAAAACCCATGATTATCTCAATAGATGCAGAAAGGCCTTCAAAAAATTCAACAGCGCTTCATACTAAAAACTCTCAATAAAATAGGTATTGATGGAACATATTTCAAAATAATAAGAGGCATTTGTGACAGACCCACAGCCAGTATCATACTGAATGGGCAAAAACTGGAAGCATTCCCTTTGAAAACTGGCACAAGTCAGGTATACCCTCTCTCAACAATCCTATTCAACATAGTGTTGGAAGTTCTGGCCAGGGCAATCAGGCAAGATAAAGAAATAAAGAGTATTCAATTAGGAAAAGAGGAAGTCAAATTGTCCTTGCCTGCAGATGACATGATTGTATATTTAGAAAATCCCATCGTCTCAGCCTTAAATCTCCCTGAGATGATAAGCAACTTCAGCCAACTCTCAGGATACAAAATCAATGTGTGAAAATCACAAGCATTCTTAAACACCAATAACAGACAGAGAGCCAAATCATGAGTGAACTCCCATTCACAGTTGCTTCAAAGAGAATAAAATACCTAGGAATCCAACTTACAGGATATGTGAAGGACCTATTCAAGAAGAGCTAGAAACCACTAGTCAATGAAATAAAAGAGGACAGAAACAAATAGAAGAACATTCCATGCTCATGGATAGGAAAAATCAATATTGTGAAAATGGTCATACTGCCCAAGGCAATTTATAGATTCAATGCCATTCTCATCAATTTACCAATGACTTTCTTCAAAAATTGAAAAAAAATTACTATAAAGTTCATATGGAACAAAAAAAGAGCCTGCATTGCCAAGGCAATCCTAAGGAAAAACAACAAAGCTGGAAGCATCACGCTACCTATCTTCAAACTATATTACAAGGCCACAGTAACCAAAACAGCATGGTACTGGTACCAAAACAGAGATATAGATCAATGGAACAGAACAGAGCCCTCAGAAATAATGCCACATATCTACAACTATCTGATCTTTGACAAACCTGAGAAAAACAAGCAATGGGGAAAGGATTCCCTATTTAATAAATGGTGCTGGGAAAACTGGCTAGCCATATGTAGAAAGATGAAACTGGATCCCTTCCTTACACCTTCTACAAAAATTAATTCAAGGTGGATTAAAGACTTAAATCTTAGATCTAAAACCATGAAAACCTGAGAAGAAAACCTAGGCAATATCATTCAGGACATAGGCGTGGACAAGGACTTCCTGACTAAAACACCAAAACAATGGCCACGAAAGCCAAAATTGAAAAATGAGATCTAATTAAACCAAAGAGCTTCTGCACAGCAAAATAAACTACCATCAGAGTGAACAGGCAACCTACAGAATGGGGGAAAATTTTTACAATCTATCCATCTGACAAAGGGCTAATATCCAGAATCTACAAATAACTTAAATTTACAAGAAAATATCAAACAACCCCATCAAAAAATGGAAAAAGGATATGAACAGACATTTTCAAAAGACATTTATGCAGCCAGCAGACACAGGAAAAAAATGCTCATCATCACTGGCCATCAGAGAAATGCTAACCAAAACCACAATGACATAACATCTCACACCAGTTAGAATGGCAATCATTAAAAAGTCAGGAAACAACAAGTGCTGGTGAGGGTGTGGAGAAATAGGAACGTTTTCACATAGTTGATGGGAGTGTAAACTAGTTCAACCATTGTGGAAGACAGTGTGGTGATTCCTCAAGGATCTAGAACCAGAAATGCCATTTGACCCAGCCATCCCATTACTAGGTATATACCCAAAGGATTATAAATCATTCTACTATAAAGACACATGCACATGTATGTTTATTGCGGCACTATTCACAATAACACAGACTTGGAACCAACCCAAATGTCGAACAATAATAGACTGGATTAAGAAAATGTTGGACATATACACCATGGAATACTGTGCAGCCATAAAAAGTGATGAGTTCATGTCCTTTGTAGGCACATGGATGAAGCTGGAAACCATCATTCTTAGCAAATTATCACAAGGGCAGAAAGCCAAAAACACTGCATGTTCTCACTCATAGGTGGGAATTTAACAATGAGAACACTTGGACACAGGACAGGGAACATCACACACTGGGGTCTGACATGGGGTGGGGTTTTGGGGGAGGGATATAGCATTAGGAGAAATACCTAATGTAAATGATGAGTTAATGGGTGCTGCAAACTAACACAGCACTAGTGTACATATGTAACAAACCTGCACATTGTGCACATGTACCCTACAACTTAAAGTATAATAAAAAATACACTGTGTGACTTATAGTTGGTGCCTTAAACATTGATGTTCTCCAAGATGTTCTCATTGGCTATGTGTCCATCTGAACCATCTACAAGGATGGTGTGTATGTTGGCTGTTGTCTGAAAGACTTGCACACCCAATTGAAAAAAATCTCACACACATACAACTATTTTGTTTTTCTAAGGCCAGAAAGCCATCATAAATCCATTCAGACCCATCGTCAAACAGCTTAAACATCAGCTCTTCTCTGCTCCCAGGTCAGACCTGGTCTCAGAACTCTGGATATCTAGCCATTTGTCTACCACCTATTTCCCTCTCAAATGTGTTACTGAGCAATAAATGGGCTCTTTTCTGATGCAGAAAGAAGCCAATTCCATGGCATTGGCTTTTGAGAAAAGAAAAGTTTTACTGTGAGTCAACTGGTGAGGAGACAGAAGGAAATGTTCAAATCTGTCTCTCTAATATGGGGATAGGTTGGGTTTTATAAGCATGGAATAATAAAGCATTATCTGATTGGATCTTGCAATGAGGCAATGCTGAGAGGAATCAACTTAGTGGATTCTGCCACAGGGTGAAATCAGGGCTCAATCTGATTGGACCCTGAATCCCACCGTGAGTGTTTGCTTCTTAATGCAGTCCCCATTCCTTGTGGGACTTAAGTCCCACCTTGGTTCATTTTGGAATGCCCAGGTTATGTGACCTTAAACTGGGGATCCAGGACAACTGAAAAACAATTCACAACCTTTCTACATAAAAGTTGAACCAGATTGCTCTGGTATGGTTACAAATGCAGTGTGTGCAAAAGAGAAAGTGTCTCTATTCCTAGAAGTGCTCCTCCTTCGAAGGACAAGGTAAGAGATCTACCAAACAAGTAGTTGTTCTCTATAACCTGGGAGTCATCCTGCTATCTCTCCCCTCACCTGTCCTGTATTTTTTTTCCAGTGGCTGCAGTAACCAACTACCACAAACTCAGGGGCTTTAAACAACACCCATGTACTATCTTACTGTTTTGGAGATGAAAGTCTGACTTGGTTTAACATCAAGGAGTTGGTAGTGCAGTTCATATGATTTGTCTCTGTCCCCACCCAAATTTCATCTGAACTGTAGCTCCTGTAATTCTCACATGTTGTGGAAGGGACCCAGTGGGAGGCAATTGAATCATGTGGGTGAGACTTTCCCATGCCATTCTCATGATAGTGAATAAGTCTCATGAGACCTGTTAGTTTTATAAAGGGGAGATTTCCTGTACAAATTCTCTTGTTGTCACATGTAAGATGTTCCTTTTTCCTTCCACCATGATTGTGAGGTGTCCCTAAGCACATGGAACTGTGAGTCCACTCAACCTCTTTTTCTTTGTAAATTACTCATTCTTTATAAGCAACATGAAAAACAGCTAATACAGCACTGTCCCTTTCTGAAAACTATAAGGAAGAATCTGTTCCATGTCACTTCCAGTGCATAGAGGCCACCAGAATTTTCTGGTTCATGATTTTCTTCTCCTTCTGTAAGATCAATAGCATCTTCAAATCTCTCTCTTACTCTGACCCTACTGCCTTCCTCTTATAAGGACTTTTCTGATGACACTGGACCACCTGGATAGTCTAGGATCAACTTCTGATTTCAACATCCTTAACTTAATCACATCCACAAACTCCCTTTTGGCAAGAAAGATCAACTATTCACAGGTTCCAAGGATTAGGGTATGCACATTTGTATTCTGTCTGCCATATGTTCCAAACCTGGTTATTAGTCTTAGATCATCCTTATCTTTAATATGCCTCCAATAAGCTCTTTTCACTGTGTGGTGATGACTGTGCCATGGACAGCATCTACAATCTCACCTCCTCCTACTTGGATCACCTCTGTAGTTTTTTAATTCATGGTGTTTGACAATCTACAGCTCACATTTGGCAGGGATACTAGTACATTCTTGAACTATTATAAAACAATACAAGATACTGGGTAATTTACAAAAAAAGAGAGGTTTACTGGCTCATAGTCCTGCAGGTTGTCAATTAGGAGTCTTTCACAATAATTGGAGCAAGAGACAATGATGACCTGAATTGAGATGACCTGAGAAACAACAGGTATATGACACTAGTATTATAGAAATTATCTCTAGAGTCTAAAGTGTTTTGGTGGGTTTTGCCACATACCTATTCTCGCCTTGGAAAGAGAACCATGAGATTCTAATTCCATTCTTCTCTTGCAATTTTCTATTGTAGTTTAATTCCATTGTCCCCCTCAAAACAGAAAGCTGAAATTTACTGGAAGACAAAAATGGCACACCTGTTGACCAGCCCAACCAGAGTACACTCCGAATTTCAAATGTTAATCTAAATTTTCTCAAGATAAAAAACAAACTCTCACACAAACTCAAAGTGTTTTTCTCTGCTCTCACACTGCAATGACAATCAACATAGAAGCTGTCTATGAACAAATGTTTGGGGGTTTCCACCCACACACCAAGCAAGCAAGCAGTTCTGCAGGGGACACCACCTCAGTCATAGAAGACAGCTAACTCCATCTGCACAGTCACAAGTGTGGGTCTCCAGAACTTCTCCAAATATGCTTCAAGTTGGGAGCATTCCAACGACCCTCTCTTGGATTGGATTAATTTCCTGGAGTGGGTCACAGAACTCAGAAAAATACTTACTTACACTTCGTGGTTTATTATATAAGATATTTTAAAGGACACAAAGAGTCACATGAAGAGATACATATGGCAAAGTCTGGGCAGGTGCCGAGCACAGCAGTGTCTGTCCCCACAGAGTTTGTCGTGCACCACACTCCAGGCACATGGGTGAGTTCTTGTCCACCTGCCTGCCAGCCTCCCTGTGTTCAGCTCTCTAGAAGGTCTACAAATACAATCTTCTTGGTCTTTTTATGGAGATTTCATTGATAGGCATGATTGACAAACAAGTAGAAACGTGATTGTACAAAAAGGCTATTATCTAACACTAGTAGGCTGAGTAAGGGGACAGAGCAAGACCTATCTGTTCAGATCCCTCTTGGCCTCTCTGTGCAGTAGTGCTTCCTCCAGGGTAAGGAACAGGCTACATTCTGAAATAAATGTCTTAAGTCCCACAGCAAGACAGTTAGGGGAAGGAGGATATCTTAGTCCATTCCCATGTAACTGTGAAGAAATACCCAAGACTGTGTAATTTATAAAGGAAAGAGGTTTAATTGACTCATAGGTCCACATGGCTAGGGAGGACTCATAAAACTTCCAATCATGGCAGAACAGGAAGCAAACATGTCCTTATTCACTTGGTGGCAAGAGAGAGAAGTGCTGAGCAAAAGGGTAAAAAGTCTCTTATAAAATCATCCGTTCTTTGAGAACTCACTCACTATCATAAGAAGAGCATAAGTGATTCAATTACCTCCCACCAGGTCCCTCCCATGACACATGGGGACTATGGGAAGTAAAATTCAAGGTGAGACTGTGGGGTTGGACACAACCAAATCATATCAGAGGGTCAATGGGGCAAAAAATAACACACTGGACTATGGATCAGAAGTTGGGAAAATGTTAGAGTCTTGCTTTGGGCAGGTGGAAGGAAGGCAGGAGAAGTTCAGTGAGGAAGAGATTGTTTTCTGAAGTCTGCTTCTGAGGACAAAAGCACTCCAAAATATAGCAAGGGTTTTGGGACTTATGACCCAGGAACTGTGGATGAAAACCTATGTAATATATATCATATGTCCTAATATATATTAAAAATAATATATATGATTTTTCCTATATATATCATATTCATATATGTCATATATCATAACATATATTAAAAATCACATATTCGATGAATTTCAGCTTTTTGTTTTAAGGGGAACAAAAGATTAAACCCCTCATGGAAAATGGTAGATGAGGAGTAGGATTTTTCTCTTTCCCAGGTGAGAATAGATTTGCATCAAAGAACACAAGAGTTCTCCAAAACTCTACCTAGAGCTCTTGTTTCTACCAAGGTCTTATATCTGCTATTTCCTGAATCACCCTAATTCATACATAGACAGATAGATGATACATAGATAGATAGATACATAGATAGTAGATGATAGATAGACAGATGCATAGATAGATACATAGATAGATGATAGATAGATACATAGATACATAGATAGATACATAGATAGTAGATGATAGATAGATAGATACATAGATACATAGATGCATAGATACATAGATAGATGATAGATAGATAGATAGATAGATAGATAGACAGATAGATACATAGATAGATACATAGATAGATACATAGATAGATATCAGGCATGGGGGTTAGGCTGTGTCCTTACCCAAATCTCATCTTGAATTCACACATGTTATGGGAGGGACCAAGTAAGAGGTAATTGAATCATGTGGGGCAGGTTTTTCCTGTGCTGTTCTCATAATGGGAAATAAGTCTAGTGAGAGCTGATGGTTTGAAAAAGGGGAAGTTCCCTGCAGAAGGTCTTTTTATTCACCATCATTCATTTAAGATGTGGCTTGCTCCTCCTTGCATTCCATCATGAGGCCTCCCCATCCATATGGAACTGTAAGTCCATTAAACATCTTTTTCTTATCTGTCTCAGATATGCCTTTATCAGTAGCAAGAAAACGGACTAATACATACATAACCACACCACCAAACAGCATTCTTTGTGCCAAAATTTATTTGGCAAAACCCTGTCTTTACCAAAAAAAGAAAAATTATTATCTTGACATGGAGTTGTCCACCTGTAGTCCCTACTACGTGGGAGGCCAAGGCAGGAGGATCCCTTGAGCTGAGGAGGGCAAGGCTGCAGTGAACTGTGATGATGTCACTGCACTCCAGCCTGGGCAGCAAGACAAGATCCTTCTCTAAAAAAAATAATAAATTCAGAAAAAACAATTAATTAAAAATGAAACATTATTTTTAAAAAACTGATAGAATTTGGCATTTAGTCCAGTGTCTTTTCTGGATATTGTCCCTGTCTTAAAAGACAACCTGAGAATGAGATTATTAATTCCTTATAAAGTTTATTGTCATTTTTTGGATGAAATTAATACTCATTAGATAAACAGTATGGAATTTAACTTCAAATGTTTATTCCTACCTCCTGCCACACACCTGCTTTGGGGGAACATCTGTATCAGTATGGGTTTTAGTCCAAAGCAATTGAAGCTCATTTTGGAATTTGGGAGAAATAAATTGAAAAGATACAAAATCCACCTTAGTGTAGTGATAAAGACTTGGGATCCAGTGCATACAAAGATATTTATAGAGGCTCCTGGAAGCCATTTGTCACCACACCAGTATGCAGTGATGAGGCATGAGCCATCAGTTTCATGCTCCTCCCTTGCACAAGAGGTAATACCCTGACTAGGGAGACAAGTCAAATACCTGCTCCTTGGCCAGAGACCACATTTGTCTCACTGGGCTTTCTAAAGTGGAGAGAGTTGACTTGGTCTACCTTAGCACTCAATTTCACACAATGAAAGGGAGACAATTCCCCTGCTGCTATAGACTGAGTGTTTGTATTCCTCCAGCATGCATATGTTGAAACCCTAATCCCCAGTGTGATGAGATTAGGAGGTGGGGGAAATTTGGAGGTGAGCAGACCATAAGGGTGTAGCCTGTGATGGGATTAGTGTACTTTTAAGAAGAAACACAAGAGCTTTCTCTTTCAATTTCTTTCTCTTTCTCTTTTTCCCTTTCTCTTTCTCTTTTCCTCTTTCTTTATCTCTCTTCCACTTGGCCATGTGAGGATACAGTGAGAAAAAAGGTGGCTGTTTACAAACTCTACAGAAGGCCCTCTCCAGAACCTTACCCTCATGGCACCCTGATCTCAGACATCTCAGCCTCCAGAATTCTAAGAATTACATGTGTTTTTAAAATTCATCCAGGTTATGTTATTCTGTCACAGCAACCCCCACAGATGAAGACAGAAGCAGTGATGGCATATGCAGTGGATCTTAAGAAGCCAAAATACAGCATTAAGCATTAAGATCCATCAGTTAATGAAACATTCAGACAAATTGGTTTAGATATTTTCTGAGCTGGGACAGCAGCTTCAATACGGAACAACTTTTTTGACACAAGACCACATGCATATGTGTAGATAATTCTATGAAATGTGTGCCACACAATTTTTCTATGTAAAGCATACAACTTAATGGGCTTGTTTTATGATGATTTGTGGTAGGAGACTGTGATGTTCCTCTGTATACCAGTTGTGTTGTCCCAATGAAAGCCCAGTAGTTCTCATTTTGTAGTCCTAGAGAGCACTTACAAGATTTGAAAAATTTAATACAGTTTTCAGATAGGTTAAGTTAGTTATTTCACACAAGTTCCTGAAAATATAAGTAGATTTCACCTAATCTGTTACATGCAGTGAATCATATTACCGGAGCAGTGAAACTGCTCCTGTGGGACAAATACATTTATAAAGTGTTACTCACACAGCATTATGGTAATTTGTCTGCCCAGTGGTGGAACCCAGGCACTATATTTTCCTCTAACCATTGTAATTCATCATTTCAAAGCTTCACAATACATGTAAATACTTCCTTCCCAACAGGAGATAAATAGGATATCCACATTTAAGTCACAACATTTTCCCCCAACATTGTGATGAGACAGAGGAATTAACCTACTCTTTCAAAGCCCAGCAGGTCTCAGGAATGTGAGAGTACTTACAGGATATTATGAAACTGGATGCATTTATGTTTGTGCATTCAATGTTTTCATTTTGTATGGTTTAAAGAGATTGATTCAATGGCTGTGTATCAAAGATATACTCCAAATGAAGCTGGATTTTTAAAAAATCCTCTCCTTTTTCAAATATCTTACACCTATATTGTGATAACAATGTTTTTGGTAACACAGCTCATTCTATTACTTTAGTACAAGTGAAATTTGGTGCTGATTATAGATGTGGTAAAACTATTTTCTATCTTAATATTTTTATATTTATCACCATCTCTTTTCCAAGGCTGCATGCTCTGCAAGTCCATTTTTAGGTCCACATTTTTAATTGTGTTTTTGTATATTATGGGCAATTTCTTAGACAAGGTGCTTTCAGCTCCATACAAATTTTGGAAAATTATGATATTCTCCCAGAGGCCATACCTTCTGTAAACTGATGAGATACTGATATTTCAGTTATGAATTTTAAAACCTTCTATGCTAAAAGGCTATCTCCATTGGAAGTTTAAACTCTCAGCATTGGGCAACTAAACTGTTATAGTCATTTATACATGAGTGTTTTCCTGAAAATACAAATGATTTATTTGCAGAGTAGGCAGAGAGGGAGAAAGATTTTATTTTATGTTGTAAAATATATCTGTCTTCTTTTCTATGTCATCTCAGATGTAAGTGGGAAAGGAAGAGAGAAAGTTGGACCTCTGCCTGGTAGTTTATTTGTGGATCAAGTAAAAACACTCAACACAAATTCTACTGGAAGGTAAATGCTTCTTCGTGTCACACATTGTTATGAATGCGAAATGAGCTTTCGTCTACATTTTTGCAGCAGTGTGTACTATAAAAGTGCCTGTTGTTTGGTAGAGATGGGGTCTTGTTGTGTTGTTTGGGCTGGCCTTAAACTCTTTGATTCAAGGAATCTTCCTGCATCAGCCTACCAGAGCGCTGAGACTACAGATGTGAGCTACCACAAGAACACGTTTTAGTGTCCTTGATGAAAGGAACTCTTCTGAGTATCTTTAGCAACCATCCTTCCCTGCAAGAACATAGCAAAAGGGAAGATGATGTAAAGAAATAGAAAAGTGAACTATACCATACAGTCTTACATTCTTATCCTAGGAAATGTTTGCAAATAGTTTCTCTCGGCAAAATTTGTCCAGACCAAATTTTGGTATGAGCTGGAGTTATTGAACAATGGGATGCCCAGTGTATGCAATTGAAAACTCTGGGAGATTTTCACATCTCACTCTACTTTCTCTCTACATTTATTTTCCTGGGAAATTTTAAATAATGGATTTGGAAGGAGAACTAACATGTGGTGTGCCTTTGAAACTACCACTGTCTTGAGGATTCCTAAGCTTTCTCATAGGATGTTGAATGATTTACTTCAAAGCCTAGGGTGATCAATTTGAATTATGAAGGTACAACTGATAAATAATAAAAAACATCCACAAATCCCATGAAGAATGTTCTCTAGTACAGAGTACCCTGATGAAACTAGAGGCATTATAGCATATACTATTGACAAGTACACATTGAGACAAAAATAATCAACCTGCAAATATCTTTGCTGTGAAATGACTGGTCATGTTTAAGCACATCAATAACCCAAGAAAGAGTTACAGGTAGTAGAAATGGGGCAAGAATCAGAGCATATTCATGCTAAAATAAATGTGCTATAACAACAAATGAATAAAGGAGTATGGTATAATCAAATAAGAGAACATTTTCTTATGATTTATAGCAATTATCATCTACTCCAAAATAAGTTGGATTTGCGTTAGACAAATATCACAGAGATAAAGTATATTCAGAGAAGAAACTGAAAATATTCAGTGATAAAATAACATTGGTAAAAAAGCATGCCATGAGGGAGAATTGGGCTCAGAGATTGTAGTGGGCCAGCAATTTACTGGGGAGAGGTGATCCCCAAGGCAATAATACAAATATAGAAATTAAAGTCAAGAGTTAGTGAACATGGAGCAAGTGCAAGGGAGGACTGGGTGTTCCTAGTTTTTGAGGAGACTGGGTTTAAGGAACACTTGATATATTAACAAGCAAAGCAGGGCCATGACAAAGGTGGCCTTGTCATGTCACCCCGATGAGATGCTAAGCTAAGAGCTACATCTAAACTACTCTAGAGAGCCTCATCCCTCACCCACTGCAAATGGTCCTCATGGCATGATATACGCAAATCTCTCTTTTTCCTGTGCTCCCTGTTAGCTTCCATTCACTATCTGAACTTCTTGGACTGTACCATGTTTTAGAGACCTTGTTCATGTCCGCAGCTTAACTACATATCATTTAAATAATTGGTATTTGTAATTTTTGAGAGTGGTTTTTTTTTGTCATTTATTTCTGCCCATTCCTGTGCCAAACATTTCTCAGATGAGTACCTTGATCTTTAAATACCCAATTTCTTTTTTTGAGGTCTTTACATATTTTTAAATTGCCCAAGAGACAGGATACAAGGTATCTGGCAACAGCTGTTCAAGAGCATCAAGGTCATAAAATGCTAGGAATAAATGTGAAACTGTCACTGATTGTAGGAGAGTATGGAGCTATCACAATTAAATACAATGAGCAATCCTGGATTGGGTCATTTCTGTAAGAGAACATGATGTGGTTTGGCTCTGTGTCCCCCCCCCAAATCTCATCTTGAATTGTAATCCCCACTTATTGAGGGAGGGTCTTGGTGGGTAACGATTAGATCACATGGGTAATTATACAATGTTGCTCTCATGATAGTGAGGGACTTCTTACAGGATCTGATGCTTTTAAAAATGTCAGTTATCTCTGATCTATCTCCTGCTGCCATGTAAGATATGCCTTCCTTCCCCTTCTGCTATGATTATACATTTCCTGAGGCCTCGCCAACCATGCAGAATTAAAAGTCAATTAAACCTCTTTTCTTTATGAATTACCAGTCTCAGGTAGTATCTCCACAGCAGTGTGAAAAAGGACAACTACAGAACACTAGGGATAAAATTGTCAGAATTTTACTTAGATCTGTAGTTCAGTTGACAGCATTCTATCAGTGATAATTTCCTGGTTTTATAATTTCACTATGATGACAAAAGATGTTAACGTTAGAAAAAGCATTCCAAAAGGTGAACGGAACTCTCTATACTAGTTGGGAAACTTTTGGGAAAATCTATAGTTATCTTCAAACAAAGTGTTAAAACATAAATAAGGCTTAATTTATTTAGAATAAAACCATCCTGGAACTCTCTGGCTTTTTTTTTTTTTTTTTTTTTTTAATTGAGACAGAGTTTTAGTGTTCTTGTCCAGGCTGGATTGCAGTAGTGTGATCTTGGCTCACTGCAACCTTTGCCTCCTGGGCTCAAGTGATTCTCCTGCCTCAGCCCCCCAAGTAGCTGGGATTACAAGCATGTGCCAACATGCTGGCTAATTTTGTATTTTTAGTAGAGATGGGGTTTTGCCATGTTGGCCAGGCTGGTCTTCAACTCCTGAAATCAGTCAATCCTCCAACCTTGGCCTCCCAAAATGCTGGGAATAGAGGTGTGAACAACAACATTCCACCAAATCTCTGGCATTTTATGAGTGCGGCAAGCATTCTTTTTCCTTTGTCTTAGAATTTTTTTAAAAAGTTATACAGACATTTACCTGTACTCCTTATATGTTACAAAGATTACAAGGTTTTGTTTCAGACTATTTTTATTACACAGAAGAGTTTCATTCTTTTTTTGGGTGGAGATAAAATTCACATAATATAAAATTAACCATTTTAAAGTGTACACTTCTGTGACTTTTAATGTTTTCACAATGTAATGCAACCATCACCTTTATTTGGTTCTTGAATATTTTCATCACCTTAAAAAGAAATCTCAGGCCCAGCTTGGTGGTTCACGCCTGGGAGTTAGCACTTGGGAGGCTGAGGTGGGTGGATCACCTGAGGTCAGGAGTTGGAGAACAGCCTTGCCTACATGGCAAAACTCTGTCTCTACTGAAAATGCCAGAAAAAAAGAAAAAAAATTAGCAAGGTGTGATGGCATATGCCAGTAATCCCAGCTAGTAGGGAGGCTGAGGCATGAGAATCACTTGAACCTCGGAGGTGGAGGTTACAGTCTGCTGAGATCATGCCACTGCCTTTCTGGGTGACAGAACAAGACTGTGACTCAAAAATAAAAAAAAAAAAAGAACCCCATATCCATGCAACAGTCACTCATCACCTCCCACACCATCCTCACCCCTAGTTCCTAACAACCACAAATCAACTTTCTGTCTCTATGGTTCTCCCATGCAAACCTGGCTATTTCATAGAAATGGAATCACACAATATGTGGCCTTCTGTGTCTGACTTATTTCACTGAGCCCGGTGTTTTCAGAGCTCATTCACATTTCTGCATGTATCAGTACTGCACTCCGTTTTAAGGCTGAATAATATTCTATTTTATGGAAAGGCCACAATTTGTTTATCCATTCATCTGTTGATAGAGATTTGGGTTGTTTTCACTTTTTCCTCATTGTGAATAATGTTGCTAATCAAGGTTTCAGTTCCTGCTTTCACAGGGTCAGAGTTTCTCGGTGACATATGATAACTTTTTGGGCCTCATTGTTTCCATGCTTTAATTTCATTTTTTTTACAGAAATTCTGCTGGCTTACTTACTTTTTCTGTGACTATAGTCATCAACCATTTTGTAATATTATAATTTTGCTCTAAACAGTTAAAATTATAAAATACAATCCTCCAGGGGTGTAAAGGATGAACATAAGGATTATATTTTATAATCTTAAACTCTTAGAAAAATTATTGGTTATGGCTTTTTTTTAGAGCATGCTGGATTTTCTAATTTTACAGTTACCATCTAATATGGTTAGGCTTTGTGTCCCAATTATAATCTCTATAATCACCGTAATCGTCTTGTGTAAAAGGAGACTATGTGGAAGTGATTGGATCATGGAGGTGGTTTCCCTCATGCTGTTGGCATGATACTAAGTGAGTTTTCACATCTGATGGTTTTATGAGTCTTTGGTAGCTCCTCTTGCATCATTCTTCTTCCTGCCATCTTGAGAAGAAGAAGAAGACTGCTTCATCTTCTGCCATAATCTTAAATTTCCTGAGGCCTCCTCAGTCATGCTGAACTGTGAGTAAATTAAACAACTTTCCTTTATAAATTACCCAGCCTTGGGTATGTCTTTATTAGCAGCCTGGAAATAGACTAATACACCATCCTTACATACCATTGACAGTTATAGCATGATCACATATCAGTGTTTTAATCTACCCTTTATATTGATAAGCACATACATTTCTATCAACAATATTTAAAAAAAAGACATTAAACAAAATAACCCAGGCCTATGTTTTGCTTACGTCAGTATGAGCTCCATAGTAACCTACAATGTTGTTATCCTCACTGACTAACATCTTTTCTGTCTTCTTTCTTGATATTTCTCTGCATGACTTCCACTCATCTCACTGCATTTATTTATTCTACAAGAAATCTGCCTTTTTATGTTCTCCCATTTCTTCCCTTAGGGATAGTTTTTCCTACCTTCCCTTCTTCTGTCTTGAATTCATTTAGGTAAATATCATCATTCAACTCAAGTCCCTTGGAAGTGGCACATTTTGGTCTGAGAACTCCTTCTGATTAAGTAATTTGCTTTTCATTTTTTTGTTTGTTTTATTTTGTTTTGGTAGGGGAGGTAACAGGGTCTCTGGCTAGAAAGCAGTGGTGCGATCATGGCCCACTGCAACCTCCAACCTCTGAGCTCAAGTAACCTTATGACATAAGCCTCCCAAACAGCTGAGACTGCAAGTATGCACAACTGCACCCAGCTAATTATTTTTATTTTTATTTCTGTAGACATGGAGTTGACTCTGTTTCCTAGCTTGGTCCCAGACTCCTGGTCTCAAGTGTTTCTCCCTCCACAGCCTACAAAAGCGCTGGGATTATAGACATGAGCCACCACCCCTGGCCTTTTCTAGGTTTATTTATATCTCTGTCGCTTACATATTTATCTATATTAAATATTTTTTTAAATATATGTGCATATTTGTATATAGATATTTATATGTAAATATATTGATAATATAAATATATCACACTAGTTTTCATGTTTTGATATTTATGTAAGTATGATCATACTGGACAAATTGTTCTTTGATTTTCCTTTTTAAAAATTTAGTGTTATGCTGATAAATTTATTCAGGTTGGAATATCTACCTGTGATTTATTATTTGTTACTACTCCATTGTGTATATCTATTGATAGACCCTCTGGAAAAAAAAAAAAAAACTGATGTTTTTATGTAATCATAAGTTCATCATTATTAATTTGCTCTTAAATAGTCTGATGTGCACTCAATTAAAGGATACTTTTGCGAGGTTAAACCTCCCATAATACATAGATTGTGTATTTGAATTGTTAGTTTTTATGGTGAACTTCTTTTTCTACACTAATTCTCTTTAACATGATGTATGAGTGAATGTAAAGCTGTCTCTTAAATCGAGTGTTTATTACGGTTTTCAAAATTGCATTCCTACATTCTGATTTCCAAGTACACCCACTTTTGCTTACATGAGCAATTTTCATTTAAGGGCATATTCACAATTTTAGTGCCATGCCAGCAGCCATATCATTTTTATTCTACTAAATTTAAATGAAAATCATGAGTTCTTTGAGTGATTTCAACATTAAAATAAAAAGTATTCTTAACAACAGGTCCATCTTACACTACTCATATCCATCCACAATTACGCTTTTATTCCGTGTATCCAGTTAATCATTACCCACAGTATTTTTAGGTTTAAATATAATAGTAATCAACAGTGCAACCAAATTGACAACATAAATAGAAATACAGAGATCTCCCATTATAATGTGCTGAGAGAAAAAAAAAAAGCATTTAATGCATATTTATAATGTGTCCATTATTCCAGTAATCATGGCTTTGAATCTCAGTCTTTGATCTAATTAAAACTTAGTTTCTATATGCCAGCAAGAGGTGATTTGCATTAGAGAGCATTATATATTCTTTTTATTTCACACATACCTTCTGGTATTCTTCCAAATATAGTTCTAGGTACAGTGTTGCCTTTGAATATTTACAGCTACTCAAGATAACCCTAATGGCTAATTATGATAGAAACTGTAAGGCAGTAACATATGGTTTCCAGCTGCATCCGTGTCCCTTCAAAATATATGAACTAATCCTTTTTTACAGCTGCATAATATTCCATGGTGTAGATGGAGACTTCTATAAAAGCACACAGAATATTCCTCCTGTAAGATAAAATGTTAACTTTGTGAAAGCAACAATTAATCCCACTAGGATATTGAAGGGGGCAATAACAAAGAATTCATGTGCAAAATAACTACAGTCATATTAAGATACATAATTCTATAGGTCTATGGGAGATTTCTGCCCCACTCTAATCATGACTTGATAACTTCAAAGAAGAAATAATTTAGCACATCAGGACTAGATCCTATCTCTTTGAGGAGTCTTAAGAATTTATCTGCTTTGGGGGTTCTCAAAGTGTGGTCAGCAGCATCAGCCTCAGCTGGAAACCTGTTAGAAATACAGATTCTAAGGCCCTGCCCCTGACTTAAAGGAATCAGGACCTTGAGAAGGGGGGCTGTTCAGGTTATTACAATGCCTGCTATATTTGGAGAATGCTGCTATAGCTTACCTTTGCATCCATCCGTGCTCCAAAGCACAATCTGATTTAAAAGAGTTTTCTCTCGCATTTCTAAAAAGGCAAGCTGTCAGAATTAGGGCATAATGAATTTTCTGTTAACACTCAGCTTTTCCCATAGGATTTTGCTGAATAGTTTAGGTTCCTCTGCACCACTCTCTAGGAACACTTGCTGGTCTGTGTTGCAAGAATCCTATGCATAATAGAATTGAAACAGTGATTCGATCTTTTTTCTAATGGCATACTGGAAATAAAATTGCTAAGGAAATTGCCTTAAGGTTAAGAAACATAAGATAAGTAATGAATAGCACCTGGGTGAGTTAAAGAATTCTGCCTTATTTTTCTCATTAAGCTTTTTCTTTTAAAAGATGAACATATTAAAAAAATCATCGGTGGTGTCCGGTTACAAGTTGATTTTCAGGTATGAAGAAAGGCCATTCCTGCAGAAGGAAAAAGATACCCTGCTTATGAAACTCTTTCTCTTCTAGCAGGAACCTGTAGGAATATTGATGAAATTATTCCTTGTTAAGATGCCTAAGCCTTATGGTAGTATAAAGCAATGCAATCTGGACATGGTGAAATATGAGAACCTTTAATATTGCAACAAAACTTACTATATATATTTTTAAGTATACATTGATTTTCTTGGAGGCTAGATATTTTAATATATCTTGCTTCTTTTTTTAATGAAGCATGAGGGAAATTTTGAGCATATTGGGTGAATACAGTATAGAAAAACATTTCTCAAAATGTTCCATGGATGCTGATGAACTCTCCTGAGTTTAATAGGTGTTTTGCTTTCACACATTCACATACACACTATGTATACAGCGTACAAGAGCTTCATGGACAAATAAAATCTGCTCCATCACCAAGAGCGGTCAAGGACTTTGATATACTAATGATCAGTGTGAACGTTTACCTGGAAGACTTCTGGAATGAGTCATTGTCTTAGTTCATTCAGAACTGCTATAACAAAATAACCATAAACTGGGCAGCTGAAATAACATTTATTTCTCACAGTTTTGCAGGCTGAAGGTCTGAGGTCAGGGGTCAGCATGGATGAGTTATTGGTGAGGGCAATTTTTTTGGTTATAAGCAGCTGTCTTCTCCCTGTGTCCTCATGTGGTGGAAAGAGTGAGTTAGCTCTTGAATCTCTTCTTATAAGGGCAGTAATCCCAATAATAAGTGTACCACCCTCATGACCTAATCTCCTTCCAAAGGCCTTACCTCCTAATACTATTCTAATGAATTTTGGTGGGACACAAATATTCAAACCATTTTATTGTTTTTTTATACTTATTTGATCTCATGAATTTTAGTCCTAGAAACCTCCGCTGGGATGTACTCTTTCATACTCTAGCTGATTTGAATGTTATCTAAACTCTTCTAATCAATTTTAAATAGAACAGAAAATAAATAGCACATACAATACAAGTGAAAAAAGTAGAAGGCTGTGAGAAAATAATACTAAAGTAGTCAGACTTTCTTAAATAAACCAAACAAATAAGTTAATACATTTTTAAAAAGCCATGGTTAGCCATCTTCAAGAACTCACATCATTGCAAAGTATGTCACACAAACACATATAAAATGTAATGAACTCATTTCTTGAGTAAGTCAATCTTTACACTTTTTCTCTTTTTCTTTTTGACTCTAAATATAGGTTAAATAAATGATGCAAGAGGGAACTATGGGAAGTTTTTCATTGCCAAACTATAGCTGTGATGATTATAAAAGCACTCATATCTTTATACAAAGAGTTATTTATAAAAGGAATAGCAAGAATTATAAGTCAGAGACCAAAGTGAGATCCTCAGAGGTCATAATACTTCAATTATAATTGATTAGAATAGTTTCGGATGATATAATTTTTTAAACAAATTTATTAGAAATACTATTGCACAAAATAAAAAAAACTGTAGTAGATATAAAAGTAGACATGGTAAAGGAGTTTGTCAGCTTATAAGAGCACTTATTAACCAGTAAGTCGAAAATATCTAACACTAGAACAAAATAATACTCAACAGATACAGATTAGAATAGAAAAAGTAGGTGGCTCTTAACCATGAGAAACAATCACATGCCTTATGGTAAGAAAAGTATGAACAGATTTTTATCTAAGTAACTGGCATATCATACACTCCTGGTGAGACTGAGAATGTTCTAGAATGTTTCTTTAAAGCAATTAGGTTATTGAAATTGAGTCTTTGTTTCTGACCAAGTAACCAAATATTTCCTACAGGAAGTGTGAGATATATAGTAACTGATTTGTCTTACTACCTGGACAGTCATAGTCATTTATTTATAATACCTATAAATTAGAAGCAATCAAAATATGCAATAATATGTAAATTAACTAAACATGTGATCATATGTAAATTGAATAAATAGCATATTCATATGATGATATGTAATGGGGCCACTGAAAGAAAAAAACATACTACATATTACGTGAAAAAAATGGAAAAAAAAAGAGCATATATGGTCTAATCCTCATTATAATATTTTATGTGGGGATATCAATAAGTGTTTGGACATCTAAGCATATAAGCCCCATTGAACCACTCAGCTTCTCTTTTCATAACCAAGAATGTAAATCAAGTAACTAGTCTCACACCAAACATGGTATCCACATATTATAACTTATGAAAGGAATCAGAAGAAGTTATTTGAACACTTCTGGACCATTAGCACATGCATGAATACACACATGTACAATTCAAGATGAAAGCACATCTAAACATTAGAAATGGAAGCCATAGAGAGGTGGTTTGCAGCTTCATCCATGTCCCTGCAAAGGATATGAACTCATTGTTTTCTTATGTCTGCATAGTATTCCATGGTGTATATGTGCCACTTTTTCTTTATCTCGTCTATCATTGATGGGCATTTGGGTTGGTTCCAAGTATTTGCTATTGTGAATAGTGCTGCAGTAAATATCTGTGTGCCTTTGTCTTTATAGAAGAATGATTTATGCTCCCTTAAGTATATACCCACTAATGGGATTGCTGGGTCAAATGGTATTTCTGGTTCTAGATCTTTGAGGAATCGCCACACTGTCTTCCACAATGGTTGAACTAGTTTACAGTCCTACCAACAGTGTAAAAGTGTTCCTATTTCTCCGCATCTTCTCCAGCACCTGTTGTTTCCTGACTTTTTAGTGATCACCATTCTAACTGGTGTGAGACGGTATCTCATTGAGGCTTTGATTTGCACTTCTCTAATAACCAGTGATGATAAGATTTTTTCATGATTTTTGGCTGCATTAATGTCTTCTTTTGAGAAATGTCTGTTCATATCCTTTGCCCACTTTTCAATGAGGTTGTGTGTGTGTGTGTGTGTGTGTGTGTGTGTTTTGTAAATTTGTATGTTTCTTGTAGATTATGGATATTAGCCAGATGGATAGGTTGCAAAAATTTTCTCCCATGCTGTAGGTTGCCTGTTTACACTGATGATAGTTTCTTTTGCTGCACAGAAACTTTTTAGTTTAATTAGATTCCATTTGTCAATTTTGGCTTTTGTTGCCATTGCTTTTGGTGTTTTAGTCATAAAGTGTTTGCCCATGCCTATGTCCTGAATGGCATTGCCTAGGTTTTCTTCTAGGGATTTCATGGCTTTAGGTCTTATGTTTAAATCTTTAAACCATCTTTAGCTAACTTTTATATAGGGTGTAAGGAAGGGGTCCAGTTTCAGTTTTCTGCTTATGGCTAGCCAGTTTTCCCAACACCATTTATTAAATAGGGAGTCCTTTCCTCATCGCTTGTTTTTGTCAGGTTTGTCAAAGATCAGATGATTGTAGATGTGTAGTGTTATTTCTGAGGCCTCTGTTCTGTTCCATTGGTCTATATATCTGTTTTGGTATCAGTACCATCCTGTTTTGGTTACCTTAGCCTTGGAGTATAGTTTGAAGTCAGGGAGCATGGTGCCTCCCAATTTGTCCTTTTTGCTTAAGATTATCTTGACTATACAAGGTCTTTTTTGGTTCCATATGAAATTTAAATTTTATTTTTCTAATTCTGTGAAGAAATTCAGTGGTAGCTTGGTGGGAATAGCATTGAATCTATAAATTACTTTGGGCAGTATAGCCATCTTCACAATATTGATTCTTCCTATCCATAAGCACAGAATATTTTTCTATTTGTTTGTATCCTCTCTTATTTCCTTGACCAGTGGTTTGTAGTTCACCTTGAAGAGGTCCTTCTCATCTTCTGTAAGTTGTATTCCTAAGTATTTTATTGTCTTTGTAGCAATTGTTAATGGGAGGAGACTACTAGTGTTGGGGCCAGATAGTGGGTGGTTCTTGCCTGCTCTGGTCACACACAATGGAAAGAAACCACCACCTCCATGCATTACAATGCAAAGGACAGATCTGATAAGTGGCAACAATCCCATTAGCTCCCTGCTCCCACCCTTTTGGAAATTGCTAGATCTTGCAATGGGATTCCCACTTCTCTGCCTGGGTCATGAGTGTGTTTCAGGTGGCCAAACTGAGATATTCCAGCCACTGGTCCTGATCAACATTCTGAATTATAGAGATGCTCTGGTTCCCAAGAAATACCAAGTATTTGAGAAACATGAGATGAAACAGATTCACATTAAACAAGGAAGCACGCTGTGCTAGTGGGAAATCTGGCTATACTAGGAAAGATAATGAAAGGTTGTTCTGCTCAGATCCCTCTGCCATCAGCCACATAACTTGTTACTTCTTAGAGATTTGAATTCTCAGGCACTGTTTCAGACCTGCTGAGTCAGAAGCCTTAGAAATGAGGTCTGTTAATCTATATTTTAAGAAGCAACTAGGGATTGTGAATGAGCCATAGATGTCACACTTGTGAAACAATTCTCCACTTTTTTTCTGCCAGGCACATTTATCCTACGATTTCAAGAAAAAACAAAAACAAATACAAAAAAACAACAACAAATGAACTGGAGCAATTCAGTCCTTACCAATGCAGGAAATAGCTCAATCTCTTCCAAATCAAGACAAAATCTGAATACAGGAATTCTTGGGGTTTCCTTATATTATTCTAAGAAATAATAATCACAATCATTAGCTTCTATACAATACTCAATTTAATGCATGCTATGACACTTCTCAGTTTAACTGATGTGACAAGGCTTTGTTGTATTCTTCCTGAATAACAGAAAACTTCACACAGTATGGTTTTAGTAAAAGTTTCATGTTTCATCATCTAGTGTCTATTGTACTATTTCTGAAATAAACCCACATGTAAGAAAGACAAGAGATTTTGCAATTTGTTGTTGATACCATAGAACATGAAGTATAGTATGGAAAACCAATCTTATAGAAATCTCACTTAAAATTAAGGGATTTATCAGCCTTGGACATCCATACAGCTAAACCACAATAATCTGAAACAGTGAATTATGGATATTACTGCACTGAAATACAGTTCAAATGGACATCTGCCACAGGTTCCTGCCACCGAGAAACAAACACCCCACATATTGCTTTAAATAAATCTGAACCACTTAACCAGAAAGCAAAGACTTTCTTCTAATAATAACAAGAATAAAGAGAGGATACCATGTCTCCATATACACATCTTGATGAGTATTATGGATACTACCTTGTGTTAAACTTATGTAAGCTATATAGCTTTCTATTTACACAGTTAGAGATGACCAAATACTTAAAGAAATTCGTAAGTGCTGCTGCTGTTGAGAGACACACAGTTTGTATCTGACTCCAGCTCATTTAGTTTGGCTACGTGTCCCCACACAAATTTCATGTTAAATTGTAATCCCCAGTGTTGGAGTTGAAGCTTGGTGGGAGATGATTGGAGCATGTGGGTGGTTTCTAATGGTTTAGCACCAACCCCCTAGTGCAGTCTCATGATGGATTTCTCATGAGATCTGGTTGTTTAAAAGTGTGTGGCACCAGATGGGTGTGGTGGCTCATTCCTGTAATCCCAGCACTTTGGGAGGCTGAGGCTGGTGGATCATGGTCTCAGGAGAATGAGACCATTCTGGCTAACACGGTGAAACCCAGTCTCTACTAAAAATACAAAAAAATTAGTGGGGCGTGGTGGTGGATGCCTCTAGTTCCAGCTACTTGGGAGGCTGAGGCAGGAGAATGGAATAAAAACCTGGGAGGCAGAACTTGCAGTGAGCTGAGATCCAGCCAATGCACTCCAGCCTGGTCAACAGAGTGAGACTCTGTCTCAAAATAAATAAAAAAAAAAGTGTGTGGCACCTCCCTCCTCACTCTCTCTTCCTCCTGCTCCAGACATGTAAAATGTTCCTGCCTCCCCACTTGTTTTCTGCCAAGACAGTAAGTTTTCTGAGACCTACTGGCCTGAAGAACTGTGAGCCAATTAAATCCCCTTCCTTTATAAATCACCCAGCCTCAGTAGTGTGAGAACAGACTAACACACCAGCAAAATTGTCTTTGTTATAGCTAATCAAATTAAAGGAGAAAATCCAAATAAATTTTAAATTTTAAAATTTATTGTTAAATTGAATATTTCAACATCCAATTCTTAAATTCACCATTGTTCTTAAAGGCTCTAATAGGGCAACCCTTCTCTGAGTGAGTGGTATACACTGAAATACAGAAAGAAAAAGAAACATGCAAGAAAGATATAAAGATGTTTAAATCATTAGCAATTTTCAGACCTTCATACTGTCTCCTTAGGTAATGAGGGAACCTTGAAAGATGGAGAGTGTAACGAATGATACTTTCTGAGAAGATCATTATAAAATGGCTCTAAAGATCACAGAAACCTGTGGGACAAGCACAAATACAATTGGATTTAACATGATTTTTTTGTTGTATTATTTAAAACTCATGCACCGCCATTTTCAAGATAAACAGAAACATTTACTCCTCAACTAAAATATAAAGTACAGGCAGGGCATGGTGGCCTACACCTGTAATCCTAGCACTTTGGGAGGCCAAGGCAGAGAGGTCACTTGAGTTTAGGAGTTTCAGACCAGCCTGGCCAACATGGTGAAATCCTGTCTCTACTAGAAATACAAAAATTAGCTAGCCATGGTGGAAGATGCCTTTAATATCAGCAATTTGGGAGGCCCAGGCAGAGAGATCACTTGTGGTTGGGAGTTCAAGACCAGTCTGGCCAACATGGCAAAATCCCATCTCTACTAGAAATACAAAAATTAGCTGAGCATGGTCACAGATGCCTGTAATCCCAGGTATGTGGGAGGCTGAGGCAGAAGAATCGCTTGTACTGGGAGGTGTAGGTGGCAGTAAGCCAAAATCCACCATGGCACTCCAGCCTGTGCAACAGAAAAAGACTCTGTCTCCAAAAAATAAAAATAAATAAAAAGTACAATCTGTTATATGTAATATAAAATATACTATATTATATTATTTAAAGATTCTAAACATATATGAGATGTATATGGGTTTTTATTTTCTATATGAGTTTGACTTACTACATTGTCATTCAGATGATTTGTAGTAGGATTGTCTTACCCATGAGATCCAGTTTACCGATGAGGTTTGAAGGCAGAGAAAATTAGTTTAAATTTTAAGCAGTGACTGAGCTTAGAAATGGATGATTACATCTCAACATGGTTCTGGCTCTGAGCTATGTAACTCTTATTGTGAGATCGCAAATGTAGTATTTGCCTAGATGCTCTCTTTGTTGGTTCTATAAAGATGCAATGGCTAGATGATGTCCTTTTTAGTGCTTAGTTGCAGATAATACTCTTTCCATTTTTGAGATTTTTTTTGTTTTAAAATATGCTTAGGGTCTTGGTATGACAAGTGTGAAATACTAAATTGTACAATGTCAGAGGCCAGGTGCAGTTGTGCATGCCTATAATCCCAGTGCTTTGGCAGGCTGGGGCAGGAAGGTCACATGAGACCAGGAGGTTGAAGGTTCAGTGACCTATGATTGTAGCACTGCACTCCAGCCTGGGTTACACAGCAAGACCTTATCTCAATAAATAAATAGTGAAATATCGATAGCCCTGAATTCTACATTACTATGCTGCAACTGCAAAAAAAGATCCATTCCAAAATGAATCTTTCCTTCTGCTTTAGACCTTGTCTTTAGAAAAAAAAAAATGGCATTTAGACTTTTTCATGTTGCTTGGCAACATATTTTTATATTTGTGATGAACAGGACCACCTACACAATTTATGGGGTTCAGGAAAAATGAAAATGAATGTCCCAGTGTTTCTAAATAAAGGATTTCAAGGCCACAATAGCAGAGCATTAAACAAAGCATGTGCCCTTTGAGCTGCGACACTGTAGAACATGGGTCTTAGCTTCATGAAGTAGGACCCACTGATGAAGACAAGAAGGTGCAAGCCTGGTGAGTTTCTGCATATACATATACATATGTATATACATCTACACATGTATATACATATACACATATATGTGTACATATACAGATGTATATACATATACACATATATGTGTACATACACATGTATATACATATACACATATATGTGTACATACACATGTATATACATATACATATATATGTGTACATATACATATGTATATACATCTACACATATAAGTGTACATACACATATGTATATACATCTACACATATATGTGTACATACACATATGCATATACATCTACACATATATGTGTACATACACATATGTATATACATATACACATATGTATATGTACATATATGTATACATATACACATGTATATACATGTATATGCATATATACATATGTATATACATGTATATGCATATATACATATGTATATACATGGGGATATCCCCAGCATGAAGATTAAAATAGATGCACTGAATTCTATTTGGTTCGCAAAGCTCATATGCAGACTCCTGTTTAAAAGCAAATTCTTCTTCACTTTGTACAATTTGCCAACTTATTGTTTGACGTTTAAATCTTCTATTAACTCAACACAATTTGAGATGTCATCTATGGATCAGGCAATGGGTAACAGCTTTGGTGAGGATGTCCTGCAAAACTTTGTGGTTTCTCTAGGGAGACAAGGAAAGGAGGCATAAAATAGGTGTTTGTGGGTGCAAACCACAGAAACAGTTTCACCTGTCCGGAGGATCTAAAAGCTCTTAGGACAAGAAGAAAATTAGAAAAAGACTTGAAAGGCAATTGTGATAAGACAAAGAGTTGTCAAAGCAACCATGGAGATAGCAATAAGCATAAAACCAAACCAGAGAGGTCGCTATATATATATATATTATATATACTATATATATATGTATATATATAGTTTAGTAACTGGCACATATGTTCAATGCATTATCAAATGCTATGAGAAGGACACAGTGAGGAGCTGGGAGAAGATCATGGAGAAAGACCCAAATTATTTTCCAGACAGCTTTGAATTAAAGTCTTAATAAAGATTGTCTTTTATCTGAAACATTGCCTTTGCATGTGAAAATAAATCACTCCAACATTTACCTTTTTCTCATGTAGTTTGATGTACATGGTAAGTGTATACAATTTTTATTTGTCAATGAGAAAAGCATTCTAGCTAAAATAGAAATAGAAATAAACTACCTTTAAAGAAAGGAAGCTCTACACAAACTCTGAGGTTTTTTTTTTCTTTTCACTTTACCACGTAAAATATGTTCAGCTGAGGTTATCTCCCCCTGTGTAGTCATTTTATAAATTGTTTCCCTTCCTCCAAAATACTTTGCCCTCTCTCTTTTGGGCTTCAGAAACTTTTGATTGGTGTATCATGTACATTGAGAAAAATGCAAAGACCAATATATGCAGCTTGATGAATTTGCCTGAATAGAAAAATCATGTCACCAGCATTCAGATTAAGAAACTGGACATTTCCAGCACCCAGTAACTTGTGCTCAACCTCCTATAGTTACCACCTACTCTGAGCACAGGCACAAGACTGATTTTAGCAACACTGATTAGCTTTGCATATGTTGTGACTTTATTTAAAGAAAACTGGATAGTATTTAACATTTTGTTTCTGGTGGCTTTTAGTTAACATTGTTTAGAGATTTATTCATATTTTTTGTGTAGTTGTTGTTTGTATTTTCCTATTACTTTAGAGTATTTCCTTGTATAAATACAGCATAAGCTGTTTCTTCATATTGATATGAGAGGCCATTTGACTAGCTGTGGAGTTTTTTGGGAGTTAATACATCTATTTCAGTGAATGTATTTAGCTAGTTTTTCTGGGTATGAAATTGCTGGGTCACAAATAGTTGTATGTTTAAATTTTGGGTAAGGTACCAGTTTTTCCAAAGTAGCTGCCCAATTTTCATTTCCAGCAGATGTGAGTGTGATTTTCAGTTGGTCTACATTTTCTCCAACATTTGATATTGCCCTTATTTTCAAATTCTAGCCATTATGTTAGCCAGTGGTTTTCATTTCTTTTCCCTGCCTGAAACTAATCAAGTAGAATATAGGGAGACCCCCTGAAACTATTACTATGGAATAAAAGATGAAATGCTCCTGATAATTGTAAATACAAAATTACATGCAGGATTGTGTAAAAACAATGCCAGGTTGGACTGCCAGAATGAGCCAACAGCAGGTGATGTGCTTCCCCCTGCAGAGAGCCTATGAATGGATGTGCAGTCAGGGAGCTTTCACATCACCAAGATTCCTATCCCAGAAAAGCAGATGTTCATAGCTTTGGGAATGGAATGTGACCCTTGTGGAGAGCCTATAAACAGATGCATGGGGGACACCTGTCCATATGGATAAGATAGGGCTATAAACACCCTCATCTTGCTGCAGCTCTTCTAGGCCTCTTTAGGGTTAAGACATACTCCCTTCTGAGAATTTCTGGTCTAACCAGTTGTCTAGCTTCACATCCTGTTTCCATGTATTGTTTGTAACCGGCTTTTGTTGCAATTGTTACTGCTGATTAATATCTTGCTAATCATAGGTTATGGAAAGATTGTGTTTCTGTTTTAAGCCTCTGTTAGAAATTACTGACACACACACTATATTGTAAGTTCTTATCTCTGTATACTGTACTTCTGCATATAAATGTACTGTACTTTTACATACAAATGTTATGTTAAATAATTACTTCATCCCCATGTGACCATCTCACCTCATAATCAAATGACCCTAAATCCCTCAGTAACCTACCCCCACCCTCACTAAACTTAATAATAAATGCTGGTATATCCAGTGCATTGTTGGCACTGTGGGACCAGAAGGCGGTGACTCCCCGGACCCAGCTTTCACTATCTTGTGTGTATCTATTATTTCTCAACCTGCCGATCTGCCTGGAAACAAAAAGAGCACTCCATTGCATTTCAGGCTGTTGACCAGATCCCACAATATCTGACACCCAACGTGGCCTTCTTTGTTCCTCCATTCAGTGCACTCCGAGTGCACTAGTGATGACTAGTCTTCAGTCTCAATGGTAAGGTCTCTGGGTACGCTTTTTCCAACTCTCCCCTCTTTTTGGGTTTGTCAACTGGTAATATTCCAGGGTTATCATGGGACAATCACAGTTTAAACACCAGGCTTATCCGTCTTTTATGAAACTTCTTCTTAAACAGGGTGGAATCAAGGCTGATTCCAATAATCTTGTTCTCTTATTTCAGACTATTGAAAAATATTGTCCTTGGTTCCCTGACAAAGGTTCTATGGACCTGTTAGACTGGGATAGAGTTGGTGCCACACTCTGCCAATTCATGAGAGATGGTGTTTTACTTCCTATTTCTGTTTGGACTGACTGGGCTCTTATTTGTGTTGCTTTACTTCCTTTTCAGTCTGGTAATCCTCTTCAACTGCCAGAAGTTAACGTGGATGGTGAACCTCCCCTTTAACTTCGGGTAGATGACCCCCTTACTAGTACTCTTTCTGATGATGAAGAAGAATCTAATTTCTCCTTGTTTTCTCCCCAAGAGGAGGAACATGGTGATGATCCCCTCCCTCCACCTCCTATCATGGAACCTGTATATGTTAACTCTTCTTCTACTAAGCTGTTGCCCCCTCTGCCAGAGGAGGACGTGTGTCATTCTTCTGAATGGTCTGTTTCTCATTCCTCTCATCCTTTTGGACCACTCCCCTCTTTTAAGCCCACTGTTTCTTTTGACGCTCCGGGACCCCTTCTTTCAGAGACGTGGAACCCTGCTTCCCCCCACTCCACATCCTGGAGCTCCCACTCTCCTTCTCTCTCTTCTTCTGCCCCTGCTAGACCTGTCCGCACTTCTATTCAGGAGGCAATGTGTAGAGCTATGGCTTCTAGTGGTTTGGATGTCTGGCAGCTCCCCATAGCCATAGCCTCTAAGTGTGAAGGTGCAGGAGGGTGGGGAAAAGGCACAGCTAAAGGCCGGTGATATTATGAATCTTTCTCTGTACAACTCCTTAAGGATTTTAAAGCTGCTTGTGATCAATATGGACCAAATTCTCCTTATGTTAAAACTGTTCTACATTCCCTTACCACTGAAAAACAACTTGTTCCTATTGACTGGAATTTGTTAGCTCATGCTTCTCTTACCCCTTCTTGATTCCTACAATTTAAGATATTGTGGTCAGAAGAGGCCATGATTCAAACTTCGATAAATTTTGAAAATGAGACTGAAGTGCCTTATGATATGCTTATGGGTACTAGTGATTTGTGGAATATACTTGCTCGACAATTGGAATATAGTCAACGTATTTTAACTCAGGTAACTCAAGTGTGTTTACGAGCATGAGAATGTATTCAAGACACAGGCAAGGCCCCTTTATCTTTTAGTGCTATTAAACAAGGTCCTTCTGAACCCTATCCTGATTTCATGGCTTAACTCACAGATGCTGCTGAAAAGGCTATTTCTGATACTAGAGCAAGAGATGTGGTTATCCGACTTATGGCGCTTGAAAATGCTAACACTAAGTGTCAGGCTGCCATATGACCATTACGTCGTAAAACCCAAAACACACCTGATGATGCCATCATTCCTTCCTACATTAGAGCCTGTGATGGTATTGGTTCTGAAACTCATAAAGCTATGCTCAGGGCTCAAGCCATGACCTCATCTTTAAAAGCTGCTGCTGTTATTCTCAATGTTCCTACAACAGGTGTGCCCAATACTTTTCTTGGTACTTGCTACAAATGTGGGGGAGTAGGACACTTTAAAAAATCGTGTCCTTTACTTAATGCTAATCCCCAACAACCTGCTCCACAAACTCCAAATTTACAAAAAACACCTAGTACTATTTGCCCACGGTGTAAAAAAGGTAAACATTGAATGAGTTCTTGTCAATCTAAATTTGATATTATGGTAATCTGTTGCCTCCTTTTAATGTGGTCAACACTGTTTTTAATCCCTTTCCATTTCAGGGAAACAGGGGGAGGGGCCAGCCTCAAGCCCCAATCCCAATCAGGGCTCCGGGGTTTCGTTCCCCCTCCCTGTGGCTACCCCTATAACTGCACCAGAAATGCCGCAGACTCAAGTACAAACAGTGCCACAGACATTACCTTAAATTCTATACCCACAACCCAATGCCAATTACCCCCTCCTCTTGTCCCAGTACAATGCCCATCCACCTGCACCACAGGAGAGGACTCAATAGACTTATGTAGTACTCTCCCTTTGTCTTTACTCCCTGAAGAACAACCTGTCCTTGCTCCTACTGGAGTTAAAGGGCCTTTACCTAAAAATCATATTGGTTTAATTCTGGGCAGAGCTTCATTAGCCTTAAAAGGTGTAATTGTTCATACTGGCCTTATCCATGCCAACACTTCAGATGAAATATGTTTGGTTATTTCTACAAAATCTCCCATTTTCATTGAACCAGGAGAATGCATTGCTCTATTACTACTTCTCCCTGAACTGTGCCCCTCCACAGAATCTGCTACTCACACAAGAGGTGTAGAAAATACCTTTAAACAAAACAAAGCTGCTTATTGGGTTAATACTATTTCTTCTCACCATCCCACCTGTACTATTAAAATTTCCTGAAAAAAGTTTGCAGGTTTAGTTGACACTGGGGCTGATATTTCTATAATCACTGCTAATCAGTGGCCTTCCTCTTGGCCAAAACAGCCCTCTTCAACCAATTTAGTGGGAGTTGGAAAGTCATCTGATGTATACCAAAGCTCTCTTATATTTCCTTGTACAGGACCTGATGACCAAATGGGCACTGTTCAACATTATATTACTCCAATTCCCATAAATTTATAGGGATGTGATTTACTGCAACAATGGGGGGCTGAGATGTCTATCCCTTTATCAAATTATAGTGAAGCTAACAAAAACAAAATGTATAAAATGAATTTTTTTTCCTGGAAGATGATTAGGAGTTAATGGAGAGGGAATTAAAGAGCCCTTGGAACCCTCCTGAAAACTTAACAAATCAGGACTTGAATACCCTTTTAGGTGCTGTCACTGCTGAGCCTCCCCTGCCAATCCCTTTACAACGGATGTGTGAGTCACTTGTTTGAGTAGAGCAGTGGCCACTGTCGAAACACAAATTGGAGGCTTTAATTGAAATTGTTAATGATTTACTACAAACAAACACTATTGAGACCTCCTTGTCTCCATGGAACTCTCCTGTTTGTTGTACAAAAAAAGTCAGGAAAATGGAAGATGGTAACAGACTTAAGAGCCGTTAATGCAGTTATTAAACCTATGGGTGTGTTACAATCCAGTATCCCTCCTCTTCCATGATTCCTAAGGAATGGCCTTTAATTATCATTGACTTTAAGGAGTGTTTTTTTCATATTCCTTTAGACAAGTCAGACTGTGAAAAATTTGCTTTCACTATACCTTCCATTAACAATTCAGCTCCCACAGCTAGATAGCAATGGAAAGTTCTACCTCAAGGAATAATTAACAGTCCTACTATTTGTCAGTTGTTTGTCGGTACTGTGTTACAACCTATCTGACAGACTTTAAAAAATAATTACATTCTTCATTTTATGGATGATATACTGATTGCTGCCCCTACTAAAGATAAATTAATTCAATGTTTTACCTCTTTAAAATTAGCTGTTGCCAATGCAGGACTCCACATTGCTCCTGATAAAATTCAACAAACCACTCCTTTTCTGTACTTAGGAATTCAGCTAGAAGATTTCTCCATTAAGCCCCAAAAAGTCCAACTTTATACTGACAATTAAAACACCTTAAATTATTTTCAAAAATTACTAGGTGACACCAATTATCTCAGACCAACCCTAGGCATCCCTACTTATGCATTATCTCATCTATTTGCCACTTTATCAGGAGATAGAGATTTAAACCGTTCTCACTCTCTATCTGAGCCAGCAAAACAAGAGTTGTCTTTTGTAGAACAAAGAGTGAGAGAGGCAAAAGTCTCTCGTATTGACCCAAGTTTGCCTTTATGATTTTTAGGTTTTCCTTCCATCCACTCTCCTACGGGCCTTACAGTACAAAATGATTCTCTATTTGAATGGGTATTTCTTCCTAATTCAGTCTCTAAAACTCTTTCAATATATCTTGATCAAATAGCCACTTTAATTGGGTTAGGACCTCAACATATCATTAAAATTTCCGGCTTTGATCCAAACACCATTGTGGTCTTTTTGACAAAAAATGAGATTAAAAATGCCTTTTCTACATCTTTGTGCTGGCAGACTAGTCTGGCTGACTTCATTGGCACTATTGATAATCATTTGCCTAAGTCAAAATTCTTTCAATTTCTAAGAAATACTTCCTGTATTCTACCAAAACATACTCATTCATCACCACTAGAAACAGCCGTTACCATTTTTACTGATGGACCCAGTAATGGAAAGGCAGGGTATGTAGGACCAAAAGATAAAGTCATTTCTATTCCATACACTTCTGCTCAAAAAGCCGAGTTGTTTGCTGTTATCTCTGCATTACAGGATTTTGATCAGCTTCTTAATATTGTTTCTGACTCAGCATATGTAGTCCATGCCACTAAGGCAATAGAAACAGCTACCATGAAAAATATTGCTGACCCTAATCTGTTTTCCTTGTTCTCTTTGTTACAGAAAACTGTCAGAAACCAAAACCACCCTTTTTTCATCACTCACATACGTTCTCATACTAACTTGCCTGGACCTTTAGCCAGTGGTAATCATAAAGTTGATACTCTAGTTTCTCTAGCTATTACAGATGCAGAACAATTTCATCAACTCACTCATACTAATGCGTCAGGTCTTAAACGTAAAGATTCTCTCAGTTGAAAACAAGCTAAACAAGTTGTACAACACTGTTCTCGATGTCAGGTTTTTGTCTTACCCACACAATCTCCTGGAGTTAATCACTGAGGACTTTCTCCTAATGTTATCCAGCAAATGGATATTACTCATATTCCTTCTTTTGGAAAATTAGCTTATGAACATGTCACAGTTGACACTTTTTCCAATTTCATCTGGGCTACCTGTCAAACCAAAGAAGCCACATCTCATGTTAAAAAACATATGTTTTCATGTTTTGCAGTTATGGGAATTCCTAATGAGCTCAAAACAGAAAATGCTCCAGCCTATTGCAGTAAAGCTTTTAAAAATTTTCTTGATCAGTGGCATGTTAAACATATTACTGGTATTCCTTACAACCCAGAGGGCCAAGCTATTGTAGAAAGAAGTAACAGAACTTTAAAATTACAATTACTGAAACAAAAAGAGAGGGATAAGCAGTTGTCTACCCACCACATACAACTAAACTTAGCATTGCTCACGTTAAATTTTCTTAATATTCCTAAATCTAGTTCTGTTACTGCTGCCAAAAAACATTTCTCTGGTAACTGTCCTACAGTAAACTAAGGAAGAGAAGTATGATGGAAAGATGTTCAATCTAATATATGGTCAAAAGTTTCTATTTTAACGTGGGGAAGAGGCTATGCTTGTGTTTCCCCAGGTGAACATCAATCTCCTGTTTGGATTCCTGCTACACACCTAAAATTGTGTCCTGAAAATGCATGCAACAACGAGACAGAAAAATTTGCTGAAAAAGCACCACAGCAAGAAACAACTAGCATATCCAATCATCAAAAAGAAGAAAATGACCACACTAACTCCTTTACAACAGACGATCCAGTCAGTCACACTGAACAACTTGTCTCCAGTGATCCAGGTCCAGCTCAACCTCTGCCTCCTCCTGACAACACTGATCCTTCTACCCTCTGTCCCTCCACAGACTGTTAAAAACTATATATTTGGCCTATATTCCTTTTCCTCTTCTTATTCAAGCCATGATATGGATGGATGCTCCCATCGAGTTCTATGTTAATGATAGTATTTGGATGCCTGGTTCTGTAGATGATCATTGTCCTGCCCAACCTTGAGAAGAAGGAACCCCTTTCAATATCACTTTACGTTTTAGGTGTCCACCTTTGTGCCTGTGATCCACTAATGGATGTCTCTTGTTAGATATTCAAATTTGGGCTGTCACACTATCATCTGGTCACTCTGTCCTTCCTTTAGGACACTTGGTATCAGGACTCTCATTAAAACCTCTAAGGCAAATCAAAACAGGAATCACTGATTATATTCACACATCCCAATATAAGCCTTTAGGATATGTGATTATATTCACACACCTCAATATAAGTTATGTCCTCTCTACTTGTCTTCAAATGCTGACAAATTAATATGGAAAGATTGTGTTAGCTCAGAAGGAACTGTGTTATTTAATTCTTCTCACTACACCATTGTTGGTTGGACTCCCAAAGGTCATATTACTAATGATTGCTCTCAAGGTCACAGAGATTGTCAACATTTTCTCTATTTTATTATGTATCAAAAAAGTAGTGACAACCGTCCCCTATTATATCACAGATTTAACTCCTTTTTTCCTCTGAAGTGGAAAGGGGCGGGGGTTGCCCTTCAAAGCCAAGGCTCATTGTTCCCCACTTAGGACCTGAACATTCAGAATTATGGAGACTAACAAGAGCTATGACTGGTATGAGAGTTTGGGCTGGAGAAAGTGTTATAAGTAAATCCACCTTGTCACCTCAAAATATGTATACTATCTATATACCACTTAAAAGTTGTGTTAAACCACCATATATGTTATTAGTAGGAAAGATGCATCTTCATTCAGAAACCAACATAATTACCTGTGTTGTTACTTGTATACTTGTATTGATTCATCCTTTAATCAAATCATAGTATTTTAATAGTCAGAGCCAGATAAGGTATTTGGCTCCCTGTAGACTTACATAGGTCTTGGGAATCTTCCCCCTCTATCCAGGTTATTAACAATATTCTACAGAAAATTCTTAAAAGGAGTAAATGATTTATTTTTAAATTAATTGAAATAATAATGGACTTGATTGCTGTTACTGCGACTGCTGCTACTGCTGGAGTTGCATTACATCAATGTATTCAAACTGTTAATTTTGTGGGATAAATGTCAAAAAAAAAATCTTCTTGGATGTGGAATTCTCAGTCAGGTGTTGATCAAAAGTTAACTAATCAAATTAATGATCTACAACAAACTGTTATATGGATGGGAGATAGAATTATGAGTTTAGAACATAGATTACAAATGCAATGTGTTTGGAATACTTCTGATTTTTGTATAACTCTATTTCAATATAATGAGTCTGTTCACAGTTGGGAATCAGTAGAACGCCATTTACAAGGAAGTGAAGATAATTTAACTTTAGACATAAGCAAGCTAAAAGAACAGATTTTTGAGGCCTCTCAAGCACTCTTAACTGCTTTACCTGGTGCTGAAATTTTAGACGGTATCTCTGAGGGATTATCTAATCTCAACCCCATTCAATGGGTAAAATCTTTGGGAGGATCCACTATCATTAATTTTCTTCTGTGTATGATTTGTGCTATTGGTTTATTGTTCACGTGTAAAATTGGAAAAAAATTCTTCAATCCAATTGTGATCAGTGCCAAGCTATGATTGCTATGGTTCATTTAAATCAGAGGAAAGAGGGAGAGGTAGGGAGACCCCCTGAAACTGTTGCTATGGAATAAAAGATGAAATGCTCCTGATTACTGTAAATACAGAATTGCATGCTGGATTGTGTATAGACAATGCCAGGTTGGACTGCCCGAACAAGCCAACAGCACGTGATGTGCTTCCCCCTGCAGAGAGCCTATGAATGGACATGCAGTCAGGCAGATTTCACATCACCAAGATTCCTATCCCAGAAAAGCAGGTGTTCATAGCTTTGGGAATGGAATGCGACCCTTGTGGAGAGTTTATAAATGGACGCATGGGGGACACCTGTCCCTATGGATAAGATAGGGCTATAAACACTCTCATCTTGCCGGTGACTCTTCTAGGCCTCTTTAGGGTTAAGGCATACTCTCTTCTGAGAATTTCTGGTCTAACCAGTTGTCTAGCTTCACGTCCTGTTTCCATGGATTATTTGTAACCAGCTTTTGTTGCAATTGTTACTGCTGATTAATATCTTGCTAATCACATGTTATGGAAAGATTGTGTTTCTGTTTTAAGGCTCTGTTAGAAATTACTGATGCACACACTATATTGTAAATTCTTATCTCTGTATACTGTACTTCTACATACAAATGTACTGTACTTCTACATACAAATGTTATGTTAAAGAATTACTTCATCCCCATGTGACCATCTCACCTCATAATTAATGACCCTAAATCCCTCACTAACCTACCCCGCCCCCCGCCGCCCTCACTAAACTTAATAATAAATGCTGGTATATCCAGTGCATTGTTGGCACCATGGGACCAGAAGGCGGTGAACCCGTGGACCCAGCTTTCACTATCTTTTGTGTATCTATTATTTCTCAACCTGCCGATCTGCCTGGGAATGAAGAGAGAGCCCTGTTGCATTGCGGGCTGCTGGCCAGATCCTGCAATCGTAGAATAACCTTTAAAAATTGTTTATCAACCATTTGGATACTCTTTTTCTTTTCTTTTCTTTTCTTTTTTTGCAGCATCTGTCTATTTTGGATTTTTTATCTGTAAAAATTTTAAGGAATAAAATATATGCTCATTTTTTTTTCTCCTGGTCTTAATCCATTCATCCTTTTACCCCAAGTATTTGGAAATATAACAGTTTTAAAAGTAGGACTGAATGTTTACCAAAGAACATTTTTTCTTTTGAGAGTTTCTCCTTGTCAACACATCACAAAAACCTATGTAAATCCTGTGGCTCTTGAATTGGGAATATGTCTTATGTAAGCAACAAGGCATGGGAAAGAGTAAAGTTTTGGAAATAAAGGGCTTGTCTTGGTTCCATCACTTATGATCCACTATTACATGGGAAAGCTATTCCTTGCCATTGGACAACTTTGGCCCCAGCTTTCCAGGGTAATTTATAAAAGGAGTTAGTAGTGTGTTTTTACCTACAAAAAGATTACTTTTGTAAGAGCAAACTTGTCTTTGGCATAAACACTGCAACTGCTGCATCTGAAAATAGCTGAAAGATCATAGAGGGGAAAGTGGGAAAGAATGGCTTTGTTCTTTGCAACATTTTTTAGATGGATTTTAACTCTTATTATTTGAAAACTATTTTTGATGCAGGCCATATTTATTAATTAATTCCTGAAAGCTTATCTGTTTCCTTATAATTCTAATTTATTCTCAAATTGGGAGAAAGAGCTTAAAGCAAGTTAATATTTGGGCACAGACACAATAGGGATGGGTTTAGGGATAGCTCTCTTCCATTCAAGTTTTGGAACTGTTCGTGTCATTTCTGGCTCTGACTCTGCACCATGCCCCATGCTGGTCCCTCCAGGGAGCAGAAGAGAAATGCCAAGTCAAAAAATCTAGAGCAACATCTCAAATACTGCCTTGGTTATTTAGGTTTTCCTAAAATATGGATCTTTACTAAACCAGCTAGCCTTTAAAACCCAGGTGGGTAATACTAAAATCTTTCCTCCTGAAATGTATTCAACATCATTTTAGTTAGACTAGAAACAAATCAAATCAAGAAAAATAACATTTTACTAATTAGTAATAGTATTGCTGCTACTGGTCTTAAGCTTCTAGAAGATTAGATTAACCAGATGCCTCTAATTATTGTTTTGAGTCCATAAGGAATATTTCAGTCTATCTTCTGAGATACTCTTTGCACTAAGCAAGGCAAACAAAAGATATAGATTCCTAGCAGTTATTCATTCCTCCTGCAGTTTCTTCATGTCCAGCGGGGCAAGTCCTATCATAGTGTTTAAGGCCTTGTGAATGATAGTATTTATGTAATATATGGAATTTTTATCCTCAAAATTTGTGAAAGCTCTGAAATAAAGGTATATTCCTTTAAAATGCCTTGATGGTGATTTCAAGTTCATCCTTTATTCCCTTACTCTCTTAACACACCTTTAATTACATAAATCCTATATGAGTTAAGAATATGGTAACTGGCAGCCAGGTGGGATAGAACAGATTTCACAGAAAAATAAACACCACTTACTTACAAACATATTAAAAGTTGTTCAATAATATCTGTAATATTAAATGGTAAATTAAATCAGCAAAAATTCTTCTTAGCCTGTTGTTTCAAAATGTTTTGAAATATGTAGTGTAATGGCAAAGATACGGGTAAAACAGACTCACTCACATGGCTATTGGTCAGAATGTAAACTGGGACAGCCTCTTTGGAAACAAAATTGATACAGCAATTGAAAAGCTAGATATGTACACTACGCATACATTGAAATATGTGCAAAGCCCTGCAGACACAAATGTTCATTTGGACATTATTTATGAAAGGCTAGAAACAACCCAAGTGGACATAATCAGGGACTTGTAAAATAAAGTATAGGTTCCATACAAAGGATTACTTTGAAGCTATAATTGAAGTTTGCAGATTTGAGTTTTGCAAAATAAGCTTTTTAAATAAAAAATAAGGTACAAAATATTGTGTATAATATTCTCCAATTATGAAAAATGACATACCTAAATATATATATATACACACACACACACACACACACAGACCTGTAGATACATACATATATACACATTCACAGATACAACTAAACACAGATGGGTGTACACCAGAACAATACACAGAGGGTATAGAAAGAGTTGATAGTCTGGATTTTCACAGTTTTATACTCCATTGTATACTGATTTTTTTTTTGAGATTTTCTTCCCATGTATGTGCATGACTTTGAATTTAATTTAAAAGCAAGTTAAAATTAAAAACCAAAAAAAAAAACAAAAAAAAATAGATAAAAGTTTTTTGTCACCTTACAGCTCTGATTATTTTTTATTTTTATTTTTTACAGGTTTTTTAATTTTTTAAACCCAGTATCATTCTCCTTTGAGGGGGAAAAAAGCTGACAATATCTGTGATATTTTCTCAAATAAATACAGGACAGTTACTGAAGTAAAAACTAAATTAATCTCACCTTCATCCTGAGTGAAATCACAGTTTAATATTTCTTTGATAACTCAGGAGATGGATTTTAAATTTTCAGTGTCTTGTACTTGATCTTATGACTGTCAATTATTCTTGTGCATTAGATTTGATGAAGTCTAGGCTAAAAGTTTTAAAACAATGCCTTTTGAAAGAATGCTAACAAAAGCTGCACTTCCTGATATTATCTGTAGCTTTTTATATTTTCACCGATATTATATTTTTACTTTATCTTCCTCATCACATTGAGGATAGGTTATATCCATATATCTTTGTGTCTCTCTTTCTCTAATTTCTACATAATTACATTTATTCTAAGATGCAATAATTGGGAATACAATATATAACAGACATACACTTAAGAATTTTAAAACAACATTCTTGGTAACATTGATTTGTCTAGTCTAAAAATAAAACCTGTGTCTTATATTTAGGTCACTTGTCAGGGATATAAATCAGGCAACTTATTTCCCTATGTTTAAATGAGGGACCATCTGCTCTTCTAGGTTTGGCTGCACTTGGAGGCTGTACAAACAGATCTTGAGAAGTCTTTGATGAGGAAGCACAGTAGAACACACCTGGCTGTTGGAGATGGGGAGATGCCAGCAGGTGAGGCATCAGGATCACATGGGAGAAGGCTAGGGGCACCAGGGAGAAGGCTAAGGGCACCAGGTGGAGGAGGGGGGTGCTGGGATAATAAGGTTTGATTGTTTTTCATTCTTTGTGGGATTTCTTCCTCATTATTGGCTTGTTTTCTCGGGAACATTTTTAAAATTTTATATTTGAGAGTACATGTGCAGGTTTGTTACAAGGAGGTATTGTGTAATGGTGGGATATGGGCTTCCAGTGAACCCATCACCCAACAGAGTAGTGAACATAGTACCCAATAAGTAGTTTTCTAGTCCTCGCTCCCTCCCACTTTCCCATTTGGAGTAACCTGGGTATATTATTTCCATCTTTATGACCATATGTACCCACTGTTTAGCTCTCACTTATAAGAGAGAACTTGCAGTGTTTGATTTACTGAGTTATTTTAATTCACATAATAGCTCAGTCCTTCTATATTGCTGTGAAAAACATAATTTCATTCTTTTTATGGCAATGTAGTATTCTGTGGTGTAAAAAAATCCCATGTTCATGGATTCATCACATATTCATCACAATGCCTATCAAATTACCAATATTATGCTTCACATAATTAGGAAAATCAATTCTAAAATTCATATGGAACTAAAAAAGAGGTTGAATATGAAAGCTATTGTAAGCAAAAGAGACAAAGCTGGAGGAATCATATTACCCAACTTCAAATTATACTACAAGGCTATAGTAACCAAAACAGAATAGTACTGGTAGAAAAATAGGTACATAGATAAATGGAATAGAGACCCAAGTTATAACACCACTCACCTACATTCGTCTGATCTTTTGCAGTGACAACAAAAGTAAATGGGAAAAGAACACTATTCAATAACTGGTGCTGACAAAACTTGCTACTGATATACAGAAGAATGAAACTAGACCCCTATGTTTACCATATTCAGGAAATTTTAAAAAGTAGCACAGAGATATTTGAGAGGAAGAGACTGATGGAGAGGCATCTCATTTGCAAGTGCCTCTGAATGAAGCAAAGCAAAGCTGTTCAAAGGCAGAAGTGTTAAGTATGTAGAAGACAAGCTCAATCTGTAAAACTCATGAAAGGAACGAAACAATCTCCTAAGAATGCCAGACATTTTTCATTCAGATATAAAAACAAGACTTGAGTCTTAGGGGAGAGCCAGATCCTGCACACAAGAACAGATATTGCAGAGCCAACAACAACTGTCTCAGCTGCCCCTTTGCTGAAATCTCTGTTTATTGATTCAGCTCTTTCCCAACCTGTTCAGCTCTTTCCCAACACAAAGCCAACTCCAAATATCCAGAATATTTGTTAGAGACATGAAGACGTATCTAAATTTCAACATGCAGCTTCAGAAAAGCATAAACATGCCTGTCTCACTCCTTGTAAAGGCTGATGAAAATATTTGCAAGCTATCCAAAAATTGAGATGAGCCAACTCAAAAAGCCAACTCCATTTTTCCCTGTATTAATACAAAATAAAAGAAAAAAGTCAATCCTAAGCCAAAAGAACAAAATGGAGGCATCATGCTACCTGACTTCAAACAATACTACAAGGCTACAGTAACCAAAACAGCATGGTACTGGTACCAAAACAGAGATATAGATCAATGGAACAGAACAGAACTCTAAGAAATAACGCCACTTATCTACAACTATCTGATATTTGACAAACCTGAGAAAAACAAGCTATGGGTAAAGGATTCCCTATTTCATAAATGGTGCTGGGAAAACTGGTTAGCCATATGTAGAAAGCTGAAATGGAATCCTTTCCTTATACCTTATACAAAAATTAAGTCAAGATGGATTAAAGACTTAAACATTAGACCTAAAACCATAAAAACCCTAGAAGAAAACCTAGGCATTACCATTCAGGACATAGGCATGGGCAAGGACTTCATATCGAAAACACCAAAAGCAATGGCAACAAAAGACAAAATTGACAAATGGGATCTAATTAAACTAAAGAGCTTCTGCACAGTAAAAGAAACTACCATCAGAGTGAACAGGCAACCTACAAAACGGGAGAAAATTTTCACAACCTACTCATCTGACAAAGGGCAAATATTCAGAATCTACAATGAACTCAAATAAATTTGCAAGAAAAAAACAAACAACCCCATTAAAAAGTGGGTGAAGGACATGAAGAGACACTTCTCAAAAGAAGACGTTTAGGCAGCCAAAAAGCACAAGAAAAAATGCTCACCATCACTGGCCATCAGAGAAATGCAAATCAAAACCACAATGAGATACCATCTCACACCAGTTAGAATGGCAATCATTAAAAAGTCAGGAAACAACAAGTGCTGGAGAGGATGTGGAGAAATAGGAACGCTTTGACACTGTTGGTGGGACTGTAAACTAGTTCAGCCATTGTCGAAGTCAGTGTGGCAATTCCTCAGGGATCTAGAACTGGAAATACCATTTGACTCAGCCATCCCATTACTGGGTATATACCCAAGGGACTATAAATCATGCTGCTATAAAGACACATGCACACGTATGTTTATTGTCACTCTATTTACAATAGCAAAGACTTGGAGCCAACCCAAATGTCCAACAATGATAGAGTGGATTAAGAAAATGTGCCACATATACACCATGGAACACTATGCAGCCATAAAAAATGATGAGTTCATGTCCTTTGTAGGGACATGGATGAAATTGGAAATCATCATTCTCAGTAAACTATCGCAAGGACAAAAAGCCAAACACCACATGTTCTCACTAATAGATGGGAATTGAACAATAAGAACACATGGACACACGAAGGGGAAGATCACACTCTGGGGACAGTTCTGGGGTGGGGGCAGGGGGGAGGGATAGCATTAGGAGATATACCTAATGCTAAATGAGGAGTTAATGGGTGCAGCACACCAGCATGGCACATGTATACATATGTAACTAACCTGCACATTGTGCATATGTACCCTAAAACTTAAAGTACAATAATATTAAAATTAAAAAAGGAAAAAGTTTATGTTGACACTTGTGTTTTTAAAATATTTTGATGTATAGTAGTTGTATATATTTTGGTGGTCAAAGTGAGATTTTGATACCTGTTTATGATGTGTAATGATCAAATCAGGGTGATTGGTGTATCTATCTTTTTAAATGCTTATCTTTTTTTGTGTGTGTTAGGAACATTTCAATCATTCTCTTCTAGCTATTTAAAAACATACAATAAGTTCTTGTTAATTATACTTTCCCTACTCATTATCAAAGACTAGAACTTATTGCTTCCATCTAACTATATTTTTTGTATTGTTAACAAACTTGTCTTTATTCCCTCCTCCCCCCTACACTTTCCAGCCTCTGGTACCTATTATTCTATTCTCTATCTACATTAGATCCACTTCTTCAGCTCTCAAATGTTGTGGGAAGTCAGGGACACTGAACAGAGGGACCAGCTGGAGCTGCAGCAGAGGAACATAAATTGTGAAGATTTCATGGACATTTATCACTTCCCTGATAATACTTTTATAATTTACTTTGCCTGTTTTACTTTAATCTCTTAATCCTCTTATCTTCATAAGCTGAGGATGTATGTCATCTCAGGACCCTGTGATGATTTTGTTAACTGTACAAATTGATTGTAAAACATGTGTTTAAACAATATGAAATCCGTGCACCTCGAATAAGAACAGAATAACAGTGATTTTAGAGAAAAAGGGAAGATAGCCATAATGTCTGACTGTGTGGGAGCAGGCAAAAAAAGCCATATTTTCCTTCTTGCAGAGAGCCTATAAACAGATGTGCAGGTAGGAGAGATATCACTAAATTATTTTCCTAGCAAGGAATATATTAAGACCCTAGGAAAAGAACTGCTTTCCTGAGGGAGGTCTGTAAACAGTTGCTCTGGGGTTGTCTGTCCTCTGCAGTTGAGATAAGGACTGAGATACTCCCTAGTCTCCTGCAGTATCCTTAGGCTTACTAGGATTGGGAAACCCCAGCCCTGGTAAATTTGAGGTCATACCAGTTCTCTGCTCTCCAACCCTGTTTTCTGTTAAGATGTCTATCAAGACAATACATGCACCACTGAACATAAACTCTTATCAGTAGTTTCTCTTTTTGCCCTGGTCCTGTTTCCTCAGAAGCATGTGATCTTTGCTCTGCCTTTTGCCCCTTGAAGCATGTGACCTATTCCCTGTTCATACACCTCATCCCCTTTTAAAATCCCAAATAAAAACTTGCTGGTTTTGCAGCTCAGGTGGACATCACAGACCTACCAATATGTGATGTCACCCCCAGTGGCCCAGTTGTAAAATTGCTGTTTGTGCTCTTTCTCTTTATTATTGAGACCAGCCAACACTTAGGAAAAATAGAAAGAACCTACATTGAAATATTGGGGACAGGTTCCCCCAATACTCACATGTGATTGCGAACATGCAATATTTGCCTTTCTGTGTCTGGTTTATTTTCCTTAACATACTGACCTCCAGTTCCATCCCTGTTGCCACAAATGACAGTATTTCATTTTTTTTAATGGTAAAATCATATTTCATTATGTATGTATACCACGTTTTCTTTACCCATTCATTGAGGGACATTTAGGTTGATTTTGCACTTTGTCTATTGTGAGCCCTGCTACAAAATCATGGCACTACAGATATTCTTTTAATATACTGTTTTCCTTTCTTTAGGGCAAATACTTAGCATTGGAATTGCTAGATCTTATGGTAGTCTTAATTACAGCTTGTTGAGGAACTCCCATGTGATTGGTTCTCCCTAGCAGTTATACTATTTTACATTCCCACCAACAGAGAACAAGAGTTCCTTTTTTCCACATCCATTGCACGATCATTATTTTTTGTCTTTTTGATAATAGCTATTTTAACTGGGGTGCTGTAATATCTCACTACATTTTTGATGACCCTTGTCTTACAAGGTCACAGACAAACTTCTTAAAAGTGTTGTCTTTAATCACTATGTGAATTTTCCAAGCTGCCAATCACAACCACAGCCATGGTCACATTCCCTGTCTTTAGCTCAACATTCTATTGAAATTGATTTCTAACTTGACTTTAGCCACACTGGCTTTTCCACGTATCAGAACACACTCACCTTTTCCTGATGCACTGGGCTTTTATTTGCTATCCTGTCTCCCTCTGATTTCCTTTTCTGTCTAATATTCTCTGATCCCCCAGGGTCTGCACCCTTTACACCACCTCTGAAGATATCCAGGCTATCCTAGAAGTAAATCCTTGTCCTGAATTCCTAGAGTCTGGGGATGTCCCATGATTTCATCCTACAGTATTGTAGTGTGTATGATGGGATAGTTTGTTTTGACTTGTGTACAGTTAACTGGGCTATGGGTTGCCTACGTTGAGCATTATTTCTGGGTGTGTCTGTGAGGATGTATTAGTCAGGGTACTCCAGAGAAAGCCAATAAGAGATAGATAAATAGATAGCTAGCTAGATAGATAGACAGACAGACAGACAGATAGAGAAATAGGTTGATGTAGAGATAGAAAGATAGATATAATAGGTATAGAAATAGATACTGAGATAGCTACAGATAGATAGTTGTAGAGATAGGAAAATAGATATAAATAGATATAGAAATAGATACAGGGATAGGGATGGAGAGAGAGATGCTTCAGGAAACTTACATTGTGGAAGGATGAAATCAGCATTCATTGTTTCTGGATGAAATTAGCATTTGAATTGGTCAACTGAATAATGAAGATCCACCCATAATCATCCAATCCATTGAGAGCCTCAATAGAACAAAGAGAGGAGAAACTAGGAATCATCCCTTTTTTTCTGACTTACTGCTTAAGCTGGGACATCTCATCTCACCTTCTCTTGCTCTTGGGCTGGTATTTATACCATTGACTCCCCTCATTATCAAACCTTCAAACTCAGGCTGAATTTCAAGGCCAGGTTTCCTGGGTATGCATTGCTGATAGCAGGTCATGGGAATTCTCAGCCTTCATAGTAGCATGCAGCAATATATCATAAATCTATCTATCATTTATCTCTTAATTTACATATCTTTATCTATCTATCTCTATATCTCTGTATCTATGTATCTATTTCTGTCTATTTAGAGCTCTCTATCTCTATATCTATGTTTGATATCTATCTGATATGGCTGGACTCCATGTCCCCATCCAAACCTCATCTTGAATTGTAATCCCCATGTGCTAAGGGATGGTTATGGTAGGAGGTGATCAGATTATGAAGGCAGTTTCTTCCATGCTGTGCTTGTGATTGGGAGTGAGTTCTCATGAGAGCTGATGGTTTTAAAGTGTGGCACTTCCCTTTGCTTTCTCTCTCTCTTACTACTATGTAAGACATACCTTGCTTTCCCTTTTCCTTCTGCCATGATTGTAAGTGTCCTGAGGCCTCCCCAGCCATGCAGAACTGTGAGTCAATTATACCACTTTCCTCTATAAATTACCCAGTCTCAGGTAGTATTTTTATAGCAGTGTGAAAACAGACTAATACTACTGTCTGTTTATAACTATCTCTATATCTATTTATATCTTTCTATCTTTCCATCTATCTATCTCTACATCTATCTATATCTATCTGTCTGTCTATCTATCTATCTATCTATCTATCTATCTATCTATCTATCTATCCCTTATTTGCTCTGTTTCTCTGGAGTACCCTAATACATGTTGTCATGCATATACTTTCTCTGGTGAACTTCAAGTGTTGCATGAGCATTTTACTTAGCTTTGTATATCCAGGCTCTAGAATATAAATGAAGCTCTGTAAGGATGTATTCAAAAAATAAAAATAAAAAGCCAAAACATAATTAAAAAATGAATTAATAAGTGCAAGATATGATGTTCAAATTCTGATTAGATTTCTTACCAGCATCATATTAATTAAGGTTTTTATTAATTCTGTTTTGCTGTTTCCTCCACTGTGAGTCAGCAGTAGAGTTTCTCAAGATCAACAGTATTGACACTTGAGACCAGACAATTTTCAGTTTTGGGGGTTTGTTCTGAGCATTGTAGGATGTTTAGCACCATCCCTGTCTTTTAATCAGTAATTCCTTTTCTCTTCAATTATGACAAGAAACAATATTGTCTCTAGACATTGCTAAGCATTTCCTGGGGAAGTGGTGCAATATCAGTCAAGTAGTTCTCAACTTGGCATTCATCTTGCACCACTAATCTTTCTTCTCTTCCAAAGGAATGAGAAAGAATAGAATTAAATAGAGACAGACATAATAAACACATTTCCAACCAATGAGCTTGTTTGGGATTCAGACTCAGAACATGGGCACATATACTAAAGCTTGGTTTGGGGTTAGCTACTGAGACGTGGAATGGTTTAGGTGTTCTTTAGTCTTGGTAGTATGGCCCACTGTGCCCACATCTCCCTCCTGAATGGTGGTAAACTCTTCTAGGGTCTTAACTCTGTCTTCTTCACGTCTATATTTTAGTAGAAGTCATAAAACAATGTTTTGAATATAAATTGAATTAATAGCCTATCAGCATTAAAAGTCAGATATACTCTCATTTGAATTAGAGGTATTACTGGTAAGTAATAATGAAACATTTTCCTTAGAAATCACATTTTTTTCTTAGAAATAGTACATAACATACTTATCATTTATTTAATGGCCAGTTAGAGACATTAACTATAAAGAATTGGTTCATATGATTGTGGAGGGAGTGAAGTCCCTAGATGTGCAGTGGGAAAGCTAGAAAGCTAGGGAAGCCCATGGTATGAGTTCTGGCATGAAGGCCTGAAAACCAGGAGAGCCAGCAGTGTAAGTTCCAGTCTACATCTGAAGGCCTGAGATCCAGGAGAGCTGAAGGTGTGAGTTCTAATCTGAAGGCCTGTGACCCAAGAGAGCCAATGGTATGAGTTCCACCTGGGTCTGAAGGCCCAAGATCCAGGAGAACCAAGGGTGTGAATTCCAGTCTGGGTCGGAAGGCCTGAGACCCAGAAGAGCAGAGGGTGTTAGTTTCAGTCTGAGAGTAAAGGCCTGAGATCCAGCAGAGACAACTGTGTCAGTTCCAGTCTGAGTCTGAAGGCCTGAGACCCAGGAGATCTGAGAGTGTGAGTTTGTCTAAGCCTGAAGGCCCGAAACCCAGGAGAGCTGCGGGTATGAGTTACAGTCTGAGTTTGAAGGTTTGAGACTCAAGAAAGCTGCTGGCATGATTTCCTGTCTGAAGGTGTGAAACTCAAGGAAGCCAATGGTGTGAATTCCAGTCTTTTGACTAGAGACCCTGTAGAGCTGCAAGTGCAAGTTCCAGTGTCAATCCAAAAGCCAAAGAATCAGCAGAGTCAATGATGTTATTTTCAGTACAATATCAATTTTGAAGGCAGGAAGAAGACCAGTGCCTTAGTTCCAAAACAGTCAGGCAGAGAGAAATAATTCTTACTCAGTCTTTTATTATATTCAGGTCTTCCATGGGAAAGATGATGTGCACCCACAATAGGGAAGATAATATGCTTTACCCGATGTACCAATTCAAATGCTAATTTCAGCCAGAAACACCCTCAGGGACTCGCCCAGAATGATGCTTAATCAAATATCTGAGCACTCTATGTCTTCATCAAATTACTACACAATAGTAACCTTTGTACTCATCATATACATTTTTAACATTTTTACATATTTATGAGAAAACTTACATTATTTGTGACAATGAAAGAGAAATCGCTGAAGTGTGAAATCTTTAAACCATTTAAAATCCTCAAAATACACTCTTTGAAACTTGTTCATTAAATTTGCAAACTGATAAATTCTCACCATGATTTTGCAGAGATCTTGCTGTTGTTCTTGTGCACATTTGAAGGTATTATTAATTAGAAAGATAAGGAAATATCACAGCGTGGCTGTATAATAAACCATATGACCTCTGAAAAAGTAATCCCATCCCTCATCCCCAACCCTGTACCCATGAGTATCTGTATAATAATATGTACATAGATGCAGACATATATACCGTCATACAGACTTCACAGAGACACACACATACATGTATCTGAAAAATGGAATAATTGAAATTAAAAGTCTTTGGGCCAGGTGCAGTGGCCCACATTTGTAATCCTGGCACTTTTGGAGGCTAAGGCGGGTGCATCATTTGAGGTCAGGAGTTCAAGATCAGCCTGGCAAACACGGTGAAATCCCATCTCTACTAAAAATACAAAATTAGCTAGGAGTGGTGGCATATGCCTGTAATCCTAGCTACTCAGGAGGCTGAAGCAGAATGCCTTGAACCCAGAAGGCAGAGATTGCAGAGATCTGAGATCCCACCACGGCACTCCACGCTGGGTGACAGCAAACTTCCATCTCAGAAACGAAATAAAGAAAGCAATTAAAAGGGTTTTATAGAAGTTTCTGAAAATAAATGTGATGTGCTAACTCAGCATATATTTTTAAAATGAAAATATGATTAATATAAATTTACCTAACAAAATCCCAAAGCCCTAATTACTTCCCATTTTTGAGATAAGAAATGTTTGTCTCAGAAGAGAAACTCTCCTTTTCCTTGTACTCTTCAAACGTATTTTCAATTAATGGAAGCTTTTTTTTCTTAACTAATCCTATTAAATATTGTGTATTTAAGCAATGAAACAATGGACTTATTATAATATTTTATTTTAATTTTACAAAACATTCAGACAAATTAACTTGAAAACATCAGACAGAACACAGGCAGACACTCTTACACATGCACACATCTAGGTACGTGAAATATTTCTATTTGAGAGCCATCAGTATATATAGAAGCCAAAATTTGTTATAACTCAATGTTTCTGTATACTACCCCTTTTATTCTTCTTTTAAAAACTATTCTATTTTAATGGAGTCTTATATATAATTTATTTTCCTTTGGAGAAACAATTTCTGCTGGTAATAAATACTTTGCTGTTACATGTTACCTTAAATAACTTAGAGCTATCAAGTTTGAAACCTTGGCTTTTACAAGATCATTTCAGGCCATCAGCAATGCATATTCTATGAAAATCCGTCTAGGTTTTATGCCCCACAGGCATTAGGTATTTGTCCAAATCCTCTCCCTGCCCTTGACCCCCACCCCCCGACAGACCCCAGTATGATGTTCCCCTTCCTGTGTCAATATGTTCTCATTGTTCAACTCCCACCCATGAGTGAGAACATGAGGTGTTTGGTTTTCTGTTCCTGTGTTAGTTTGCTGAGAATGATGGCTTCCATCTTCATCCATGTTCCTGAAAAAGGCATGAACTCATTCTTTTTTATGGCTGCATAGTATTCCATGTTGTAAATGTGCCACTTTTTTTTAATCCATTCTATCATTGATTGGCATTTGGATTGGTTCCAAGTCTTTGCTATTGTAAATAGTACTGCAGTAAATATGTGTGTGCATGTGTCTTTATAGTAGAATGATTTATAATCCCTTGGGTACATACTCAGTAATGAGATTGGTGGGTCAAATGGTATTTCTCATTCTAGATCTTTGAGGAATTACCACACAGTTTTCCATAGTGGTTGAACTAATTTACACTCCTACAAACAGTGTAAAAGCATTCCTATTTCCCCACATCCTCTCCAGCTTCTGTTGTTTCCTGAGTTTTTAATGGTCACTGTTCTAACTGCAATTAGATGGTATTTCATTGTAGTTCTGATTTGCACTTCTCTAATTATCAGTGATGATGAGCTTCTTTTCGTGTTGGTCGCATGCATAAATATCCTCTTTTGAGAAGTGTCTGTTCATATTCTTCATCCATTTATGTATGAGAATTATTCTCCAGAGTTAGATTGTTTTTATTCATTCATCTCCTTTCCCTCAACCAAATGAATTATTTACATAGACTAAGTGTGGCTTCTTATCCCTGTGACTCTTCACCTCCTGAATTCTGTGTGCATTTTTTAAGCAAAATTGGGATATTTAGTCTACTCTTTTTATGCAAATATTCATTGGATAAAATGTTGAAAAACAGCAGCCTCCAGAAGACTGCATAATGAGCTATGATCAGTTACAATTACCCACTCAAAAGTTATGGGACATGAAAATCAGGCTACAGGATATACCTTGATACCAAGAAATATGGTTGATTATAGAAAGAAAGTCTGTTAGTGAAACACCTTACATATAATTCATGGGTTAAATAAATATGTATTATATATACATATTACATATAAAGATCGTGGGTTTTTAAATGGCAAGTCCAGGGAGTTGTGCCACATATTTTCTTTGATAAGTGATTCTGATAAGGTTTCGCTGAAAAGTTAACACATCTAGGTGTTTTGGCACATGACTTCTTCTCTAAAAATACATAATGGGTCCAAGTTTATCTACTGAAAGTTTAGCATTTATGTAAGGTTAGAATTATTAATTGAGTTCAACATCTGCTTTTGCTGCCAAACTTCTGAACAGTAATAACAGGTAGTAACAAGAGGTTCAAGATGTTATCCAAATAAATAAAAACAGTCAGTAGGGGAACAAATAAGAGCTTAGTGCACACACACACACACACACACACATGCACACATATATATGAATATATGTACCTATACATATATACACATGTAAATACACACTAACATACAACATACTGTCAACCTAAAATCATCAAAAGGATCAGAATCCGGTATAAAAGAGTTTCATCAATTTGGTCAAACTTACATACAGCTAACTTACAGCTGCTTTCCTTCCCTTTTCTAAATTAAAAGTATATTTAATATTTCATCTTAGATAATGTGGTAATTGTGAGATCTTTGTGCATGAGAAGCAAGAGATAAGTTAATTCACAAGGAAAATCAACAGTGCAGTGGGAAGGGATCTTCTCTGTTGCCCTTTAGTAATTCACAATATTTTACAAGACAATGTAGGTAAAGCAAAGGGTATTCTATGATCAGCAGAACAAAGGTTGAAGCTGCCTAGGTTAAAGCTGCCTGTCAGGAGACTTAGTTCCCATAACCACATTCCTTTAAGTTTCAAAAAAAAAAAAAAAGTTCCAACAGCTTTGATTTTGAGTTACTTATTTTTACAACACTTATACTGAAGAGTTCTCTGTTGTTTATCTAAAATTTAAATACAACTGGTCATGTTATATTATCTACTAGTTCTGACAACACTAAATGGAAAGTTCAAAGGTTGGTCATCCTTCAGGGAAAACTTCATCCAGCAACTCCTTTATGAACCAAGTGCTTGGTTTTTTTCCTCACACTGCCCTACCTGCTGTTGTTTCAGTCATCTTAAAGCTAACTCCCTTGATGGCCCAAGGTCCCTTCCAAGTTCACTGCTTCTTGATTCATGTCCAGAAAAGATGCATGAGTTTACTTACTGCAACATTCCTGGCCCATCAGACAGCTTAGGGGAGATAATGTTATGATACAATTAATCTAGGTTGTCTATATTTAACTAGGAAATCCAGGGCCAAGGTTGATCTTCTTTAAAACCAAGTAGAAACCAAAATGTTTAAGAAAGTAGGAAAAGTCATGAGCAAATATTTCATACATTGTGCACAAAACCTTGAGAGTGAGAGGTGAGAAAACCTTGAAGATGGGTGAAGTCTCTGCTGCAACTACTCAACCTTGCTGTCATATGGAGAAGGCGGCTACAGGCAATATGAAGATAAACAAATATGGTAGTGTTCCCATTTATGCACACTGAAATTTGTATGTTGTATAATTTTTATCATCATGAAACATGAGCCTCCTTTTGATTATTTTCCCAATCATTTCAAAAATATGAAAATATATTCCTAGTCAGTGGTCCCTAAAGGAACAGATGGCCAGAGGGATTTGGCCTACTAGCCATTGTTTAATGGCTCTTCCTTCATGGTGGTAGATCCATTATCTTGGCTGCATGTCAGAATCACTATCCCAGGTGAATGTAATCATACTCCTGTGCTTGAGTTGGCTGAGTCACTAGATCTAGGGGTACCATCATTGTAGGCAACTTAATTCACCCAAGTGGTAGCAGAGTAGAATTCAGGGCAGAAGACGTACTCACGCATTACTGGATGTCTCCCTTGATGGTCTGCTGCATCACTTGTGCTGCAAACCTGGAGAAATGGCCCTGGGCTGCAAAAGGTGAAGAACTTCAAGATTTATAAAAGACTTTTTAGAATAAGGAAAGTGTGAGGGGTGAATGCACACAAATGAGGAGACCAGTAATAGAAAGCATGCCACCATTCCTGATACACACTGGACACTGGTCTCATTGATTGTCTCCCAACAAACAGAGATTTCAGTGAGCTGAGATTCCCACTACTGCACTACACGCTGGGCAACAGCAAAACTCCATCTCCAAAAAGAAAGAAAGAATTTAAAAGTGTTTTACAGACATTCCTGAAAATAAATGCAATGTGCTAACTCAGCATGTATTTTAAAATAAAAATATGATTAATATATATTTACCTAATAAAATTATTGTTTTATGGCTCCGCGGTATTCCATGGGTTTATTATTAAACTAGAGAACACTGATAATCAATCCAGACTGCAAAAATAGAGAAGGCAGTCACGAATTTAATTTTAGAAGTGCTGAGTTACAGGTGTAAGTGTTTGGCTTTTAGAAATGAGAGCAAAGAAACACATATTAGGGACTTAGCAGCAAAGAACTCATGGTAGAAGCTATAGGGATGATTGGGAACCCACAGAAAGCAGAGTTTAGAGGCACAGGCTGAATTCAAGCACAGCTTTGGGAAATGCTGACTTATAAAAATTGTTGGATAAACTGAAGTCAATGAAGAAGGCGAACAGATTTAAAGCCACAGAGCTACGCCTTGAAACTGAGATGCGGGTGAATAGAGTCAAATACTGTAATGCCAGTGGTGGACTAAGAGGAGATAATTGGATCTGACTGCATTTCCTGAGGTCATTGGTAACCTTGGAGAAAAAAAAAAAAGTAGATTCAAAAACTGGTGTAGATGTGTATTGGGGGATTTGTGGAAAAATCAGATAGCTAGAAGTTACAGGTATCAATCAATAGGGACAAACTTGAGTGCTGAGATAGTCATGGGTTACTTCATTAACCAAGAACGTAAGAAGCTGGTGGAATTATTGGACAAAGCAAGAAAAAAGAAGCCAAACCAACAAGAATCTTAAGACAAGACATGGGAACTCAGAGAATTCAGAGATGACCGATAGAGCTCTGTGTCTCTAATGCTTTGGGGAAAAGTCCTAAATCCCACTGAGTGCATTTTTGCTGTTCCCAGATTGATAGATGTATGGCTAGGAGAGAGGCTCTGTCAAGCTTCTTCTAAACCCAAGCTAGGGCTAGTCCACCCTAGAAATCCCCTGAGCCCAACTGACCATTGTGCATTTGCTTAAGGTCCATGTGCAATGTGTCACACTGAACACATCCTGGGAATTGCCTTAGTGTCTAAAGTTATCATCATTCTCTCTCTCCAGTCATTTTATCTCATTTCACTTTGAAATCCTATCAAAGGATTGGAATCCAGGCATTCTGTGCTAGAATCTATCTTTATGGTTATTTTGTTTTAATATGCATTCTACAATGCTCCTCCACATTTCACATTACACAGTTTTATTATTTTTAGACTCACTGGACACATTTTCACACCAATTGCCTATGTGAAGAGTATGTATGGGTGTGTAAACATAATTAATTTCAAAGTTATATCATTTTTCAGAATAAGAATGTCAAAAACAGTCAAAATCAAATGTACCACATTGTAAATACCCCACTCAACCTTTCTTTCTTCCTTCCTTCCTTTCTTTCTTTCTTTCTTTCTTTCTTTCTTTCTTTCTTTCTTTCTTTCTTTCTTTCTTTCTACCTATATTAAATGGACAGGTGTGTGTTAGAGAAAGAGAGATAGAAATACAGAGAGAAACAGAGAGACAGGGATACAGAGAGAGAAAGACAGAGAGAAAATGCTATGTTATGTTTCTATGTTATTTACAAGTTTCTGGAAAATATTTTATTATTTACTTAAACTAAATGTGAATATTCAAGATTTCTAAGATTCTCTTTATTTTGTTTTCTATTATAAATAAGTCAAAGGAAAGGATTCACTTTTGCATTTCAATTTTCTCGAAATATCCTGTTTCAAGTCTATCTTATCTTCATTCTCACTTTACTCAGAAGTCTAACTTTCACATCTGCTTTCCTGCTATCCAATGACTCTCCTGTGTCAAAGAACTCCCTCAACACCCTCACATAAACATTTTATAAGATTTTCTCTTCTGCAAAATGGAGAGATGGCTCATCTGAATGTAGCCTTTTGGGTATAATCAGATGAGAAAACAAATTTCATTCTCTGATTGCAATTCTGTCATTATTGAGGGGATAACTTAATTTTGTGTTGCTTCCTTTTTCACTAGGGCCAGGACTGTCACCAGTAGTAAAGTCAATAGGCTTCTTGCAACACACATGGCTGGGTCTTCAAATCATTTTTGAAATCTAAATAAGCTTTGGAAATTGGGGACATGGAGCATAGTGGTCTCATTCTTTTCTGGAAATCAAGAGAGAAGGGAGAGTAAAATTTTCACTGTTTCTCTGGAGTTCACCCACACTCCTTCTCCAGGTCACCTGTATATTCAACAGAGACACATGGCTTTGCATCTCCCAGGGTGTGGCTCCAAATGAAAATTGAAGTCATCCTTTTGGAACATGTTAATTTCTCCTCTAAAGCAGACTGTGCAGCCAATTTAGGGACAAGGCTACTATCAACTCCTTCAGGTTGGCAAAACTCAGCACTGATTCCAGGTTTTCCCTGGGGACATGATTAGCAATGGGCTCTCCTGCAGCCATTTTCCCCAGCCAGGTTTTGGCCACATTAAATTTACTCACTGACAACTTGTTATCACTAAGATTTAATAATAAAATGCAGATTTCCCAATAGTCTGTCTCTTTAAGAAACTATTTGAAGGTTACTGATTCAACTCTCCAAAAAGTAAAAATTATAATCTTTTTATATAGTTGTCACATTCTCTGTGAAACTACTCACAGAGCTGGAAAAGTAAATGGTTTCATGTTAGCCTTATTCTAGCAGAGGCTGTGCATCTGCATCTCTAGTAAAGTTTGTTTAAGTGCAAGTTTCTGGGTCCTAATCCAGAGTGTTTGATTTAGCAAGTCTGCTTGGGGTGGGACTTGAGAATATGCTTTTCTAACTAGGTTTCAGGTGAGACTGATTTTGATAATGTGGGCACTGCTTTGAGAACTTCTTCTCTTACACTAATTTCTCATAACTTCACTAAAAAAATGCAAAATCAAATGATTCTTTATTTTGGTCTTCTAATTCCTACTTATTAGGAAATAGAACGTTATATATACCTCCTCAAAACTTCATAGTTTAATTATCTTCATCTCGGCATTTTAGGATACTTTAACTCTGGCTTGGAAGGTCATCAATTTAACAAAATTAATGTAGGCATCTTCTGACGTACCCATTACAGACATAAGTCTCTTAGAATTTACCATTAGAGGTTATTTCTCCCTTTACTAAAATTAATTTTAAAAACTTATTTATCTGTTTGAAAATGAACTAGGAACATCTACCTACCCACCAATATCGGAGGCACTTATACAGTCTACTCATTCATGGAAGGCCCATGTTAGAGGAGGAATACCTATAGTTCACCTTTAACATGTGCTTATTAACCCAGGGGTCTGGGAGAGCTCTCTGGGGGACTCATTATCTCACCTAAGGAGTGGAATTTCAAGTGGCTCACTCCTCTAAACAAAATCTCCCTCACTTGCAGGACAGTATCTGAATTTCCATCCTCTATTTGACTACCTTGATTACCAAGTCTTTTATTCAGTAATTGGAACTAAAAGTCAAATGTAAGTGTTCATAAAAGAGGTGAGATATGGAGTAAAATTTATAATTATACCACAGATCAGTATTCATTTCCTAAAGATTCCATTACTATTTACCAAAGGCTGTGTAACATAAACAACAGATAAATATTCTCTCACTTCTGGAGACAAGAAGTCTGAGATCAAGGAGTAGATAGGGTCAAGTTCCCTCCAGAGGCTCTAGGGAAAGGATCTATTTTCCCTATTCCGCTCCTGTTGATTCCAGTTGTCCTTTGCTTGTGGCATCATCACTCCAGCTGGTATCTCCATTTCCATGTGGTCTTCTCCTCTGTGTATCTTCTCTTCTTTTATAAAGTCATGGCATTGAAGACTCACCCTAATCACAAAATCTTCAACTGAATTTCATCTGTAACGACCCCTTTTCCATATAAGTTCCCATCTACAGGTTCTGGGTGGACTTGTCTGAATGGAGAGATTATTCAACACATTACAAGGACAAATGACAGAAATGACTAGACTGTATGGTGTACCTCATGGGAGAGATAGAACAGTCAGGATTCACAGGCAGATATTCTGTGAATACAGGCTAAACAGTGCTGCCATTGGAAGGGAAAGTGGGAATCAAATGTTGATTTTCCATCTCTGCTGTTTATCATGATCTATAGACTCCCAAAAAACACACACAATACCAGAGATGCTATTTTTGAGTGACACAAAGAACATGGAACTGTCCTTTTTTACTTACAGGTAAATGGGAGAGACAATGGCATATTGCTTTTGCAGAGTTCATGCTAAAACACTCTTATGGATCTATGTATTCAAAACAGCCACTAAGGCCAGATGTGGTGGCTCATGCCTGTAATGCCAGAACTTTGGGAGGCTGAGGCGAGTGGATCACCTGAGGTCAGGAGTTTGAGACCAACCTGGCTAACATGATAAAACCCCATCTCTAGTAAAAAATACAAAAATTAGAGAGGTGTGGTGGGGCATACCCACAGTCCCAGCTACTCAGTGTGCTGAGGCAGGAGAATCGCTTGAACATGGGAGGCAGAAGTTGCAGTGAGCTGAGATTGCACCATTGAACTCCAGCCTGGGTGATGGAGTAAGAGTTTTTCTCAACACAAAAAAAAAAACAAAACAGCCACCAAAAATATAAAAATGAGATATTGTGAGTAATGCTTACATCACAAGGCCTCCCAAGTCATATCACAAACTACATTTGGAAATGGAGTTAAAAAGTAGAAGTAGGAAGTTAGCAGGACTTTATCAATAATTTCTTTTGGAAGACCACATGGAGAAGCTGGTGAGAAATTGTCTAGCTTGTCCTTCATTCACTTATTTTGTAGTTATGAAGATGTCCTTTCTTAGTTGCACAATCTGTGGGAAAGAGGATATCTTCTTTGCCACTGTTTACTCACACAGGCAGATTTGAAAGTAGCAATGGAAAAAATAAACAATGAACACTCTTCTAAATAAAGCATAGAAAAGAAAAATAGTTCTGGATGCTATGTAGTGGAGAGATTTAAGACTTGGCTAGAAGAAAACCAGAAGAGACAGACCCTGAGAAATATCCCATGTCCAAGTGTGATCCTTTGTGAAGTCAGGGCTGGAATTGGGTAAGACAGTTCTCTCTCCAGGTGAAAGGTACAGCCAGGGTAAAGGCCTGTCAGTGGGAAGTGGCTTATTTGTTGAATACATATAAAGAATTCCTCTGCAGTTACATATCAGGGGACTTCAAAAAGTTCATGGAAAAATGGAATTAAAATATAAAAGTTAAAAAATTACACTTTATTTCTCAACTTAATCTCCATCAAGTTCAAGTTCTGTAAGTGATAATATCAGCCATTTTAGTTCATCCCTAAGGAACTGAGACCCTTGGAATTTGCCCATGTCAATGTCATATTTTTTACATAATTAACTGAAGAAAAATCGGTGTCCTTTGACAAAATAGAAGTCAAAAGGAACCAGATCAGATGGTAAGATGGATGCCTAATTATTTCTCATTGAAACTCTTACAGAATTTCCCTCGTTTCATGAGAGGAATGAGTAGAAGTGTAGGGGTTCAGTCAGAATGATGGGGAAAACTATAAATTAAAACACAAACCTTCTTAGAAGGCCAAAAGGTTTTGCAAAAGCTTCACGATAGTTATGGCTGAGGGCAGCCTAATCCTCTTTGAGCTACAGCAAGGGGAATAAACATAGGAATATAGAGTAGTTTATCTAAATAGCTTGTTACTCATGTGGTTCTAAAACTAACCTTTGATCACTTGTGGGCAGGATAGCAATCTTGGAGCGAGGGGTGAGTAAGGTGGTCAGGATGATTACCCTCTAATGGTATTTACTGGAGACTTTCATCATTTAATGTGTACTGAATAAATGTCAGAAGGCCAGCAAGTCGGGGTCTATGGCTGACAGCACACGCCTTGCAGTCTGTAAGTAGCCTGGACCCTCAGCCAGACTGACAGGCATAATATCTGTATGGGTGTACATTATTCATTCATCACTGAGTCAGGGTCTGCAGGACTGAGCTCTGTATAGAAGCATTGCAGTGGTGGAGGAGGGCTCTCTGGTGAAGTTTTCTTGGGCATCTTTCTGCTAAATCTTTGGCTAATTTTCTCAAATACTTCCATAATAAGCAGATGTTATTGTCCTTTGTCCTTCCAAAATGTCTACAAGTAAAATGCCTTGATCATTCAAAAAAACTGTTGCCACGATCTTTGTTCTTGTCTCATCCATTTTTGCGTTGATGGAACCCTTTCCATCTCTTCATAGCCATTGCTCTGATTGTGTTTTGCCTTCAGGATGGTACTAGTAAAGCTATGTTTTCTCTCCTGTAATGATTCTTCAGACAAATGCTTCAGAAACTTAATGTCACATGTTTAAAATTTCCATGGAAAGCTCTGCTCTTGTCTTCAGCTGATCCATATGCAACAATTTTGGCACCCATCTTCTGGAAAGTTTGCTCAACTTTAATTTTTCAGTTAGAATTGTGTAAGCTGAGTCAGTTGAGATGTCTATGGTGTTGGCTATTGTTTCTGTTTTTAATCATCGGGTCCTTTTTAATTAGGGCACATTCAAGATTAATGTTTCCTTTCAAATTTATGTGGATGATCTTACACTGCAAGCTTTATCTTCAACATTATCTTATCCCTTCTTAAAATGAGTTGTCCATTTGTAAACTGCTGGTTTCTTTGCTGCATTTTCCTGATAAATCTTTCATAAAACATCCATGATTTCACCCTTCTTCCACCCAAACCTCACCATAAATTTGATGTTTGTTCTTTCTTTAATTGTAGTGGAATGCATATTGTTCTGATAGGGGCTCTTTTCAAACTGATGTCTTGTCTTTCTTAAAGCCTCAAACTTGACTCTGTTCACACATGTTATTACAAGCTAGTAAGAGTTTATCTTTGTGAAAAAAACAACAAAAATGTAAATCCATGCATAATTTTTTCATAACAAAACATTTCCATGAAGTTTCTGAAGTCAGCTTTTATAGTGGACAAAGACAGTGTAAAGGATAAGACAATCAGGTCAAAAAATAGAGTTACATAAACCAGGGCTAAGTGTTTCCATTGTATTTTACAAATAGCTGCACATTGTTGGAGAGGTCTGAAACTGCCTTCACGGAATTAAAAGACCACAAAATTAAAATTATGGTAGGTGCATGATTTTCAGCAACATATTTTCCTTTCTCTCTGATATTTTCCTCCTCCATGTATGATTGATTGTTCATAGTAATTTAATAAATGGTAGTCACCAATAATTGATTGTCTTGCTGTCCTAGCCCCTGGGCAGGCTGCTTGCAAGATTAATGGACATTTTTTTTTGTTTTGTTTTAAAGAACAATGATTCTTAGATCTTGCAGAACTATTTAATAGCTTCCAGAATTTTAGCTTGCCAAAGGGGTCTCAGGCAGCTTTGATTACTGGAACTATCACCCCTGAAAACTTTTCTGCTATATTCCAGGCAGAGTGAACGATAACCTGTCACTGTTTCCCAGCTTGCCTTCCACAGTAACTTGCAGTAACAAGAGGTATTGTAAACCTAAAACTGGCCTTTGAGATATTTTTAGACCTGTCTTGCAAATTGGTCAACTGACATCAACCAGACCAGTGGCCTGTAAACCCAACCAAGGAACTGACTAGTGTTGTGACTTCCTCTCTTCCCAGGAATTGATTCAGTGCATAAAGACAGTCAACACCCCTCTGAATTCATCTCAGACCAATCAGCAGCACCCTCCTCCTCATACCTCTGCTTGCCAAATCAACTTAAAAACCCCAGCCTCTGAAGTTTCAAGGAGGTGGCTTTGAGAAATATCTCCTTTCTTCCTTGCTCAGTTGCCTGCAGTAATTGAATTCTTACTTTACCTCTGTCTCAACGTTCACCTTTGTCCAGGCAGTGAGTGGGCAAGGACCTGGTCAAACATCAATAGGCTTAGCAGCAGAGAGCATGCTATGGTTTATATTTTTAGAGAAATACCCTGGCCTCTGAGTCGAGCACTGATTGCAAGAGCAGGAATTTCAGAACTCAAAATGAGGGTCGTTCTACCACTTGCTTCTGGGAGTCACGTAGACATGCCCTAGACTGGCATAGAGCCTCCCTCATGAACTTGCAGAAGGAAACATGTATTTCCATATATAAAGATCATCGAGAAAGAACATTTCCTAGGAGCCCATAGCCATCCTAGATGTTCCTTGAACTTTTTAAGGCTCCTAGGACATCAGAGGGATTTAACTAAAAACATATGTCCTCATTTTTCAGAATTAGGATGTAGAATTTTTAAAAAATTTTCCTCTTTACAGCAAACACTTCCTCCTTTTTGGCCTTTCTGGCTCTAGGACACATCAGCTATAATGTGTTCTAGTCTCTGCAGTCAGAGTTTTTTCTAAAGAGTCAGAGAGAATTTTCTGAAACAAAAATCGGATCATGTCATTTCCCCACACAAAAACTTAATAGTTCCCCATGGCTGTCTCTCTCTCTCTCTCTCTCAATCTGTCTCTCTCTACATATATATATATATGCACATACATATATATATATGTACATATATATATGTACATATATATGTACATATATATATGTACATATATATGTACATATATATATGTACATATATATGTACATATATATACACATGTACATATATATACATATGCATATATATGTGTGTGTGTGCACACGCGTGTGTGTGTTATATATAGAATATTTATTTATTGTTATATTATTTATTTATATTCATATTTTAGCTGGCCTATAGACTCAGAGGGGAAGACGATCTAGTCTATTAATGTCATAGAAAAGGACACCTTCCCTCGCCACTTGTATTCAACATAGTATTGGAAGTTCTGTCCAGGTCAATCAGGCAAGAGAAAAAAAAAAAGGCTATTCAAACAGGAAGAGAGGAGGTAAAATTGTCTCTGTTTGAAGAGGACATGATCCCATATCTAGAAAACTCCACTGTCTCAGGCAAAAAGCTTCTTAAGCTGATAAGAAACTTCAGCAAATTCTCAGGATACAAAATCAGTGTGCAAAAATGACTAGCATTTCTACACACCAAAAATAGACAGGAAGAGAGCCAAATCATGAATGAACTCCCATTCACAATTGCTAAGAAAATAGTAAAATATCTAGAAATACAGCTACCAAGGGAAGTGAAGGACCTCTTCAAGGAGAACTACAAGGAAATCAGAAAGGACATAAATATTTCATGCCCATAGGTAGGACGAATCAATATCATGGTAATGGTCATACAGCCCAAAGTAATTTATAGACCAGTGGAACAGAATAGAGATCTCAGAAATAAGACAAAACATTTACAACCAATTGATTTTAAACCAACCTGACAAAAACAAGCAAATGGTGCTGGGAAAACTGACTAGTCATATGCAGAAGATTGAAACTAGACTGCTTCCTTATATCTTATGCAAAAATCAAATCAAGATGGATTAAAGACCTCAATGTAAAGCCCAAAACTATAAAAAGCTAGGCAATACTGTTTAAGACATAGGCATGGGCAAATATTTTATGATAAAAACCTCAAAAGCAATTGCAACCCAAGCAAACATTGACCAAATGGGATGTAATTAAACTAAAGAGCTTCTTCACAACAAAAGAAACTATTATCAGATTGAACAGACAACCTATGTAATGGGAGAAAACTTTTGCAACCTATTCATCTGACAAAGATCTTATATCCAGAATCTACAAGAAACTTAATCAAATTCACGAGAAGAAAACAAACAACTGCATTAAAATTTGATTAAAGGACATGAACAGACAGTTCTCAAAAGAAGACATTTATGTGGCCAAAAAGTACATGAAAAAATGCTCAACATCACTGATCATTAGGTAAATGAAAATCAAAACCACAATGAGATACCATCTCATGCCAGTCAGAATTGCAATCATTAAAAACTCAGGAAAGAGAGGGTGGTTCCAAGATGGCTGAATAGGAACAGCTCCAATCTACAGCTCCTAGCATGAGTGACGCAGAAGACCAGTGATTTCTGCATTTCCAATTGAAGTACTGGGTTCATCTCATGGGGCCTTGTCAGACAGTGGGTGCAGGACAGTGGGTGCAGCCCAGCGAGTGTGAGCTAAATCAGGGCAAGGCATCACTTCACCTGGGAATCACAAAGGGTCAGGGAATTCCCTTTCCTAGCCAAGGGAAGCTGTGACAGATGGCACCTGGAAAATTGGGTCACTACCACCCTAATACTGCAGTTTTCCAGCAGTCTTAGAAAATGGCACACCAGGAGATTATATCCTGCACATGGCTTGGAGGGTCCCATGCCCACAGAGCCTCACTCATTGCTAGCACAGCAGTCTGAGATCAAACCGCAAGGCAGCAGCAAGGCTGGGGGAGGGATGCCCACCATTGCTGAAGCTTGAGTAGGTAAACAAAATGGCCAGGAAGCTCGAAATTGGTGGAGCCCACCACAGCTCAAGGGGGCCTGCCTGCCTCTGTAGACTCCACCTCTGGGGACAGGGCATAGCCGGATAAAAGGCAGAAGAAACATCTGCAGACTTAAATGTCCCTGTCTGACAGATTTGAAGAGAGTATTGGTTCTCCCAGAATGCAGTTTGAGATCTGAGAACTATCAGACTGCCTCCTTAAGTGGCTCCCTGACCCCCAAGTAGACTAACTGGGGGCCATCCCTCAGTAGGTGCAGACTAATACCTCACATAGCCGGGTACCCCTCTGAGATGAAGCTTCCAGAGGAATGATCAGGCAGGAACATTTGCTGTTCAGAAATATTTGCTGTTCTGCAGCCTCCGCTGCTGCTACCCAGGAAAACAGGGCCTGGAGTGGACCTCCAGCAAACTCCAACAGACCTGCAGCTGAGGGTCCTGACTGTTAGAAGGAAAACTAACAAACAGAAAGGACATCCACACAAAAACCCCAGCCACACGTCACCATCCTCAAAGACCGAAGGTAGATAAAACCATAAACATGGAGAAAAAACATAGCAGAAAAGCTGATAATTCTAAAAATCAGAGTGCCTCTCCCTCTCCAAAGGAATGCAGCTCCTCACCAGCAATGGAACAAAGCTGGACAGAGAATGACTTTGACGAGTTGATAGAAGGCTTCAGATGATCAAACTTCTCCAAGCTAACAGAGGAAGTTTGAACCCTCTGCAAAGAAGCTAAAAACCTTGAAAAAAGATGAGACAAATGGCTAACTAGAATAAACAGTGTAGAGAAGTCCTTAAATGACCTGATGGAACTCAAAACCATGGTAAAGAACTATGTGACAAATGCACAAACTTCAGTAGCAGATTTGATCAACTGGAAAAAAGGGTAGCAGTGATTGAAGATCAAATGAATGAAATGAAGTGAGAAGTTTAGAGAAAAAAGAGTAAAAAGAAATGAATAAAGCCTCCAAGAAATGTGGGACTATGTGCAAAGACCAAATCTATGTCTGATTGGTGTACCTGAAAGTGACAGGGAGATTGGAACCAAGTTGGAAAACACTCTGCAGGATATTATCCAGGAGAACTTCCCCAATCTAACAAGGCAGGACAACATTCAAAGTCAGGAAATACAGAGAATGCCACAAACATACTGCTCGAGAAGAGCAACTCCAAGACACATAATTGTCAGATTCACCAAAATTGAAATGAAGTAAAAAATGTTAAGGGCAGTAAGAGAGAAAGGTCGGGTTACTCACAAAGGGAAGTCCATCAGATTAACAGCAGATCTCTCGGCAGAAACTCTACAAGCTAGAAGAGAGTGGTGGCCAATGTTCAACATTCTTAAAGAAAAGGATTTTCAACCCAGAATTTCATATCCAGCCAAACTAAGCTTCAAAAGTGAAGGAGAAAAAAAAAAAACTTACAGACAAGCAAATGCTGAGAGATTTTTTTCACCACCAGTCCTGCCCTACAAGAGCTCCTGAAGGAAGCACTGAACATGGAAAGGAAAAACCAGTACCAGTCACCACAAAAACATGCCAAATTGTATAGACCATTGATGCTAGGAAGAAACTGCATCAACTATCGAGCAAAATAACCAGCTAACATCATAATGACAGGATCAAATTCACACATAGCAAATTGCAAATGGGCTAAATGCTCCAATTAAAAGACACAGACTGGCAAATTGGATAAAGAGTCAAGACCCATCAGTGTGCTGTATTCCAGAGATCCATCTCATGTGCAGAGACACACATAGGCTCAAAATAAAGGGAAGGAGGAAAATCTACCAAGCAAATGGAAAACAATAAAAGGCAGGGGTTGTAATCCTAGTCTCTGACAATACAGGATTTAAACCAACAAAGATCAAAAGAGACAAAGAAGGCCATTACATAATAGCAAAGGGATCAATTCAACAAGAAGAGCTAACTATCCTAAATATATATGCACCCAACACAGGAGGAGCCAGATTCATAAAGGAAGTCCTGAGAGACATACAAAGAGACTTAGACTCTCACACAATAATAATGGGAGTCTTTAACACCCCACTGTCAACATTAGACAGATCAATGTGGCAGAAAGTTAACAAGCATATCCAAGAATTGAACTCAGCTCTGTACCAAGTAGACTTAATAGACATCTACAGAACTCTCCACCCCATATCAACAGAATATACATTCTTCTCAGCACCACATCACACTTATTCCAAAATTGACCACATAGTTGGAAGTAAAACACTCCTTAGCAAATGTAAAAGAACAGAAATTATAACAAACTGTCTCTCAGACCACAGTGCAATCAAACTAGAACTCAGGATTAAGAAACTCACTCAAAACTGCTCAACCACATGGAAACTGAAACAACCTGCTCCTGAATGACTACTGAGTACATAATGAAATTAAGGCAGAAATAAAGATGTTCTTTGAAACCAATTAGAAAAAAGACACAACATACCACAGTATCTGGGATACATTCAAAGCAGTGTGTAGAGGGAAACTTATACCACTAAATGCCCACAGGAAAAAGCAGGAAAGATCTGAAATTGACACCCTAACATCACAATTAAAAGAACTAGAGAAGCAAGAGCAAACACATTCAAAAGGTAGCAGAAGGCAAGACCTAAGATCATAGCAGAAATGAAGGAGATAGAAACACAAAAAGCCTTTCAAAAAATCAATTAATCCAGGGGCTGGTTTTTTTGAAAAGATCTACAAAATTGATAGACCACCAGCAAGACTAATAAAGAAGAAAAAAGAGAAGAATCAAATAGATGCAATAAAAATGATAAAGGGGATATCACCACTGATCCCACAGAAATAAAAACTACCATCAGAGAATATGGTAAACAGCTCTATGCAAATAAACTAGAAAATCTAGAAGAAATGGATAAATTCCTGGACACATATACCTTCCCAAGACTAAACCAGGAAGAATTTGAATCCCTAAATAGAACAATATCAGGTTCTGAAATTGAGACAATAATTAATAGCCTACCAACCAAAAAAAGTCCAGGACCAGACAGATTCACAGCCAAATTCTACCAGAGGTACAAGGAGGAACTGGTACCATTTCTTCTGAAACTATTGCAATCAATAGAAAAAGAGGGAATCCTCCCTAACTCATTTTATGAGGCCAGCATCATCTTGATACCAAAGCCTGGAAGAGACACAACACAAAAAGAGAATTTTAGACCAATATCCATGATGAACATTGATGTAAAAATCCTCAATAAAATACTGGCAAACTGAATCCAGTAGTACATCAAAATCTTATCCACCATGATCAAGTGGGCTTCATACCTGTGATGCAAGGCTGGTTCAACATACACAAAGCAATAAATGTAATCCAGCATATAAACAGAACCAAAAACAAAAACCACAGGATTATCTCAATAGATGCAGAAAAGGCCTTTGACAAATTTCAACAGCCCTTCATGCTAAAAACTCTCAATAAATTAGGTATTGGTGGAACGTATCTCAAAATAATAATAGCTATCTATGACAAATCCACAGCCAATATTATACTGAATGGGTAAACACTGGAAGCATTCCCTTTGAAAACTGGCACAAGACAGGGATGCCCTCCCTCACAACTCTTATTCAACATAGTGTTGGAAGTTCTGCCCAGGGCAGTCAGACAGGAGAAGGAAATAAAGGGTATTCAATTAGGAAAGAGGAAGTCAAATTGTCCCTCTTTGCAGATGACATGATTGTATATTTAGAAAACTCCTCTCCTTAAGCTGTTAAGTAACTTCAGCAAAGTCTCAGAATACAAAATCAATGTGCAAAAATCACAAGCATTCTTATACAGCAATAACAGACAAACAGAGAGCCAAATCATGTGTGACATCCCATTCACAATTGCTCAAAGATAATAAAATACCTAGGAATCCAACTTAGAAGGGATGTGAAGGACCTCTTTAAGGAGAACTACAAACCACTGCTCAACAAAATAAAAGAGGATACAAACAAATGGAAGAATTTGATTATAATTCATGCTGCTATAAAGACACATGCACACTTATATTCACTGTGGCACTATTCACAATAGCCAATACTTGGAACGAACCCAAATGTCGATCAATGATAGAATGGATTAAGAAAATGTGGCATATACACACCATGGAATACTACACAGCCATAAAAAAGGATGAGTTCATGTCCTTTTTAGGGACATGGATGAAGCTGGAAACCATCATTCTCAGCAAACTATCGCAAGGACAAAAAGCCAAACACCACATGTTCTCACTCATAGGTGGGAATTGAACAATGAGAACTCTTGGACACAGGAAGGGGAACATCACACACTGGGGCCTGTCATGGGGTGCGGGGGAGTGAGGAGGGATAACATTAGGAGATATGCCTAATGTAAATGACGAGTTAATGGGTGCACACCAACATGACACAGGAATACATATGTAACAAACCTGCACGTTGTGTACATGTACCCTAGAAGTTAAAGTACATATATACATATAGATATAAAAAAAAAAAAACTCAAGAAACAACAGATGCTGGCAAGGCTGTGGAGAAATAGGAATGATTTTACGCTGTTGGTGGGAATGTAAATTTGTTCAAACATTGTGGTAGACAGTGTGCTGATTCCTGAAAGACCTAGGACCAGAAACACCTTTTGATGCAGCAGTCCCAATACTGGATATATACTCAAATAATGTAGATTATTCTGTTACAAAGATACATGCATGTATGTATGTTCATTGCAGAATTCTTCATAATAGCAAAGACATAGAACCAATCCAAATGCTCATCAAATATAGACTGGATAAAGAAGATGTGGTACATATACACTATGGAATACTATGCAGCCATAACAAGGAACTAGATCTTGTCCTTTGCAGGGACATGGATGGAGCTGGAATCAATTATCCTTGGCAAACTAACACAGGAACAGAAAATTAAACACTGCATGTTTTCATTTATAAGTGGAAGTTGAAGAATGAGAACACATGGACACATAGAGGGGAACAATACACAATGGTGCCTGTCAGAGGGGTTTGGGGGAGGGAGAACATCCAGATAAATCGCTAATGAATATGGGGCTGAATACCTAGGTGACAGAAGGACAGTTGAAGCAAACCACCATGACACATGTTTACCTATGAAACAAACCTGCACATCCTACACATGTATTCCATAACTTAAAATTTAATTTAAAAATAAAACAAAATGAAGACACATTGCTTTTCTTAATGCAGAAATTTAGCCCATATATGTATATATGTATATGTATATGGGCTGATAGAAATTTGTCCCCTGTAGAGAGTACATCTCAACATATTTTACAATCCATATTTTATTACTTTAAGACCACTTAAATATTTTTATTTCTTACTGTATTACTTATATCTGGCATATACAAAAGGTATTAAAATATTTTAGAACAAATCAGTTCTATCAATCTTCAAAAACAGATCATCATGCTTTTACAGCAGTCAGAGTATCTGCAAATAAATCTAATTTTTACTTACCATTTCCAATATTTAGACCTGTCATTTTTACTCCAAATCTTAGTTTATTGTCCAGAATTTCCAATAATCATTTCTATCTATACAGGGATCAATTTTGTGTTCCTAGTTGAATTAGTCTACCTCAAGTTTGTTCATTATAAACTGGCTTTGGGTATGAGGTCAATAATCATT